>NC_000008.11:38344951-38647981 GCF_000001405.40 Homo sapiens | reverse complement strand
GCCCTAGAAGCTTCCATTCTTATGAGAAAAGTGCTCAGAACTACAGACTAGACTCAGGCCAGCCTCACACACAATCAGGCAATTTTAGGGGTTCTAGGGATGCCTTCCTTTCTCAAATAAAAAATCTGCCCTCTTCTGAACCCCACTGTTAGATTCCTTGGGAACCTTGAAGCTTTCCATTATTCAATAGTTCTCTGTTACAGACCCTGGAGAGGAACTGAGGGTGCCAGATCCCCTTATCTTGTGCAAAAGGGCTCTCTTCCTTCTCTGAAATGCTAGTGTTCTGTACGATTTTGGCACTTTTCATCCAGGGATTTGCTCTGTGACTTTGGGCTAATCACTTTTCCTCTCTGGACTACAACATCCCCCTTTGTAAAATGACTAAGAGAAGAGAAATTCTAACTTGCAGCAGGAAATTCTAGTTAAGCCCAAGGACAAGCTCTGATTGAAAGGACGGTAGAAGGGTAAAGAGTGAGTTATCTTTACATTCAATTCTAGCTCTTACCACGTAGGGCTGAACCACTTTGAGATGCAGCTCTCACCTTTGTGTGCATCTGGTCTTCCGTCTTGTGTTTATTGAAAGGATGATGCAGAGACAATGCTCTTCGGACCCCATCTACTTGCCTAGCATTGTCCAGAGCATGAAAGTTAATGCGTAATTGATTTACTCTTATGCTCAATTTATTTTCAAGATGACTCAAGGTGCCACCAAAGAAGGATACAGTTCAGGAGCAGTTTAAATGGAATCCATCTGAAGGAATCAGAAGAAATTGATGGTTTCAGGCACTGAGGATGTTCTGCTTCTGATATTTTAGCAACAAATTTGGCCTTTGTTTTTCTGGCAGCTGAGGCATAAGGGGGTGACATGAAGGACTCTGTGCTTCCTAGTGAATAGTGGGTTCAATAAATATTTTTTTCTTTTTTTGGAGTGGGGGTGGTGGCAGGGGGAACAGGGTCTCACTTGGCTGCCCAGGCTGGAGTGCAGTGGTGCAGTCTTGGCTCAATGCAGCCTCCACCTCCTGGGCTCAAATGATCCTCCCACTTCAGCCTCCCGAGTAGCTAGGACTACAAGCAAGTGCCACCACACCTGGCTAATTTTTTTGTGGTTTTTGTGGAAACGGAGTTTCACCATGTTGCCCAAGCTGGTCTCAAACTCCTGCGCTCAAGCGATCTCCCTGCCTTGGCCTCCCAAAGTGCTGGGATTATAGGTGTGCAGCACTGCACTCAGCCATAATAATTTTTTTTCATTGACTCTCAGCCACCCCTTGGTTGGGAAGGCAAAACACTGAAGGGGGAAAGTCCCAGATGAAAGGGGAACAGGGTAGATTTTGAGGACGGCTTTTGGAGATGATAAAACCCTAGAACAAGATTCAAACTTTCCTGTTGCTAAGGCAAAGCCCGTCTAAGAAAGTCCCACGATGCATGCAGGCCACTAGCACAGCTCCAGCCTAGGAAGCAGGCCCAAGACTGCACAGGCTGCTGGGCACATGCCCAGTTGCTCCCTGTAGCAGTTCCATCCCAGACGCTTTTTACAGGAAAATGTAGTATTTCTCTGTTTTGCCCAATCACACACCTTTGGAAGAGAAACAAAGTCATCTTCTATCCGTAGGTCCTTAAGCCTGAGTGCTAACCAGCTCCAAAGCTGTCCCAGAGAACCCCTCATTACAGAAAGCTTTTGCCACTGACTTGAGGATGAACACAACACCTCCTCAGCAGCAGTCAGCTCAAACTCCCCCTCATATTCCCGAACCCTGCCGCTGGGGTTCATTCAGTCAGACCCAGGATCAACCCCAACCACCCTTGCAAGAATGAATACTCAGTTTAAGCTCTGAAATTCTCCCAGTTTCTCCACAGATGAAATTCTCTTTCTCTTTGCTCCTCCTCAACTTCCACCTTCCCTCCCAGCTGCCACTCAAAAAAGCATTTGTTCTGTGGCTCCTTTTCCAGATCCAGGCTTTTTCTACTACAGGGTCCGCAAGGTTATTTCTGCTCCAGTCGGGGAGCCAGCTAGGTAAAATCTTACAAAGGTACTGCCACCTTCACCAAATTCAGTTGCATTTGGAAACCTGATTTGCCATGCTTCAGGGTGCCCGGGCTACCGGCTCTTAAAACCAACAAAACAGTGGGAAATGACTTTCTGAGGTCATCTTGTCCAGCCTCCTGCTTCTAGACAGGTGACTATCCAAATATTTTTTATTTTTATTTTTTTTGAGATGGAGTTTCACTCTTGTTGCCTAGGCTGGAGTGCAATGGTGCGATCTTGGCTCACTGCAACCTCTGCCTCCAGGAGGCAAGCGATTCTCCTGCCTCAGCCTCCCAGGTAGCTGGGATTACAGGCGCCCACCACCATGCCCAGCTAATTTTTTGTATTTTTAGTAGAGAAGGGGTTTAGTAGAGAAGGGGTTTCACCATGCTGGCCAGGCTGGTCTCAAACTCCTGATCTCAGGTGATCCGCGCACCTCGGCCTCCCAAAATGCTGGGATTACAGGTGTGAGCCACCCTACCCGGCCCAAATCTTACTGAGATAATTATTCCACTCTATCTTCTGATAGTTCTGCTACTATTTAATCACTCTTTTAGATGAGTTCTTCCTTAGATTAAACCTGATTTTTTTCCTGCCCTAATTTAGGCCCAATTCTCAGCCTATTCTTTGTAACTGTGACAAATAACCGAGTGTTTTCTCTCTGTCCTTAGCCTTCTCTTCAGCACAGAAAGTCTCCCCAGAAATAAAACTCTGATTGTTCAACTCCTTCCTTCCCACTTGTCCCTTTAAGCACCCTCTAAATCAGACCTGAGGCTCCCAAGAGAGTCATATCCTCTCTCTCGCAGCTGGTCTGAGTTTTGTCATCTGGGAGACTGGGCTTAGAACAGCTTGAAGTTAGTACAGAGGCGAACGAAGCTTTAAATCTCCAGCACTTAACAGCTTCTCTGCAGCCTCAGAGGTAACCACATTTTCTTGCCTTCTTCCTCTCATCTCTATATATATCTGTGTAATCTCTGTTCACTGGAGCCTGACTCCAGCCCTCTGTCTGCACCGCTCTGGTTGCGCTGAAAGAGGGAAGGTTAGGGAAGAAAAATTAATAGACACAGACCCATAAAAATAACAGGCTCTCTAGAGCACACATGAAGAAATAATTAAACAGATTAAACTTGGGGGATGGAAAGAGAAGGGCAGGAGGCTTAGCAGGCAGAGACTGATGCCTCTGATTTTCACTTCCAAAGGGGCTGGGGCTCAGTGGGGAGGGATTTTTGTGCTTTTTTCTTCGTTCCGGTGGGTTGGATTCACAGCCGAATATTGTTAAGTCACTAAGCTCTTTAAAGGCTAGGATGGTGCCTTATCTTTGTATCCCCTCTAGGATCCTCAGATCATGCCACACCCTAGTGAGAAAAGGAAATTTGATATTTATGGAGTGTTCTTTATGTGCCACGTACAAAGTTAGATACTTTATGTCCTGGCTGATTGTCAACTGAGGGTGTTTCAAACTTCAGAAATGAGTGCAATCATTTTCCTATGACCCAGGATGATGTCTACCTAAAGATCTTGTGATTTTGAAGCCGAAAAATAGCTTCTCACATCTTCCCCTGCCTCACTCCTTCCCTTTCTCTCTTCAATGGGCAGGAGCTTTTGCTACGATGGTGAAGGAAAGAGGAGGCTGGTATTTAGAGATCACTTCAATATCAAAATGTCTTAGTCAGCAAGGCTCTCAGAATGCCCTGGGATAGTGAGAGGGCTGCAGAGACGGAAAAGCCTTCCTCCCTCTCTCACAAGTACCACCATTCCTCTGGCACCATTCCTGGAAGCTCAAATGAAAACACCCTAAAGAGGAACAATCCTCAACCACTGGTACATTGAGCAGGGTGACCCATGCCTATAACCCCTGCTCTTTGAGAGGCCAAGGCGGGAGGATCACTTGAGCCCATGAGTTTGAGACCAGCCTGGCCAACATGGGAAAGTCCCTGTCTCTACAAAAAATAAAAAATTAGCCAGGTGTGGTGGCATACCCCTGTAGTCCCAGCTCTCAAGAGGCTGAGGTGAGATGATTGCTTGAGCCCAGGTGGTCGAGGCTGCAGTGAGTGGAGATCATATCACTGCACTCTAACCTGGGCAACAGAGCGAGACTATGTCTCAAAAAACAAACATAAAACCCCTCTATTAACATTACTTTCTGATTTTTCAACAATTTGAGAATAGATATTAAAAGACAAGGTTCAGAATAGAAACACCTTCCCCAGGGAGTGCAGACCTGAATGGCACCCAGAACAATGACTGGCAGCAAGATCACAGGGCATGGGAATGAGGCAAGCCAGATGCATGCCTCGGTCCACCGGCTCCTGCTGGCAGATTGCTTCACTGCTCTGGGCCTCTCACATGCTCTCTCTCTTCTTTTCTTTTTTTTTTCCCTCCCTCCGTCCCTCCTTCCTTTTGTCCCCTCCCTCCCTCTCTTTCCTTCCTTCCTTCCTTCCTTCCTTCCTTCCCTCCCTCCCTCCTTCCTTCCTTCTTCTTTTATTGAGACAGGATCTCACTCTATCACCCAGGCTGGAGTGCAGTGACACAGTCATAGCTCACTGCAGCCTCAACCTCCTGGGCTCAAGCGATCCTCCTGCCTTGGCCTCCCAATTAGCTGAGACTACAGGTGTGCATCACTGTGTCCAGCTAATTTTTTTATTTTCCTATAGAGAAGGGGGTCTCACTATGTTGGCCAGACTGATCTTGAACTCCTGGGCTCAAGTGATCCTGCTGCCTCGGCCTCCCAAAGCACTGGGATTACAGGTGTGAGCTACCACACCCAGCTTCTAATTTTTTTAATGAATAGGCTTTATTTTTTAGCAGTTTTAGGTTTACAGAAAAATGAGACCAAAAGTACAGAGTTTTCTTATACGCCCTCCCCACTAATTTCCTCTGTTACTAACATCGTCACTCTTTGGGTTGTACATTCTATGGGTTTTGACAAATGTAAAGACATGTACCCTTGACCAGGCATGGTGGCTCACGCCTGTAATCCCAGCAGTTTGGGAGGCCAAGGTGGGCGGATCACTTGAGGTCAGGAGTTCAAGACCAGCCTGACCAACATGGCGAAACCTCATCTCTACCAAAAATACAAAAATTAGCCAGGTGCTGTGGCAGCACCTGTAATCCCAGCTGCTTGGGAGGCTAAGGCAGGAGAATCACTTGAACCCAGGAGGCGGAGGTTGCAGCGAGCCAGGATCGTGCCACCACGCTCCAGCCTAGGTGACAGAGTGAGACTCTGTCTCAAAAAAAAAAAAAAAAAAGACATGTACCCAACATTACCCTACAGAATACTTTCACAGCCCTAAAAACCCTCTGTACTCCACCTATTCCTTCTCCCTCTCTCTCCCACCCTAACCCTCAGAATTCACTGATCTTTTTTACTGTCTCTATAGTTTTGCCTTTACCAGAATGTCATACAGCTGGAATTGTATAGTATATAGCTTTTTCAGAGTGGCTTCTTTCATTTAGTAATGTGCCTTTAAGGGTCTTCTTCTTCTTTTTTTTTTTTAATGGCTTGAGAGCGCCTTTCTGTTTATGGCTGAATCTCTAATTTTTTTGTTGAAGCATAACATATATACATTAAAGCCCAATGAATTTTTATTAAGTGAACACCCAAATAAAGATATAGAAAATTACCAGCACCCCAGCACACTAGTGCCCCTCCCGGTTACTACCAGTCCTCTAAAAATAACCACTAGTCTGACTTCTATCATCACAAATTAGTTGAGCCTGTCTTTGTAGTTCATAGAAATAGAATCACACAGTATGTACTTGTATTAGTCTGTTCTCACACTGATATAAAGATACTACCTGAGACTGGGTAATTTATAAACAAAAGAGGTTTAATTGACTCACAGTTTTGCATGGCTGGGGAGGCCTCAGGAAACTTACAATAATGGAAGAAGGCAAAGGGGAAGGAAGGCAAGTCTTATATGGCAGCAGGAGAGAGAGACAGTGCACAGAGGGGAGCTGCCAAACACTTTTTAAAACCATCAGGTCTCGTGAGAACTTACATCATGAGAACAGCATGGGGGAAACTGCCCCCATAATTTAATCATCTCCCACCAGGTCCCTCCCTCAACACATGGGGATTACAATTTGAAGTGGGATTTGTGTGGGGACACAGAGCCAAACCATATCAGTACTCTTCTATGTGTGGTTTCTTTTCTTCAATATTTAGGTTCATCTGATATTATGGCATTTGTTCTTGTTTATTCCATCATATAGATATACCAATTCATTTAACCACTCTGCTGTTGATGGATGTTTGTGTTATTTCCAGTTTGGGGCTATTACAAATAATGCTGCTACGAACATTTTTATATATGTCTTTTGGTGAACATATGCTCACATTTCATTTTGGTATAAACCCAAGAGTGGAATTTCTGGGCCACAGGGTATCTGTACCTTTAACTCTGGTAAATAATGCCAATTTACCAAAATCCTTGTACCAATTTACAATCCCACAACTTCTCATCCTCCCAAATACTTAGTATTGTCAATATTTTCAATTTTAGTCATTTTAGACCCATGGTCATTTGAATTTGCATTTTCCCAATAACTAATGAAGTTGACTACTGTCTCAGGTCAGGTCCCTTGAGAAACAGACTGAGATGGAGGTTTGCATGAGGAAGTTGATTGGGGAATGCCCTTAGATGGACACCTGTCAGAGACAGAAGGCAACAGGATGGACGTCTCATTGCAATAGGCTTCCGCTGATCCCATGGGAACTCAGGAGCTGGCCTGACCCTTCAGAGTTGTCCTGCCTTGAGGCAAGGGGGCCAAGCCTTCACAGCAATCACTGAATGTGGTTTTGACCCATCATTGAATGCAGGTTGTCCTTGGAAAGGAGTATGACTGGGTAGTAGAGTTCTCTTTTGCCAAGGGCAGTTCCTAGAGAGGACCACAGGGGAGGAGAAGGCTCCCAGAAGCTAGGGAGATGAGCGCTTTAGTCCCAGAAGGCAACCTTAACTCCACACTGTAGCTGCATCAAGCACCTTTTCATATGCTTCCTGGCTACTTAGAGACCCTCTCCTGTAAAGTGCCTATACTGATTTGCCAAGTTCTTTTTCATTAGGTTGTCTTTCTTTTACTTATTGATTTATAGAAGTGTTTTGTATATTTTAAAGATGAGTCCTTTGTCAGATATATGCAATACAAAAATATATATTGCCTTTTCATTCTTTTCATGGTGTCTTTTTATGAATGGAAATTCTTAATTTTCACAGTTTTTTATTCCTTTTTGACAAGTGGGTTTTATTGTGATCTGTTTACAAAATCTTCACATACTCTAATATCATGAGAATATTCACATGTTGCCTTCTAGAAGCTTTATTGTATTACTCTTCATATTAATGTCTGTGGTCCACCCTGAATTGATTGTTGTGTATAGCATGTTCTAGAGACCAAATTTACTTTTTTTTGTTTGGACTTCTAATTAACCTTAGCACCGTTTACTGAAAAGATCACCCTCATCTCATTACATTTCAGTGATAACTTTGCCATAAGCCGGGTGACTGTGTCTATGTGGGTCTATTTCTGGGTCCTGTTATGTTCTGTTGGTCTTTATGTCTGTCTTTGTACCAATTCCATACAATTTTAATTATCAAAGCTTAAGATAAGTCTTGATAGCTGATCATATAACTCCTCTGACTTTGTTTTCCTCAAGAGTGTCTTTATTATGCATAGCTCTTTCCATTTCCACATAGATTTTAGAATCAGCTTGTCAATTTCTACCAAAAAAAACAACAACCTGGCTTGGATTTCTATTGGAATTGTATTGAATCTATCGATCAATTTTGAGAGAATTGACTTTTTACAGCACTGAGTCTTCCAATCCCTGACCATGGTATATATTTACTGTCTTAGTCTGTTTTCTGTTGCTTACAACAGAATATCAGAAACTCAGTAATTTGTAAGGAAAATAAATTTATTTCTTATCGTTATGGAGGCTGAGAAGTCAAAGGTCAAGAGATCACAACTAATGAGAGCCTTCCTGCTGGTGGAGATTCTCTGCAGAGTCCCAGGGTGGCATAGAATACCACAGTGGGGGCTGTGTGTACTAGTTCAGGTCTCTCTTCCTCTTCTTATAAAGCCACCAGTCCCATTCCCATGACAACTCATTAATCCATTAGCCCATTAGCCTATAAATCCATGAAAAGCTTAATCCATTCCTGAGAGCAGAGCTGCCATGACCCAATCACATCTTAATGGCCTTACCTCTCAATACTGCTGTATTAGGGATTCAATTTCAACATGAATTTTGGAAAGAACAAATATTCAGACTAAAACATCTATCTCTTCTTTAATTTCTCTCAGTAATGTTTTGTAATTTGCAGTAAGGAGATCTTATACCTCTTTTGTTAGATTTATTCCTACATGTTTGATTTTTTTTTTTTAAGAGTGTCTCACTCTGTCACCCAGCTTGGAGCACAGCAGCATGATCATAGCTCACTGGAGCTCAAACTCATGGGCTCAGGTGATCCTCCTGCCTCAGCCTCTCAAGTAGCTAGGACTGCAGGCACAAGCCACCATGCCCAACATAGTAGTCTTTATTTAATCTTGATTTTCCTTTAAAGAAATTATCAGATGATATTTTATTATATACCATATGTACAAGAGTAGATTCCAATTGTGTGGGGCAGTAGCTTATAAAATTCGGGTGGCCATTTAAAAATATTCATTTATTATTATTATTTTAAATGTGGTAAAATACACACAACATAAAATTTACCATCTTAACCATTTTTAAAGTATTCAGTTCAGTGCCATTAAATACATTCATGGTATTGTGCAACAATCACCAGTATCCATCCCTAAGATTCTTTTATCTTGCAAAACTGAAACTCTATACCCATTAAACAATAACTCTTTATTTCCCCTCCTATGAGTCCATTTTGCTTTCTGTGTCCATGAATTTGACTATTCTAGATCTGTCATATAAATGGATTCATATAGTATTTGTCTTTTTGTGACTGACTTATTTCACTTAGCATAATATCCTCAAAGTTCATCCATGTTGTAGCATATGTCAGAATTTCTTTCCTTTTTAAGGCTGAATATTTCATTGTCCTTGGGACAGGACAAGCCTACCTTCCTAGTAGACCTAGACATTGGCCCCAAAGATGTCTTCTCCATTTCTACCATGAGGACCTAGAGAGTCATAAAATAGTCCTGGAAACCAGACCTCATTAGCCAGATTTAATGAGGCCTCGTTATGACACTCACTAATTTTGCAATTTCTCCACCCACAATGTCTTGGATTCCTTATTTATAAGGCACTTTCACATGTGATCTCACAAAATCACAACAATCCCGATATAGAAATGAGGAAACTGAGACTCAGAAAGACCAACTGGCCTTTGCAAGGTTACACTTTTGATAAACAGGCAAGACAGGATTCAAAGCAAAATCTCCTGCCAAGAAACCTTCTGATTTTAAATGCCAAGTTCCTGAAATGAAATTGAGACTCAAAGCCAGGCACGGTGGCTAACGCCTGTAATCCCAGCACTGTGGGAGGCCAAGGTGGGCGGATTGCTTGAGGACAGGAGTTCGAGACCAGCCTGGCCAACATAGTGAAACCCCATCTCTACTAAAGATACAAAAAAATTAGCTGGGCCTCAGCCTTGGGAGGCTGAGGCAGGAAAATCGCTTGGACCTGGGAGGTGGAGGTTGCATTGAGCCTAGATTGCACCACTGCACTCCAGCCTGGGTGACAGAGTGAGATGCTGTCTCAGAAAAAAAAGAAAGAAAGAAAGAAGGAAAGAAAGAAAGAAAGAAAGAAAGAAAGAAAGAAAGAAAGAAAGAAAGAAAGAAAGAAAGAAAGAAACTGAGACCCAAAAAAAGGATCAACAAAATGAAAAGTTGTTTTTTTTTTTAAAGATAGACTGCTAAGTAGATTAACAAAGAAAAAAGAGAGAAGATCCAAATAAGCACAATCAGACATGACAAAGGCAACATCACAGCCAATCCCACAGAAATACAAAAGATCCTCAGAAACTACTGTGAACATCTCTTTGCACACAAACTAGAAAATCTAAAGGAAATGGATAAATTCCTGGAAACACAGAAACCTCCCAATATTGAACAACAACAACAACAACAACAAAACCCCCAGAAATCCTGAACACACAAATAAGGAGTAATCGAATTTGAATCAGTAATAAAAAGCCTACCAACCAAAAAAAAGACCTGGACCAGATGGATTCACAGCCAAGTTCTACCATACATACAAAGAGGAGCTGATACTAATCCTATTGAAATTATTCCAAAAAATCAAGGATGAGGGACTTCTCCCTAACCCATTCTATAAAACCAGTATCATCCTGATACCAAAATCTGTCAAACACACAACAACAAAAAAATAAAACTACAGGCCAATATCCCTGATGAAATAGACACAAAAATTTTCAACAAAATATTAGCAAACCAAATCCAGCAGCACATCAAAAAGTTAATTCACCATGATCAAATGGGCTTTATTCTTGGGATGCAAGGATGGTTCAATGTAAGCAAACCAATAAATGTGGATCATCACATAAACAGAATTAAAAACCATATGATTATCTCAATAAACACAGAAAAAGTTTTTGATAAAATCCAACATCCAGGCAGGTGTGGTGGCTCATTCCTATAATCCCAACACTTTGAGAGACCAAGGTGAGAGGATCACTTGAGCCCGGGAGTTCAAGATCAGCCTGGGCCACCTGGTGAGACCCCATCTCTACCAAAAATTTAAAAATTAGCCGGGCATGGTGGCATACACCCATGGTCCCAGCTACTCAGGATGCTGAAGTGGGAGGATTGCTTGAACCCAGGAGGTCAAGGCTTCAGTGAGCCATGATTGTGCCACTGCACTTCAGCCTGGATGACAGAGAGAAACACCATCTCCCCTCCCCTCGAAAAATACAACATCTCTTCATGATAAAAACTCTCAACAAGCTAAGCATTGAAGGAACATACCTCAAAATAATAAGAGCCATCTATGACAGACCCACTGCCAGCATCATACTGAATGAGAAAAGGCTGGAAGCATTTTCCTTGAGAACTGGAACAAGACAAGTATGTCCACTTTCACCGCTCTTATTCAACATAGTACTGGAAGTCCTAGCCTGAGCAATCAGGGAAGAGAACAAAATAAAAGGCATCCAAATGGGAAAAGAGAAAGTCAAATTATCTCTCTTTGCTGACGATATGATTTTATACCTAAAGACTCTGCCAAAATTCTCCTAGATCTGATAAACAACTTTAGCAAAGCCTTGAGATACAAAGTCAACATACAAAAATTGAAAGCATTTCTATACATCAATACCATTCAATCTGAGAACCAAATTAAGAATCTAATCCCATTTACAATAGCCACACATACACACAAATAAAATACCTGGGAATACATCTAACCAAGGAGGTGAAATATCTCTACAAGGAGAACTATGAAACACTGATGAAAGAAATCACAGGGCTTGGCGCAGTGGCTCATGCCTGTAATTCCAGCACTTTGGGAGGCCGAGGTGAGTGGATCACCTGAGGTCAGGAGTTAGAGACCAGCCTGGCCAACATGATGAAACCCCATCTCTACTAAAAATACAAAAAATTATCCAGGCAAGATGGTGGGTGCCTGTAATCCCAGCTACTCAGGAGAATCACTTTATCCCAGGGGGCGGAGGTTGCAGTGAGCCAAGATCATGCCACTGCACTCCAACCTGGGCAACAAGAGTGAAACATCATCTCAAAAAAAAAAAAAAGAAAAGAAAGAAAAAGAAAAAGAAAAAAAAAGAAATCATAGCTGACACATACAAATGGTAAAGCATCACATACTCATGGATTGGAAGAATCAATATCGTTAAATGTCCATACTGCCCAAAGCAATCTACTGATTCAACACTATTCCTGTCAAATTACCAATGTCATTTTTCACAGAATTAGAAAAATGCTATTCTAAAATTCATATGGAACCAAAAAGAGCCCAAATAGCCAAGGCAATCATAAGCAAAGAAAAGCCAGAGGCATCACATCACCCGACTTCAAACTAAACTACAAGGCTACAGTAACCAAAACAGAATGCTATTGGTACAAAAATAGACACATACACCAATGGAACAGAATAGAGACCCTGAAAATAAACTCACACATCTATAACCAAGTGATCTTTGACAAAGTCAACAAAAATAAACAATAGAGAAAGGACGCTTTATTCAATAAATTGTTCTGAGAAAACTGGCTGACCATATGCAGAAGAATGAAAGTGGACACCTATCTCTTAATATATACAAAAATTAACTCAGGATGGATTAAAGATTTAAATGTAAGCCCTAAAATGATAAAAAATCCTAGGAGAAAACCTAGGAAATACCCTTCTAGACATTGGCCTAAGCAAAGAATTTATGACTAAGTCCTCGAAAGCAAATGCAACAAAAAATATTGAAAATTGGGACCTAATTAAAGAGCTTCTGCATAGCAAAAGAAGCTATCAACAGAGTAAACAGACAGTCTACAGAATGGGAAAAAATATTTACAAACACTATGCATATGACAAAGGACTATTATCTAGAATCTATAAGGAACCCAAACAACTCAACAAGTAAAAAACAACCCCACTGAAAAGTGGGCAAAGGACATGAACAGACACTTCTCAAAAGAAGATATACAGGTGGCCAACAAACATACGAAAAAATGCTCAGCACTGCTAATCATCAAAGTGATGCAAATCAAAACCACAACAAGATATCATCTCACACCACTCAGGAATGGCTATTATTAAAAAGTCAAAAAATAACCGATGTTGGCAAGGCTGCAGAGAAAAGGGAACCCTTATACACTGTTGGTGGGAATGCAAATTAGTTCAGCCACTGTGGAAAGCATTTTAGAGATTTCTTAAAGAACTAAAAACAGAATTACAGTTCAACCCAGCAATCCCATTACTAGTTGTAGGAAAATAAATCATTCTACCAAAAAGACATCTGCACTCAAATGTTTATTGCAGCACCATTCACAATAGCAAAGACATGGAAATCAACCCAAATGCCCATCAATGGTGGATTGGATGAAGAAAATATGGCACATATGCCCCATGGAATACTACACAACCATAAAAAAGAACAAAATCATGTCCTTTGCAGCAACATGGATGCAGCTGGAGGCCCTTGGCCTAAGTGAATTAATACAGGAACAGAAAACCAAATATCGCATGTTCTCATTTATAAGTGGGAGCTAAGCATGGGGTACACACAGGCACAAAGATGGGAATAGTAAACACTGGACCCCAAAAGGAAGGAGGGAGAGAGTGGGACAAAGGTTGAAAAAACTATCTATTGGGTACTATATTCCCTACTGGGATGATAGGATTATTAGAAGCCCAAACCCCAGCGTCACACAATATACCCATACAACAAACATGCATGTGCACACCCTGAGTCTAAAATCAAAATTTTTTTAATTAAAAAAAAAATGCTGAGTTCTGTACAATGGAAAGGTGGGATGGCAGGAAGGTGAGCATGTCTGCAAATCACAAGACTCCCTGGGCGCCGTGGAGATGGTCCTCAGCTACGAACAAAGCCATTTTCTAAGGCTCTTGTTCTTGTCTAAGGGAACAGAACCAAAACTTCCAGCCAGGGTTCTTCCTGTCTGTATTTCTTCTGCTTTTCCACTGGGTAGTTGGAAGCTGAAAGTGTGAAAACTGGAGGTATTTCAATGCCGAGGTGCCTGTTGTCTGATAAACGCCTGTCTACTTCGTCTCTTGGCTGGACGGGGAGCTGGCTGCCCAGGCAGGCCAAGCTGTAGCACCCCTTCCCAGCTGGCAGAAGATCGCAGGGCACCCCCTGCCCAGGGTGCGAGGCTTCCTGTCCGCACTGAAGCATCTGGCTTGAGCTAATGAGCTGTTGGCATGCATAGGCAATTATTTTAGCTCTTTAAAAACCTGCCAAACTTCTTTTTATAGCCATGGCAGTCCCTTAATGACTCAGGCCTGAAGTCAAATCCTCTGTGCAGAAGGCAGTGGCTCTGCTCTAGGACGTTCCCTGCCCCTTACACTGCCCCAAGTCATGGGCCCAAGGTTCAAGCTTTACCCATCTCACCTCCCCACAGCCTCAGAAGGCAGGGTCCTAAGGAGGGGCTCAGGAGGCTCGCTCAGTTCCAGGAAGTCCCAGCATATTCTGGGACCACTGGACGGGAACAAAGACCAAGGCCTCTCACCTGGGCCCTGGAGTGTGCTGATGGAGTGCTGATGGAGTCCACAGAGCATATCCGAGCTGACCTTTGGGCCTTGGAGGCCTTCAAAATGGTTAGGTTTTGGAGCTGAGTTGTGGTCTGGGCACAACTCCAGCTCCTTCTGCATCACCCTCCGTGCTATTCTTTCATTCCCCACAATTTGATGCCCCAGCAGCCGTTTCCCCAGCCAAAAGCTGCTCTCAAGGGAGAACCTGAGAAACTCACATAGTTTTATCAAAAGAAACATTGCTTTTTGGAGTGAGGTCCTAGGGAGAAATGATGGTTCCATATGAGCACGTTTTTCAAAATAGTACCTTGTCACGGCTTTTTTTTTTTTTTTTTTTTTTTTTGAGACAGGGTCTTGCTCTGTCACCCAGGCTAAAGTGCAGTGGCATGATCATGGCTTACTGCAGCCTCGAACTCTGGGCTTAAGCCATCCTCCCGCTTCAGACTCCCAAGTAGCTGGGATGACAGGTGTGTGCCACCACATCTGGCTAATTGTTTTTGTTTTTTTGTAGAGATGGGGTCTTGCTATGTTGCCCAGGCTGGTCTTGAATTCCTGGGCTCAAGTGATCCTCCCACCTCAGCCTCCCAAAGTACTGAGATTACAGGCATGAGCCACCATGCCCAGCCTCCTTGTCACAACTTTTAAAGGTAACTATTTTGACTCAGTGGCTGTTAAGACCATGCTGAACACATACTGGATGAAGTAGGGCTGCAAGAGGTAGAGAAAGGTTTGTGCAAGGCTAGCCCTACTAGGAGCTTGCTCTCCATAGGCCAGAGGCCCAGGCTCTGCACCTGACTCCTCTTGACTTGTTGGCCTGAGCAGTGTGACTGAGTGAACAGAATGGAGAAGGCCCCTTTCTGCTTCCCAAGAAAAGTCACCCACCTCTTTTTTTTTTTTTTTCTTGAGATAGAGTCTCACTCTGTTGCCCAGGCTGGAGTGCAGTGGTGCAATCCCAGCTCACTGCAACCTGCGCTTCCTGGGCTCAAGGGATTCTTCTGCCTCAGCCTCCAGAGTAGCTAGGACTATACACGTGCGCCAACACGCCCAGCTAATTTTTGTATTTTCAGTAGAGATGGGGTTTCACCATGTTGGTCAGGCTGGTCTGGAACTCCTGACCTCAAGTGATCCACCTGCCTCAGCCTCCCAAAGTGCTGGGATTACAGGCACCCCTTCTCTTTAGAATAGAGCCGTGGCATAGCTCAAGCAGCCCACTGGTTCACAGACATAGTCAACCTGCAGCACACAATCAAATGTCCCAAGGAATTGCCTTTCCTCTTTCCCCCACTTTGTTCCCTGCTTTCCTGCTCTTTCCCCAACTCATTTCCCCCTTTTCTTCATTTTCCTGGTCTCCTTTCACCCCTCTTCTCCTGTCCTTCTTCTTCCCCTCCTCTTTCTTTCTTCATTCGCCTTTTCTTCCTTTCCTGTGCCCTCCCAAGTCTTCTCTCTCTCCTCCTCCCCCTCCTTTTCCTCCTGCTTCTCCTCCTTTTCTGCAGAGAGTGTTTCTCTGGCTGTGGTTCCTCATCATGGAGAGTTCTTGGAGCTGGTGCCAGGAGTCTCTAGGTCTCTCCTAGAGATGGTCCCTGCATCTCCTCGCTGCCTCTGTGGAGCACACACCTGGCACACAGCAGAGCCCTGGGGCCCACGGTCTCCACAGCAAGCCAGGCTGTGGTGTCTAGTTGTTTCCCTGCTTCAAAAAACGGGTTCAGATAACAGGCAGAGTCAGTCACATGTATGGAGCCGTTCCTCCTGGGGCAGGCTGTATTTCTCTAGATCTCTCTGTACTTTGAGCATCGCTGTGTGCCGGGCCCAGAGCAGCGGGAGATACAGCAGGGAGTACAGAGGTAGGAACAAGCTACTGTTAGCACCAGCCAGAGTTACACAGACCTCTCTATGAATCACTTTCTGTCTCTGTGACTCAGACAAGTTATTCCAAGCTTCTGTTTGCTCCTTTGTAAAATTAAGCTTCAATTTCATTAAATGGCATAGGGCACTTCGCATGGTGCTGGCAGATAGTAAGCTCTGCACAACTGTGATGATGATGATGATGACCATGATGATGAGGTCCCACTCATTCACTTGGGTAGCTTTCCATTTAGGATGGAGATGAAACTGCAATTCAAGGGAGAAAATAAAATCAAGAGGGCATGGATGAAGAACTCTGGGCAGTGGGGGTAAGGGAGAAACTTCTTCTCCGTGGGGTGATGAGGGAAGACTTTGAGGGGAAGATAGAACTTAGCAGGGCTTTTGAGGTCAGGAGTTCAGTGTGCCACAGTGAGAGAAGGATGTTTCTAGGGGAGGAAGCACCATGAGCAAAAATACAGAGTAGGGGGAGAATCTGGCTACGCAGTTGGGGATTACTGGAACCTTTGGGATTTTGAGGTTGGAGTGTACTCTCTTGCGTGTGTGCACTAGATCACGTCCCCTCTTGCCTATTCAAGGACATCCCTCCAGCAATTTTCCTCTTTCTCTCCTGCAGCATTCCTGTTTCTCCCCTCCTGTATCATTCCTGTCAACGTCCAAATATGCTATTATTTTACCTATCTCAAAACAAAACCAAAAGCCTCCTTGACTCCACGCCTCTGCTCACCTTTAGAACAAAGCTCCTAGGAAGTTAGCTACACTCACTGTCTCCAATTTTCCTTCTCCTAACCTCTCACAGCCCACCCTTTCAGGCTGCCACACTTACCATTCTGCTGAGATTATACAGCCTGAGTATCTCTTATCCCAAATGCTTGGGACCAGAAGTGTTTCGAATTTTGGATTTTTTTTCTGATTTTTGAATATTTGCAATTTACTTACCGGTTGAGCAGGCCAAATCTGAAAATGCAAATTTCAAAATTCTCCCATGAGCATTTTTTTTTGAGCATCATGTGGGCACTCCAAAAATTGTTGATCTTGGAGAACTTTGAATTTCAGATTTTCAGATTTGAGATGCTCAGCTTGTACTTCTCAAGGTCACCAATGACCTCCACATTGTTCAAGCCAATGTTTACCTTTCTGGACCCCTCGAGAGCATTTGTCGTAGTTGATCAACACTGTCACCTTGAAATGCTTTCTTCACTTGGTTTCCAGATAGCATACTGTCCCAGTTTTCCCCCTACCTCATGAGATGCTCCCTATGATCAGTCTTTTCTGGTTCCTCCCCATCTCCCTGACCTCTTCCCACTTGAGTACCCCAGGGCTCTGGCTTGGATTTCTTCTTCTTTTTTTTTTTTTTTTGAGATGGAGTCTCGCTCTGTTGCCCAGGCTGGAGTGCAGTGGTGCGATCTTGGCTCACTGCAAGCTCCACCTCCCGGGTTCACGCCATTCTCCTGCCTCAGCCTCCCGAGTAGCTGGGACTACAGGCACCTGCTACCACACCCGGCTAATTTTTTGTATTTTTAGTGGAGACAGGGTTTCACTGTGTTAGCCAGGATGGTCTTGATCTCCTGACCTCGTGATCCGCCTGCCTCGGCCTCCCAAAGTGCTGGGATTACAGGCCTAAGCCACTACTCCCAGCCTTCATTTTATTTTAAAGCCAGTGTTTGCTTACTTTTTCTTTTGTCTTAATTTTTTTTTTTTTGAGATGGATTCTCACTCTGTCACCTAGACAGGAGTGCAGTGCCGTGATCTCACAACACTGCAATCTCCACCTCCCGGGTTCAAGTGATTTTCCTGCTCGGCCTCTCGAGTAGCTGGGATTACAGGTGCCCGCCACCATGTCCAGCTAATTTTTGTAGTTTTAGTAGAGACAAGGTTTCTCCATGTTGGCCAGGCTGATCTGAAAGCCCTGACCTCAAGTGATCTGCCCGCCTCGGCCCCCAAGGTGCTGGAATTATAGGCATGAGCCACCACGCCCGGCCAATTTTTTTAAATATGGAAAAAATGTATACAACATAAAATTTACCAGCTTGATCATTTTTAAGAGTACAGATCAGTAGTATCAAGTACATTGGCATTGTTGTGAAACAGATGTCCAAAACTCTTTTAATCTTGCAAAGCTCAAACCCTTTACCCAATAAACAAGCCCCCTCCATTCCTCCTTTGCCCAAACCCCTGGCAACCACCATTCTACTTCCTATTTCTATAAATATAACTACACTAGGGACCTCATATAAGTGGGCTCATACAGAATGTGTGTTTTTGTGACTGGCATATTTCACTTAGCATATAAGCATGTCAGTTTTTCCCCTAAACCTGATCTTCCCCCAGGCTTCTCTATCTCATTTGATGATGACTCCATCCTTCTACCTGCTCCATTGAAACACCTGGAGTCATTCTTGACTCCTTTCTGTTACACCTCACATCCAATCCAGCAGGAAATCCCACTGACTCTACTTCAAAATATGTTCAGATTTGGGCCACTTCCATCCCTCGACTATTATGCTCATGGTCCAACCCATCATCTTTTCTCACCTGGCTTATGGCAATAGGTTTTTAAGTTGGATGACCTATCTCCCTTCTCTCCTTTAAGCCCTCCAAGGGCTTCCCACCTCCAACAGGGAAATGTCAAAGGGCTTTAATAATCAACAGATCCTACGTGATCTGGCTCCCATTTGCTCTGTGAGCTCATCTCTTACTAGTCTCCCCTTGTGTCGGTGTTATCTTTGACTGCATAGCAAATTACCCCAACACTTGATGGCTTAAAACAACATTTATTATCTCACCATTTCCAGGTAGGAGGTGGGGTGTGGTTTAGCTAGGTCCTCCAACTCAGTCTCTCACAAGGCTGCAGTCAAAGTGTCTGCTGGAACTGTGGTCCTCTCAACTGAAGGTTGAATCTACTTCCAAGCTTCCTTACCTGGTTGTTGACAGGACTCAGTTCCTCAGTTCCATTGGACCAAGGGCCTCAGTTGCTCACTAGCTGTCGACCACAGGCCTCCCTCAGTGCCCTGTCATGGGGGTGTCTCCATGGGGCAGCTCACGATGCAGCAGGTGGCTTCCTCCTGCAGCAGAGCAAGCAAGTTACACAACAAGAGAAGGCAAGCAAGACAGAAGCCAGAGTCTTTCAGTAACTGGTTCTCAGAAATGGCACCCAGCATTTTTGGCATATTCTACTGGTTTAAAGCAAATCCCCAGGTCCAGCCCTTACTCAACAACAGGGACTACACAATAGCAGGGATTCTGGAGGCAGGGCTCACTGGGGGCTATTATAGACGCTGCCTACCACACCCCACTTCTTCACCTGCACAGACCTCCTTGTTCCTTGAACGAGTGGGGCATGTTCGTATCCTGGGCCCTTTGCCACAGCTGGTCCTCCATTTGGAATGCTCTTCCCACAGCAGTGAGGCTATATCTGACCACCTTACTTAAAATTTCAACAGCCTTTCCCCTACCCTCATTTCTTTCTCTGTTTTTGTGTTTTTTTGAGATGGAATCTCGCTGTGTCACCCAGGCTGGAGTGCAATGGCCCGATCTCGGCTCACTGCAGCTGCCGCCTCCCGGGTTCAAGCAATTCTCCTGCCTCAGCCTCCCGAGTAGCTGGGATTACAGGTGCCCACCACCATGCCCAGCTAATTTTTATATTTTTAGTAGAGACGAGGTTTTGCCATGTTGGCCTGGCTGGTCTCAAACTCCTCACCTCAGGTGATCTACCCACCTCAGCCTCCCAAAGTGCTGGGATTACAGGCATGAGCCACCACACCTGGCTAACCACCCTCATTTCTTCCCCCAGCTTTATTTTTCTACATATCACTGATCATTTTCTAATGTGCTGTACTTTACTTTCTTGTTTGTTTGTCTCCCCCAGTAGAATACAAGCTTATGAGAGCAGGGATTTTTGTCAGTTTGATCCACTGCTGTATCCCCAGTGCCTAGAGCACTGTCTAGTACATAGTAAGTACTCAATAAATGAATGAGGCTGAGCACGGTGGCTCATGCCTGTAATCCTAGCACTTTGGGAGGCTGAGGTGGACGGATTGCCTGAGCTCAGGAGTTCGAGACCACCCTGGGCAACACGCTGAAACCCCGTCTCTACTAAAATACAAAAAATTAGCCAGGCATGGTGGTGGGTGCCTGTAGCCCCAGCTACTCAGGAGGCTGAGGCAGGAGAATAGCTTGAACCCAGAAGGTGGAGGTTGCAGTGAGCCGAGATCGCACCACTGCACTCCAGACTAGATGACAGAGTGAGACTCTGTCTCAAAAAAAAAAAAATAAATGAATGAATCCTGCAAGCCTGTGACATTCAACTTTTTAGTGTATAATTATTTCTTCAAAAAATATGGTAAGGAATCCAAAAATATAAGACAGATGAAAGTAAAGTGGCTCTGTTCAAACTAGGGAGTACAGAACCAAAGTCCCACTCCATCTGCTCCCACCCCAACCCTGTCACTCCCCATTTGAGAAGGCTCACAGAGCCCTGGGGTTCTCTCAGAGAGCTGTAAGCAGTTCTATTCAAAGATGAGAGGGAAAGAGATCTCTGCCCCAAACCCTTGTGTGCGGGCTGGATCCTGCTGGAAACGAGCCTGGTCTTTTGAGCCACAGGAAAGGAGCCCCACAGCTTTGCCCCTATCCCCATGCTGGCCTCCCGTGAGCTCGATATGTGGACCCAGCTCTCTCCCAGCAAAACTTTGTCTCATTCCTGGCCTCTGAAGAGTGAGAAAACACTCAGAACCCCCAGCACATCATTGTTGAAACAGATCTTAAATGTCATTTAATGTAACCCACTGAATCATTAATTCATTCAACAGCCATCCAGTCCTTGCTATGTTTGTGCCAGGCACGGCATACAGACATGAAAAGCTGAGTACCTATCCCCTAGAAGTACATGTGGGAGACAGCAAACACTGAAAAGACTTTCTCCAAATTCTATTTGAACACCTCCAGTGCTGGGGAACTCACTACCTACCAAGGCCGTACATTACCCTGCCCGATAACATTAGCAGCAAAACTGTTCTTTTTCTTGAGCCCTGAATCTGCTTTCTTACAGCGTCCACCTTTGGTCTTAATTTTATCCTCTGGCTCCACACTGAATAAATCTATCCCTCACCAAATGACAGCCTTTTAAGTATTTGAAAACAGTAATCAAGTCCCACAGAAAACTCTCTAGAGACTTGTGGCCGCCTTTGGGGACCTACATTTTGTGGCTGCTCCTAACCAGTTGGATTTCGGAGCTAGGCAGAGCCTAGTTGCCGCTAATCTTGTAGCAGGGCTGCAGGGCTGGAAACTGCCTCTGGAGTTGGAAGCCCACAGTGCCCCACCCCAGCATGAGGGAATTCCAAGATGCTTGCACTAGAAGGGTAAACGGTTCCAACAAGAGGTAATTCCTGGGCTGGAGGCAGTTCACTGCCTCCACATTCATCTCCCTAGAGAGGGCAGCTTCTCCTCTGGGTCCAGCCTTGCAGCTCACTCATTTGATTTCAAAGCAGCCAAATCCCAGTTCTTTGCGACTTGGGGAAGTACAGTGGCAGTGGGGGAGGTAGCAGCAAGGAATTCGATGGTTTTTTGTGTGTTCTTTGTTTCAACAAAATGTAGTTTTCCAAGTAATTGCTTGCCTGATGCAATAGGGCCTGCTGGGCCTCCAGGGCGTAAATCTTCCTGACAAGGGGGCAGTTTTCTGCTTCTTCCTGCAAGGCTGAAGCCCAGTTCTTTCTCTGGGACAGCCCAGCAGGTCTTGAATTCATTAAAGTTTCTCCAGCACTTTCTGCCAGAGCTGTGGGCTGCTTGGCACAATCCTGGCTGCCCTTTCCTGCAGGAGGAGCCTGGGCTTGCCCAGGAGAGGAGGAGAGGGAGTTCAGTGGGGCGGAGGAAAGGGAGAGGGAGCTGGGGATGGGGTGGTGGGGAGGGGAGAAGAAGTGAGAGCCTTTACCATTAGCTGGCTAGCCAGGCAGCCTTAGGAAGGCAAGAAAAAGCCTCAAAAAATATTCTCAGAAGAACCAGGATCTGGAAGTGACATGTGGCATCTACCCTGCACAGCTGCACGAGAAAACATGTTCGCAAAAAAGCTGTCTTGATTCCTTGCTGCAGGGAAGTAAAGGTCCATTTTAAAGTGTCTGAAGATTCTCTGTGTGACATTGCCCTCATCTCTTTCCCTTCTTTCCTTCTCTTTTTCTCCATGCACTTGTTTCCATTTAAAATGTAAATAAATAAAAACACTCTCTTGCTTCCTTTTCCCTCCTTCCTTCATTCTTCACCCCCAATTCCCTGCCCATCTCAAATTCCACCCCAGCCCCACTTCTCTGACACTCGAAAGTGCCTGAATCCATTTTCCTTCCCACCCACTTCTCTGCAAGGTGTCTGTCTCTCTCCATTGCCCTTCTTCTCCTCCTGCCCCGTGAGTCTCCTCTGGTTAAATGAGGTAGAATGCTGGCATTCTCACGTCCTTGGGGACATCTACGCATCTTAAATACATAGAGAAGACAGAAGGTCATCAGAATGTCAACCTGTTGAGGGCAGGAGTATATCTGAAATCAGTAGCAAACACCCACCACTTGGCATGGTCCATACTCACCAATGGGTCCACGTCCAACCCTGCTCATTTCTAATAAAGAAAGGCCATTCTGGTCCACACAGGCCTTTAATCCATGATCCCAAGTAAAGGCCTCAGGCAGAACTCTTCCATGAATACCATTATTACAGGAAAGGAGTCTCAGTCCAGACCCCAAGACAGGATTCTTGGATCTCACACAAGAAAAAATTTAGGGTGGGTCCACAGTGCGAAGCAAAAGCAAGTTTATTAAGAAAGTAAAGGAATAAAAGAATGGCTACTCCATAGACAGAGCAGCCCCAAGGGCTGCTGGTTGCCAGTTTTTATGGTTATTTCTTGATGATATGCTAAACAAGGGGTGGATTATTCATGCCTTTCCTTTTTTTATTTTTTTGAGACAGAGTCTCACTCTCTCGCCCAGGCTGGAGTGTGGTGGCATGATCTCAGCTCACTGCAACCTTCGTCTCCTGGGCTCAAGCAATTCTCCTGCCTCAGCCTCCCGAGTAGCTGAGATGACAGGCACATACCATCATGCCCAGCTAATTTTTGTATTTTTAGTAGAGACGGGGTTTCACCATGTTGGCCAGGCTGGTCTCGAACTCCTGAACTCAAATGACCTGCCCACTTTGGCCTCCCAAAGTGCTGGGATTACAGGCATGTGCCACCACGCCCAGCCAGTGCCTCCCCTTTTTAGACCATATAGGGTAACTTCCTGACGTTGCCACGACATTTGTAAACTGTCATGGTGCTGGTGGGAGTGTAGCAGTGAGGAAGACCAGAGGTCACTCTTATTACCATATTGATTTTGGTGGGTTTTAGCTGGCTTCCTTACTGCAACCTGTTTTATTAGCAAGGTCTTTATGATCTGTATCTTGTGCTGACCTCCTATCTCACCCTGTGGTTTACAATGCCTTAACCATCTGGGAATGCAGCACAGTAGGTCTCAGCCTCATTGTACCCAGCCCCTACTCAAGACGCAGATGCTGTGGTTCAATCGCCTCTGACACCATTTCTGCTCCTTCATAGCCCCACTCCCACCAGGTTTGTAAAACCTAACCCTCTCCACCCCAGAAGAAAAGTCTCCCAAGCTCAGTCATTTTTATGTATGTGTGAATTTAAAACCCCATGTTAGGTCAATGTAGAGATATTTGCCTTTTAATCTTCCCTAATTGTGGGATTAAAGACTTTAACATTACTTCAGGCAGCACCCGCTTGGGGAAAGGTGTTTACGGGGGGCAAAGTGATCTTTGCATTTTCTCAGAATAGACTTATATATGCAGCTACACATGCAATTCTCTCTGAAGACAGCTTCCATCCCCAACCCGTGAAACCACATTAAGAAGCTTCTTGTCCTCACTTCCAGGGTAGAGAAAGGGCTAAGAAATACCACCAATGGAGAACAAGGGGACTTGTGAAATCTCACTCCCTCCCTCACCTCCCAAGGGTCTGGAGACAGAACTCAGTGTACTAGATTAACCTAGACACATTCCTGACTGGACACAGAATCCTGGGCTAGATCTTCCAGGAACCCCGTGATTGTGGGATTCTCTATGGTCCCAACCCATGGTTTCTACCCATGCTGGAAAAAAATAAGAAGCCCCACCCTTTCACTCAAGGGCACAGATCAAAACCACGCCATTGATGGGTGTGTGGTGAGTACCGCAGGGGCACATTTGTCTTGGAATTTAACGTGCATCTCAACAGAGAGTTCTTTGGTGGGTCGGGGGCTGGGGAGGAGAGGCATGTTATCAGCAACATCATCATCAAATGATATTTTCTTCCAAGTGTCCAGATGTGCATGACACTGTGACGGGGCAGTGAAGGTGGGTCCTTGTGCTGTGTTGGAAGCTTTCTCATCAGCACCAAGAGCTGTTGCTTATTAGATACTCATACAATCGTGCTCTGCGCCCAGCCTCTCCTCGCAGTGAGCTTTAGTCTAAAAGTGGAGTGCAAACAAGCTTCTCTTCTCCAAAATCCCCATACAGAGGTCTTTAGGGGAACTCGCAGAGGCTAAGTCAGACCCCTATTTGATTTGGTTGGTGGCCTCTGCCACAGAGCTAATGAGCTGCAAAGACTCCTCTTCAAAAAGAAAACACTGAGTCTTTGAAGCCTGCACAGACCCGCCCAGAATCCCACAGTCTCCAGCTGCAGCCTTTCTCGCTTCCTGACAGGGCCCTCGAGAATCCCTCGGGATGGGAATCAGAGAACATATCCCGTGGATAGAGCAGGATGGAACCAGCCACCCATCCAGTGCACACCCCGCCAAGGTCTCCCCGCTGGAAAAGGAGAACTGTTTTGCCTTGCACCCTACATTTTATGCATGACAGGAAAAGCCTAATAACAAATACCATTTGTTGAGCAATTAATTGTCTGCCCCTGTGCAGAGCACAGTGCCTGTGTCATTTCCTTCATGTCTCTAATAAACCTTATTCTAAAGACATAGAAACTGGGAAAAGGAGAAGCTCTGCCATTAGACCAATGTCACATAGTGTGTAGATGGCAGATCCGGGGCTCCACCCTAGGTCTAGCTGACTTCCAGGACCACACATTTTAACATATGGCAAATTCATTTTATTTCTATAAAACCCTGGAAATAAGCCCTGATCCACACGTGTATAGGACTCGTGTGCTTAAGGCCAAATAGAAATTCATCTGTGTCTAAACAAATCATGCTTTAGAGCCAGTGAAGTTCTCTGAGAGAATATGGAGAAAGTTCTCACGTGTGGATCTCCTCCTCCTCACTGCCCGGCCACACATCTGTTTGGTGGGAAGATTTCTGTGTGCACACTGCCAACTTCTAGTGAAATCAGGGACCATGAGGACGGTGGGAGGTATCAGGGCTGTGGGTAAGATTTCTGCTTCCTACTGATTTCTGAGAACTTGCTGCTGAACTCCTTGATTCCTGCACAAGGGCAGCCAGATGAGAAGGTGAGAGTTAAACAGAATTAAAGAGAAGCAAGTTGTAGACGCAGAAGAAGAGCAACAAGAATCTAACAAGACTGGATTGACAACGTACTTAATGCTCAAAACTCACAGTCGTGTGTGTGTGTGTGTGTGTGTGTGTGTGTTTGCTGGGGCAGGGAGGTTGGGGAATGGGAGAACATAAGAAATAGAAGCCTTTCAAGGCTCTTGCAAACTGGTTGAGGAGAAAATATCATTATTATATACATAATAACAGCCCAAAGCAGTTTGCATTCTATCATATGGAAGTGCTGGATGATTCAGTACAGGCTGTCACTGCAAGAGGAGTCCAGATCAGTGGAACTTGAGAATAGTAAGAAGGGGCTTCATGGAGTGTGAAGGGAACTTCAGCTGGCCCTTGGAAGCTGAGTAAATGCAACCGGGTGCTGAGGAAGAGAGGGCATTCCTGCAGAGGAGCATACACATGAAGACTATAAATAATAACTCAAATCAAACCTGCATTGGACTTAAAATCACAAGCTGTTAGGGCTCAAAGGATCCTTCGAGGCTGTGTAGTTCAGCCCTTCCTTTTGCAGACAGGAACACAGAGGGGCTAAAGAAATAAAGTTGCAATGGATAAGCTGCTTAACCTCCTTGGGCTTAGTGAATATTTGTCTCCATGGAACTGGGATTTCTTTGTAGACAAGATCTCAGTTATCCTAATAACATCCTTGGGAACCAGCCAGGGAGACGGAGATGGAGATGAGAGTGGTGATTTGGTCCTTTGTATGACAGTCAGTTGGAAAAGAACCAGGTTCCCCCAACTCTGTTAGGGCAGACTCCCAAGCTGCAAAGCTATTGGGAAGGGAATGCTGTAATGAGGGGTGGTGGGGAGGAGAGACCTTCCAACTGGCCTCCCTCCGTCCATTCATGCGCACTTCCATTCTGTTCGGCACACCGCAGCCAGGTATAGTTTTATACACAAAATTCACCTATTTTAATTGGGTAGTTTGATGAAATGTTAGTAACTTTACACAGTCTTGTAAGCATGAGCACAATCAAGATATAGATGTTTCCATTACCATAAAAACTTTATTAATGCAACCATTGCTGTCCATATCTTCTCCCTACCCCTACCCAGGCAACTACGATTGCTCTGTTTTGCCTTTTCTAAGATTTCATATAAATGGAATCAGACAGCGTGCTGTCTTTTTGTTTTTCACTTCTTCCACTTAGTATGGTATTTTTGAGATTCATTTATGTTGCATGTATTAATAATTTCATTCACTTTTATTGCTGAGTAGTGTATGAGTATACCCAATCTGATTATCCACTCAGCAGTGAAGTTTGGGTTCTTTCCAGTTTTGACCTATTTTGAATGAAGCTGCTGTGAACATTCACATACAAGACTTTGTGAGGACATATATTTTCATTTCTCTTGGGTAAATTTCTGGGAGTGGGATAGCTGGGTCATAGGGTAAGTATATATTTCGCTTTATAAGATACTGTGGCTGGGTGCAGCGGCTCGTGCCTGTAATCCCAGCACTTTGGGAGGCCAGGAGGGTGGATCACCTGAGGTCAGGAGTTCCAGACCAGCCTGGCCAACATGGAAAAACCCTGTCTCTTCTGCCAACTTACATTTGACTCTCCAAAGAAATAGAACCAATAAGATATATCTATAAATAAATTTATTATAAGGTATTGGGTCACATGATTATGGAATCTGAGAACTCCCACAATCTACCATCTGCAAGCTGGAGACCCAGGAAAGCCAGCGGTATATTTCAAAGTCCTGAGAGTCAGAGAGCCAGTGGTGCAGGTTCCAGTCTGAGCCTGAAGCCCTAAGAACATGAGCACTGAGGGCAGGTATCATGAGCTGGTATCCCAGCTCAAGCAATCAGGCAGAAAATGTATTCACACTTCCTCCACCTTTTCTTCTATTCAGGCCCTCAACAGACTAGATGATGCCCACTCACACAGGGGAGGGCCAAGTACTTTACTCAGTCCACCAATTCAAAGGCTAATCTCTTCCAAAAGCACCCTCACAAATACACCCAGAAGCAATGTTTCACCAGCTGTCTGGGCACTCCTTGGCCCAGTCAAGATGACACATAAAATTAACCATCACAGCACCCTCAACCAGGATTTCAAGGATAGTTTGATAAAGAGACTATATACAAAGGTTAAAAGAAATAAAAAGAGAAGTTAAGGCATTCCAGGATTAGCAAATGTGGGAAGCCATTGTGACTCCTAGGCCTGAATGGGCAGAGGGAAAAAGGTGCTACAAGAACCAGCAAAGTTGGAACCATGGGAACGGGGCCACCCAACAGGAACTGCTGTTGTAGAATACAGGCACCACCAGAAACTCAGCACCCAGGCAGGGAGAAAGCAGGAGGGGAAATGTCATGGCTTCTCTTCCCTCTGTTCTCTTATCTCCTACTCATGCCTCCCATCGCCCAGACCCAACTGGAAGCCAGAGGGCAAGGGAGCCCAGGAGGCATAGTCTCAGTGATCACCCTCCTGGGGTGCACAGCAAGACAGAGTAGGACCTTCTCCAGCCTGGTTTTGCCCTCTTGTTCCTTCCAACACAGGCATACTGGATGTCTTTCAGTTCCTCAAATAGTTCTCTTCATCCCTTTGCTGCGTGATGATTCTTCTATGAATATTTTTCCCCTGTATGTGCCAACCTCACCCATCTTCAGCCTCCTTTTGTCAGCTTAAGCCTAAAATCTTCAAGGAAGTCTTTTATGGCTCCCCAGATTAGAAAATGACTCCCTTTTATATCTATTTCTAAAGCTCCTTGTACCTCTCTCTTACAACACTATGAATAATCAATCATGTATTATGATTAGTTAGTTATTTATCTAATATCTGCCTTCTCCAACAAACTGTGAGCTCAAGGAGAGCGGAAGCAAGTTTATTTTGCTCACTCCTCAATCTGCAGAACTAGCACAGGAAACAGCACAGGATCTGCACACAGGACTCGATAACCACATGTAGATGGATTAGTCAGTATGTCTGTCTCTCTTTCTGGAATATGAGGGAACTGATCATGTTCTACTAATTTCTGAATCTCCATCTCCAAACATGGTGCCTAGCATATAATAAGCTCTCAGTAAATATGATATAATATATTAATACATAGACAAAACTATTTATATTTTTAACCTAACTGCTTTTGAAAGTAAGGAGTTCCATTAATTTAATGCCCACTGTGAAAAGTTGTCTTTTTTAAAAATTCATCCTAAAATTAATAATAGACAATAGAGATTCCAAAAGGTGGAAGATGGGGGGGGGTGGGATGAGATGGGATGGGATGAGAAATTACCTACTGTGTACAATGTAAACTATTTGGGTGATGGCTACGTGAAAAGCCCAGACTTCACCACTACACCATGTATTCATGTACAAAACTTCACTTGTATCCCCTAAATCTATAAAAATTAAAATTAAAAAATTTGTCCTAAAATTGCCTCTTTTGAGCTTGGAGTCTTCACCCTGCTCCCCAGTTTTGTAATTCTCAGCCTTGGGAGCCAAGTCTGTATCCAACATGTTTCTGCAGCCTTCACTTCTGCCAACTCACATTTGACTTTCCCAGTCCAACTGGACGACATCTCTGCAGTCTCTTTATATTTGGCCAGACTTCAGCCCCTAGAATACTTTATTTCTGTCTTCTAGAATTTTTCAAACCCCATCATATATTACTAACTTTCCAGTGTCAGAAATGTCCATTACACTGTACTTGTCTGTTAGGTTCTTAAACCAAAGAAGGACATGGCTTTCTCTTTCCATCCCAGTCCTTGTCCTGATGTGCAAGTCAATCAAATTCTTGGAGAGTCAGTTTCTTCATCTATAAAATAGCTGTGATATCTGATAAACCAATTATGTATTGCTGGGTAACAAACCATCTAAAAACTTAGTGGCTTAAAACAACCATTTTATTTGCTCATGATTCCATGAGTCAGCTATTTGGGTTGGGCTCAGTTGGGGCCTCTTCTGCTCATCTTGCCTGGGGTCACTCATGCAGCTACAGTCACCTGGCAGTTCAGCTGGAGCTTGATTGGTTTTGAGGGCCTCAACTGAGACAGCTTGTCTGCTCCATGAGGCCTCATCCTCTGTAGGCTAGTCCATGCTGCTTCACATGATAGCAGGAGAGTTCCTGGTAGCAAGAGAAGGCAAAACACCAATACACAAGGGCTTTCAAGCCTATACTTGCATCACATTTGCTAATATCACACTGACCAAAGCAAGCCACACGGTCAGGCCCAGAATCATTGTCAAAAGGGCTACATAAAGGCATAGACACAGGGAGAATGATTCACTGGGGACTGTTACTGCAACAATCTACCATACCTGTTTGCTTCACAGAGCTATAGTGAGGAACCAATGAGACAGTGCTTGCATACCACAGTGTACAATGCCAATGCAAGTTAATATTTTATTGATGTATGTAGTCCCATCATTTTACTTTTATTCATGATATATCTGGAGTCTTTCTCTGTCCCCTATTAGATTCAAGTCCCTTTCAGATGGTGTTATGGGTTGAGTTTTATCCCCCTAAAAAGATATGTTACGTGAACTTATTTGGAAATAGAGTCATTGCAGGTGTAATTAGGTAAGTTAAGATAAAGTCATACAGGAGTAGGGTGGGGCCTTAATCCAATATGACTGGTGTCCTTGTAAGAAGATAGTGTTCTTGTAACAAAATGGCCATGAGACAGAAATACACAGGGAAAACGTCACGTAAAGCCAGAAGCAGAGATTGGAGTTATGCCACCACAAGCCAAGGGACATCTATGGCAACCAGAAGATGGAGGAGGAAAGGAAGCATCTTCCCCTAGAGGCTTCAGAGGGAACATGGTCCTGTCAATACCTTGAGTTTGGACTAGAGCCTTCAGTACTGTGAGACAAAACATTTCTGTTGTGTTAAGTCACCCAGTTTGCGATGCATTGCGACTGCAGCCCTAGGAACCCTAATTCAGATGGTAGATATCTTTAATCCTCATCAGCTTCATCTAAAGAGTTATAAGATAGAATAAGCTGACAGATTTTGGTTGGGAGTCAAGAGTTTAGGACACTCACCACTGTGGAACTTGAGCAAGTCACTTCACCTTTCTGGGTCATTGTTTTCAAATCTGTTCAGGAGGAGCGTTGCAGTGGATCCATGTTTCCAAAGTATGGTATGGGTGTACTATGATAAGGCACTTAAGATGCTTTTACATGGGTAAATGGGCAAACATTTTTAAATTTTCATGTTTATATTAATCATGGCTATCTTAAATGTCTGGTAAGGCTGGTTTTCAATTTATGTTGGTAATATAAAAACACACAAGGTTTTGAAAAGTCTCAATTTAAATAAAACCATGAGTAAATAATAGAACAGTTGGCATATGTATATGACAAAACTGTGAAAGACTGACATTTGGGGAAACATTGAACTACATATTCTCAAAAAATCCTTCCAGATCAGAAATGTTAGGATTCTGTCGATCCATAAGGATGCCCATTAGAATGGAACACAGAGAGGTCTGGAAGAAGACAGGTGGGCAGTTGATGAAGAGATGAGAGAAGCTTAGGCTGCTCTGCAAGAACCCAGGAGGGGCAGTAAGCCCTTGTCACTTTCAGAAATTGTCCTCCAATTGAGTAGCTGTTTGCTCTGTATCCATCATATATTCTTACCTCTACAAGCCCCCATCTCACTAGCTGTGTTTGCAGGATATATCTTACCCTATTTCAGCTTCCATGACTGGAAGACCCAGGTCCTGAGACAAAAACCACTCCACCACTCAAGAGGCAAATGGTAATAGCTATCAAGTTGGGAAACTGGAGAATCTTACAGTTTGACTTTGCTGTACACTGTGTTCTGATTTTCATACTAGGGTATAATATGGGGTCACATTTGACTATAAGTGGCTAATGTGTAGCTGAAGACAGAGCAAGGAGCATAGACACATGAGTCATCATCTTACCGAAGACCCTTAGTGCTGGAAACAACCTCAGAGACCATCTCTCCTCTAGTGTGTCTCACTGGATGCCTTCCAGCTCCTAAGGAAACAAATCCATTGGCGAGATACCCCTTTCATGTCCGGTGGCACTTAGGGTTAGAAATTTTCTCCCCGTAACTTAGATTAGTGGATCTTTAAGCTGGAAAGACTCTCAAACAATTGTGTGGTTTGCCCTTGCCCTTGAACTGTGCAGGTGTTGTTATCCACATTTTTCACAGGAGACAATTGGACCCCAGAGAGGTTAATTGATGGATAGGAGGATCCCATCTTCCAGTTCAATAACTTCCCATTATGCCATGGTATTCTATGCACATTCTGATTGACCTCTCAGAGCTGACTGAACCAAAAAACCATCAGTCCTTCCTTTTCCCCGGTGCTGGCATCTCTTCCCCAGTATGTTTGATGTGTGACCATGTGTGTCATCCTCCTCCAACCCCTGAGCAATCATCCTCCACCAATCCTAGGGGAAAGTGTAATTATCAAGTATACCTGCCTGACTTCTGTCCCATTGTTGGCACTGACTTGCTGGGTTTGGGATTATTGCCCATCAGTTCTTTTTCTGCATTCAGTGTCTCCACACGATAAGCCCTTCTAGCAATCCTCCATCTAGTGGAAAAGATCCCCTTGCACAGCCGTACAAATCTTTCTTTTTGTGGGGGTCGAGGGGAGACAGCGTCTTGCTCTGTTGCCCAGGCTGGATTGCAGTGGCATGATCACAGCTCACTGCAACCTTGCCCATCTGGGCTCAAGCAATCCTCCCACCTCAGCCTCCTGAGTAGCTGGTACATAGGCATGCCACCCTGCCCAGTTAGTTTTTTAATTATTGTAGAGAAAGGTTCTCACTATGTTGCTCAGGCTGGTCTTAAACTCTTGGCCCCAAACAATTATTCCACCTTGGCCTCCCAAATGGCTGGAATTATAGGTATGAACCACCATGCCTGGCCATCTTTTCTTCTCTAGACTAGATATTGCCAGTTCCCTCAACTGTTCCCCAAAGACGTGGTTTCCAAATCTCAGCCTTGCTGTTGTGGTCTGGAGTGGTCTTATGCAGTGTCCAGAACTGTCTAGATATGCAACAGTCTGGATAGAGGAGGTATCTATGCAACATCCTCTGAGTCTATACAAAAGTCTGGATACAGTTGGAATATCACCACCCAGTCTGGCCACTATACTTCTGTTCATGTATCATTAACTTTCTGAGTGGCCACAGAACACCCAGGACTCTTGGTGAACTTGCAGTCAACTAAATCCCTAAATTACGAACCAATGTTAGACTTCAGTTTCCATACCTTTTACTTGTACAATGGATATTTTTAGTGTAATTTTTAAAATCTCAGATATTCCTGTGGATGACCTGCTCATCTCCTTCAGGTCTTTGCATAAATGTCTTTTGGCAAGGTTTTCTAGACAAGCCCACCAGGAACCCTGGCCTTGCCTCAACACACCTCTCTAGCACTCCCTGTCTCCTTCTCAGCTTTATTTTTCTCTGTAGCACTTATCACCATCTGACATATTATTATTTTACTTCATTTTTTAAACTCTGTCTTCCCCTATTAAAATGTGTAAGCTTCATGAGGGAAGGGCCTGTTATCTATTTGTTCACTGCTACAACCTCGGAACAGGTATGAGTTCCTGGCACACAGTGAGCACTCTTGTATTAGTCAGCTTAGGCTGCCATAACAAAAAACCATAGATTGGGTGGTTTAAACAACACACTTTTATTTTCTCACAGTTCTGGAAGCTATAAAGCACAAGATCAAGGTCTAGCAGGGTTTGGCTTTGGGTGAGGGTTCTTTTCCTGGCTTGCAGATGGCCACCTTCTCACTGTGTACTCTTGTGCCCTTTCCTCCATGAATGCACTCAGAGAGAGAGATTTCTTTCTTTTTTTTTTTTTTTCTTTCTTTTTTTGAGATGGAGTCTTGCTCTGTCACCCAGGCTGGAGTTCAGTGGCACCATCTCAGCTCACTGCAACCTCCGCCTCCTGGGTTCAAGCGATTCTTCTGTCTCAGCCTTCCAAGTAGCTGGGACTACAGGAGCAAGCCACCACATCCAGCTAATTTTTTCTTTTTTTTGTATTTTTCGTAGAGATGGGGTGTCACCATATTGGCCAGGCTGGTCTCAAACTCCTGACCTCGTGATCCACCCACCTCGGCCTCCAAAAGTGCTGGGATTACAGGCGTAAGCCACCACGCCCAGCAAGAGAGATTTCTTATAAGGCCACCAATCCTATTGGATAGGACCCCATTTTTATGATCTCAATTAATCTTAATTATCTCCTAAAAGCCCTATCTCCAAATACAGCCCCATTGAGGGTCAGGGCTTCAACATATGAATTCTGGGAAGACACAATTCAGTCTCCCCAAAATTGAGGTCACCTACTGAAACCACTCATACAGATGAGGAAACTGTGGTCCTAAAATGCTGAGGCAACATCTTGTTCACTCTCTCCCTGACAGATCCTCACAAAGGGGCTACCAGTGGTGCCTTGGGATTGGCATGGGACTATGAAATGCCCCCAAACCAGGCCCCATCCAAAAGGCATACATCTGTCACCTTAGTTCTCCTTCCTGCTGGGGCCTCACCTCCAAACTTCAAGACCAAAGACCCTCCTTCCAACGTGTCCCGTGGTCTGGTAGGCCCCAGAAAACAGGTACAGTGGCCCATCCCCAGCTGCTGGAAGAACTTGCCATCTTTTTGGGAAGTCATTGTCAATCTGTACTTACTGAGCCCATCCCAGTATCCATCTGGGCTGTGCTAGCTACATAGTGACAAGGGGCTGATAGGACAGTGCTAATTTTCACAAAACTGTTAGACAAAAATTAAGTGCTAACCATGAATCCAGGGTGACAGGAGTTCCAAGAAGAGAGAAATCAGAGTAAGTGGAACACATCTTCATGGAAGTCGTGGGATTTGAATCAGATCTAAAAGGATGTGTGGGACCTAGACAAAGAGAGGGAAGGAAGGGAAACTTTGCAAATGGTGACAAGGGCTGGGGGTGATGACAGCACATTATGAACAAAGGATTGAGTCAGGATCGACCCCGAGTATAGGGCTGGGAGGGTGCTGAAGGCTCCAGCATCTGTGTGGAGATGGGTGAGCAAAGCGCTGGGAAATACAACTTCTTTTGCCAAGTTATTTTATGCTTTCTTCTTCCCTCCTCCCTCCTGGATCAGCTTAGGTGAAAAGGCTCAGAGCTTCCCTATAAGAGTTTACAGGGAGCTTCCCAAGAATGCTGGTTCACAGCAGACCTTTTATTTTCCCAATAGAACAGGCAGCTCCTTGGATTTTCTTACCATCCTTCCTACGCAGGGGTTTCTTCCATCAACAGCCAGTTCTGGGAGGGCGAAGAGCCCCAACTCACTCACTTGAGCAGACTCCAAGTTCCTTGGGGTCTGAGGTCCAGTGGGAAAAAAGGGTTTGGCCAGCAGGTCCCTTCCTTCTTGGATTTGACAAGAAGTGGGCAGGTCGCAGGCAGCTGTGCTGAGTATTTATGTTACGCAAAAGGCCGACTCAGCCCTTCTTCCTGCCAAGGTCAGCAAGCCACGTTCCCAGTGGTTTGGGTGTGTGGGTGTCTTCTGGGCTAGCAGGAAAGTCTGCCAGGAGCCCAGGCCTTAGCTTGTGCAGACCCCAAGAAGCTAGGCAGCTTCTATTCCCCCAAGGCTGCATCAGGTCCCCCTCGGAGATTTTCTCTCACCCCAGGCCTTCTGCCTTCTTTTCACTGAACTCTTTGTTCACCAATGAACAGTACTCAGGGGACAGCCTGTCAAAGAGGACCCAGGCCTGGACTGAGTTGGGGTGGTGGGAGGCTGTGGCAAGAACAGGAGGCCCTGGAGAGAAGGCAGGGACAGAGCAACTACAGTCATACATTTGTCAACACAACTTCAGTCAAAGCCCCTGTCACAGCCTCCATCGGCCACATCCACACACGTCCTCATTTTATGCTGCTGAAATTAGACTGAAATGGACATGATTTAAAGAGGAAAATAAGTAGCCACAGGATAACCTGATTGCTGAATGAGGAAGGGGAGCAGAGTTGTTTCAGTTCTTTGCTTTGGGAATTAGCAGAATCAGATACATTTGAGAATTAAGGATGTCTGATGTGCAGATAAACCTCCTAATTTATTTATTTATTTATTTATTATTTATTTATTTTAGAATTGGAGTCTTGCTCTATCGCCCAGGCTGGAGTACAGTGGTATAATCGCAGCTCACTGCAGCCTCCACCTCCTGGGCTCAAGCAATCCTCCCACCTCAGCTTCCCAGTAGCTAGGACTAAAGGCAGCACCACCATGTCCACGTTTGTTTGTTTGTTTGTTTGTTTGTTTGTTTGTTTGTTTTTGTAGAGATGGGGGGTCTTCCTATGTTTCCCAGGATGGTCTTGAACTCCTGGCCTCAAGCAATCCTCCTGCCTCAGCCTCCCAGAGCTCTGGGATTACAGACATAAGCTACCTCACCCAGCCCTCCAATATTATTGAATATGTGTAAAGCGGCTATGTCCTTGTCGCTCAGGCTTCCTCTCTGCCTATGCAAATTCTACCCATCCCTCAGGTCAGCTCTCTGGAAAGCACCCTGTTCCTCATCCAACTCTCATGAGTCGGGGACCGGGCTGCTCAAAGCTCACAGTCCACCTGGTACTCGGTTGGACACTGCTGAATGAAACCCCTTCCGTTGGTCCCTTGGCGAAGCTTGGATGAGAGGATTCCACCACCCCAAATTTCCCTGGATCCCTGAACACCTAAACCAACCACATTCACTGTGAGGAAAATAGATGACCATAGATAGAAAATAACAGCACAGAGAACAGGGACAGCATCTGCAAGCCAAGTCCCTGGATGATCCCAGAGCCCAGCGAGAGTTTTCTCTAAACATCTGTTTGAGTCAAAGCTCAGGGCCCACCCCAAGCATCAGCATAGGCCCCGGCCCTCCGCAGCCCGCAGCAGCATGAAGCAGGGATTCCCTGAGCTGCATATCACTGCAGGTTGCGTGAAAGAGTATGTCCAGGTGGGTGGGGCCCCGAAAAGCAGGGTCTGGGGCTGAGCTCTTTGTAAGTGAGACCCAGGAGCCCCAGTTTAATTAGAATTCCTGCCTAGGATGAAGGCTCGCGGCTGCCAGCCCAGGCCTTGAGCCATTGGTCACGGCTCATAAAGGCCACACACGAGTCACAGAGCCCAGGCGAGGCCAGCATCCCTTGTGGACGGAGCCTCAGAAGTCTCTATGATCCCTGCCTTCCACCCTGGGCTCCCCGGAACCCCATCAAAACCCCTACTCTGCAGGCCACATGTGTAACGACACCTGATAAGGATCCAGACTGATTGTGTCCACTCAGTGGGGTTTCTGTTTTCTCCCTAGCCTTCCAAGAGGCCGTGGTTGTCACCAGGGCGCCCCCACCCCTACCCCTGAATCCCAGCTGCAGGGACTGCCATTCAAACATCCACGTGTCCAAGATGGCTGCGGCATTGGCATGAGGACAAACCAACCTACCCCACAAGGGTGACTAGTTTGAGAAGATTTATATCAAACAAATACTTTTAAAACTGTGAAATGTGCTATAAACTTTGTGCCCAGTTTTCTAACGATGGCGTCGCCGGTGGCTGGCAGCTGCTCTGTTCCATGATCCCCCCAGGGTTCCAGCGGAGACCACCAAAGAGAGAGGGGGAAGGCCAGGGCTGCATTCCACTCCAGCATCTGGGAGGCTGCACCCCCAGAGGAAAAAGTGCTTGCCTGCCTGCCAGCGGGTGTACTCTGACCCTGAGCCTCCAAACACCCACCCCACAGCAGACCCCCCAGAAGCTGCTTCAGATTCCATCTTTGAAGAAACTTCATCCCTTGCTTTAACTTTCTGGATGCTGCTTACCTGTTTTCTCAGAGAGGCTAGCCCTTTAAGGGGTTCATAGTCATTTACACTTTAGTGTGAATTAGGGAGCTAAGAACAAATTAATTTAGAGAATTAGGAGTGGGGGCGCCTAGGATACCAGAGTTCTGAGGAGAAGGGAAATGAGAAGATCAGCAGAAACTGGGCTCTGAACTGAGTCAAAGGTAACCGCGGTCTTTTAAGTCAGGGGAAGTTCTGCTCACTCATCAATGATATCTTGGTTAAAGGCAGGTTGTTGGGGCCAGATTGCTGGGGTTTGAATCCTAGAACTGCCACTAACTAGCCACTAACTAGCTTTGGCAAGTTACTTAGTCATTGTGTGTCTCAGTGTCCCCAGCAGTAAAAGAAAGAAACTCTTAGCACCTTCCCCCAATGTTGCTGTAAAGGATTCAATATGTCAACATATGTGTGAAGCAGTTTAAGAACAGAGACTGGCAACTGTGCTATAAGTAAACATCACAGAAGTGTCACTACAGGTTGAGTATCCATTATCTGAAATGCTTAAGAACAAAAGTCCTTTGGTTTTTTTTTTTTTTTTTTTTTTTTTCAGATTTCAGGATAGCTGCATTATACTAATTCAGCCTCCCAAATCCAAAAATTTGAAATGTTCCTGATATGGTTTGGCTGTGTCCCCACCCAAATCTCATCTTGAATTGTAGCTCCCATCATTCCCATGTGTTGTGGGAGGGACCTGGTGGGAGATAATTAAATCTTGGGGGCAGTTTCCCCCATACTGTTCTCGTGGTAGTGAGTAAGTTTCACGAGATTGGACGGTTTTAGAAGAGGAAAACCCTTTTGCTTGGTTCTCATTCTCCCTTCCCTGCCTCCATGTAAAATGTGCCTTTTGCCTTCCACCATGATTGTGAGGCCTCCCCAGTCACATGGAATGGTGAGTCAATTAAACCTCTTTTTCTTTATAAATTACCCAGGCATGGTGGCTCACACCTGTAATCCCAGCACTTTGGGAGGCTGAGGCGGGCAGATCATTTGAAGTCAGGAGTTCAAGACCAGCCTGACCAACAGGGTGAAACCCCATCTCTATTAAAATACAAAAATTAGCCAGGCATGGTGGCGGGTGCCTGTAATCTCAGCTACTCAGGAGGCTGAGGCAGGATAATCCCTTGAACTCAGGAGGTAGAGGTTGCAGCGAGCCGAGACTGCACCACTGCACTCCAGCTTGGGTGGAAGAAAAAGACTCCCTCTCAAAAACTATATATATATACACGCATATATAGATATACACACACACACGTATATACATATATACATAAATATATATGTATATATGGTAACTTACATATGTATATATGTATATACATATATGTGTGTATATATATGTGTATGTGTGTGTGTGTGTGCATATATATGTATACACACACACACACATATAAATTACCCAGTCTCAGGTATGTCTTCATCAGCAGTGTGAAAATGGACTAATACAGCTCCAATGAGCATTTCCTTTGAGCATTGTGTTGGCTCTCAAAAAGTTTGAATTTTGAAGCATTTTAGATTTCAAAATTTCAGATTTGGGATGCTCAGCCTGTATTGTTATCTACAAAATTAGGGCGGGAGCCTGGACTGTCCTGGTATTCTACTGACAAAGTCGGGAGGCTGTCTTTGAGAGTGGCCTCTTGCTTGGAAGGAGAGTGTCTCATTCCTCCCCAAAGGAAGGCTCCTGGAGTGGGTAGGAAGAGAAATGTTTTTTAAAATCCCTGGATGGCTAGGCACAGTAGCTCACGCCTATAATCCCAGCACTTTGGGAGAGAGAGGCGGGTGGATCACCTGAGGTCAACAGTTCGAGACCAGCCTAGCCAACATGGTGAAACCCTGTCCCTACTGAAAATGCAAAAATTAGCTGGGCATGGTGGTGTGCCTGTAATCCCAGCTACTTGGGAGGCTAAGGCAGGAGAATGGCTTGAACCCGGGAGGCAGAGGTTGCAGTGAGCCAAGATCGTGCCACTGCCCTTCAGCCTGGGCAACAAAGCAAAACCCTGTCAAAAGAAAAAGAAAACTCCCTGGAGAGAGTACCCCAGCAGCCCTGAACCCTCCATCCCACAGCCTGCAAAACTCCCCTCTGCACTATCACCAGCTTTCCACCTCACATGCAAATGTTGTGCCACATTAATAAATCAGTTCCCAGCCATTAGAAGCCTGTAATAATCCCTTTCACTCAGCCTGTCCAGCCTGTTTTACAGAGCACCTAATTAACTAAGAGCTGAGATTTGGGGTTTCTTTCTCCTGAGAGACTCCTCACCGAATCCCATCTCCCAGAGCATGTCCCTGTCTGGCTGATGGAATCTCGAGGCTCGGATCAGCCTGGCTGGGAGATGGTCAAGTAGTCAGAATGTGGGAATATGGGGCTGCCATGCTAATGGAAATGAGTGATAAATAAATACATTCAATTTAATTAACTAAACGATCCATCATTACTCAGACTTAATGTCCTCCTGCAAGATCTAATCTTCATGTTACTGTTAAGAAAAGTCAATGCATCATAATGGTAAACTATAAAGGAGAATCTCAGCTCATTCCATCTCCCCACTTGGATATTTTCAAAATATTCATATTCTTGGAGATCTTGCCCTAATGCATTCGTTATTCATCCATTCCACAGAATTATTTATTGAACACTTACTGCCTGCCAGACACTGAGCTAGGCATGAGGGATACATATATTAACCGAGAGCAGTGATTCCCAAAGGGGGTGTATGCCTTAGGGAGGGAGCCAGGTGATCTGTTAGAAGTCAATAAGAAAACATTATAAGTTCCATTTCTATTTATTTTTAAGCCTGCCCCTGTTGAACTATATGTTTGTGCTTCCTTTATGATGACTAATATATGAATACAGAAGTATATGAGAGGGTTTTTTGGTTTTGGTTTTGTTTGTTTTGTTTTGAAACAGGGTCTTGCTCTGTTGCCCAGGCTGGAGTGCAGTGACGCAATCATGGTCCTTGACAACCTGGGCTCAAGTGATCCTCCCGTCTCAGCCTCCTAAGTAGCTGGATTGTAGGTGCACATCACCATACCAGCTAATTTTATTTTTATTTATTTATTTATAGAGACAGCATCTCGCTACGTTGCCCAGGCTGGTCTCAAATTCCTGGGCTCAAGCGATCCATCCACCTCTGCCTCTCAAAGTGTTGGGATTACAGGTGTGAGCCACCACGTCCTGCTGGGTGTTATTTTTAAAATAAATAAATACCCAAATATTGAAGGCACATACCCTAAACATTTTATCCATGGAGTGCCTCATCAAAAAAGCTTAGAGACCACAAGCGTAGAGCAGCAGCTCTCAGAGAGATCTGTGTGGAGTAGGCGAGAGAATTAGAATCCCCTGGAGAACCTTTTCAAAATAAATTCTCCTGTCCCCTTGGAGGAACTGTCAGAATCTCAGGGGAAGAGACTGAAACATTTGTAATTGTTACAAGCTCGAAGTATTTCCAATACTAATCCTACCTCCTCTCTCATCCCTAGTGAGAATTGTCTGTTCACTGACTTCTAGGAAGCCCTCCTTCTAGGAAGCCTGCACTGTAATATCCTGGGGTCGCCAGTAGCATATAGTGTCCAATGCAGATCATTCAGGACTGATTTGTAACTGCCTGCATTCTTCAGCACAGTCATGCACACCACGTAATGACGTTTCAGTCAACACCAGCCCACGTATACAACGGTGATCCATAAGATTGTAATACGGTATTTTTACTGTGCCTTTTCTATGTTTAGCTGTGTTTAGATCACAAATACTGTTGTATTATAATTGCTTACCGTATTCTGTACCCATGCTATACAGGATTGTGGCCTAGGAGTAATAGGCTATATCAAATAGCTTATATGTTTAGTAGGCTCTGCTATCTAGGTTTGTGTAAGTGTGCTCTATGATGTTCACATAACAATGAAATCTCCTAAAGATGCACTTCTCCGAATGTAGCCCCATCATTAAGCAACATATGACAGTACTTTAGAGATGACTGATATCTCAATTCTGTTGGAAGCTCCTTAGGGACAGATTTTGTGTCTCTCCTAAATATTGGAGTTAGACACATGCCGGCACTTTCATACCCGGGTTGATGCAAGCCGGGGAGAGTCGTTGCTTCTCTTGTGTCCAGGTCTACAGGTAGGCTTACTGTCAGAGACAGCACTGCTGGATTTGTTGAAATTGTACCTCTTTTCAGAAGGGTGGGAGAAGAGCCTGGGAGCCCTGGAGCCAAGCCAAGGAGGTGACCTGAATGCTGGCCTCCACACGCCACCTTTGGCAGACATTAAGTCACTCCCCTCATTGGGCATGGGCAGGAGAGGGATTCCTGGGACTTTGTCATCATGAAAGTGCCCATGGTCTCACCTCTCCAGGCAGGACAAAAAGAGCTGGGTTAGTCACTTGCCCTTTTTCCCAACTTCCACCCCCTCCATCTACTTCTGCAGTGCTCATTGCCCTCCTAATGCCTCTTGTCCCAGTCCCAGAGCAATTTACACTGAGGAAAATTATAGCCTTAGCCCACCCAGGGCTGATTTAGAAAGAAAAGGAGAAGTTAGGAGGGATGGAGAAATCACTGCAAAACAAACCCTTAAACTGGACGCGTCCGCTGTGAAGCTGCTGAGCTCATCCTGCCTGCCCATGGCCTCAGCTCAGGGAGGGGCCAAGGATTGCTGCTCTTTGCCCAGGGTGGTCTATAATCGGACCAGAGTTGACCATGTGACCAAGGGCATCCCACCCACAGGCTGGCTGGCAACCCTCGAGCAGGCCTGGAATGAAGAATTCTGCCCATCTGACGAGCTTCCTCCACATTTGGCATAGACAAAAAGAGAAGGTTGGGAAGCTGGTCAGAAATGAGACACACCAGAAGAGGAGAAGCCAGCCTGCCAGGACCGGGACGCCACATGGCCCCAGAGAGCTCGGGGCAGGAAGCCAGTTCCCAGAGCCCCCTCATGACTAGCAGCTCTCTGATTCCAGGGCTCAGGCACCACATGGTCCCTTGCTCCAGGTGGTCTGGGAAAGCACTGGTTCTTTGCCAATGACAGAGGCAAGCAAAGACATTGATTGTGCCCAGAGAAAGTCTCTAGATATTGTTACCAAACCAAACTTGGGCCCAACTGCTCTGTGCAGCAAAGCCAAACACTGACATGGGTCTGCAGCAAGAGAGAGTGAGGCATTTATTGCAGGGAGCCAAGCAAGAAGAATTGGGCAGCTCAGGCTTAAGACCCAAACTCCCCAATAGCTTAGAGGTAACGGTGTTTGTTTGTTTGTGTTTTTGTTTTTTTGAGATGGTGTCTTGCTCTGTTGCCCAGGCTGGAGTGCAATGGCACCATCTTGGCCCACTGCAACCTCCGCCTCCCAGGTTCAAGCAATTCTCCTGCCTCAGCCTCTTGAGTAGCTGGGATTACAGGCGCACACCACCACACCCAGCTAATTTTTGTATTTTTAGTAGAGACGAGGTTTCACCATGTTAGCCAAGCTGGTCTCGAACTCCTGACTTCAAGTGATCTGCCTGCCTCAGCCTCCAAAGTGCTGGGATTACAGGTGTGAGCCACCGCACCTGGCCAGCTTAGACGTAAGGGTTTTTAAAAGCGAACAGGCAGAGGTTACAAGTACAGTCATCAATCAAGTCTTGGAAGCTATACATTGATTTGAGCTTCAAAGGTGGGACATCTTGAAGTGGGTGGGTGGGGGGGCATAGATCATAGGTGGATTTAAAGAAATTCTGATTGGCTATATGAAATAGCTTATGTGTGTAGCAGGCTCTACTATCTAGGTTTACATAAGTGCACTCTATGATGTTCACATAACTATCAAACCGCCTAAAGACGCATTTCTCAGAATGTGCAAGAAGTCTTTTGTCAAGGAGGAAAAGCTTTGTCTAAAACTTTGGGGTCAGCAGACAAGAATGTTAGCTCTGGCCCAGGGGCATGACCTCCTCCAGGCCCCTCAGGAAGAACTTTAGGACAAAGATCAGCAGTCAAAGTTCAGTCCTCCGCTCCCCCTTATCTGAGGTCTATGTGCCAGCAGATCCACTCAGTAGGGGTCCAGGTTTCTGAAAAACAGCTCAGGGACATATGCTTAGATGTTATCTTTAGTTTCTGTAAGGGACAAAACATCTCCTGCTTCTCATTTCTTGGCTATTGTTTTAGGCTACTATTACCTTCTTGCTTATCAAATTGCTCATCTACTCTCTAGGCCAGCTAGGTGCCTGGAATTTCCCTTGAAGAAACTCAAGATTTTTCTTTATTCCCATGCGGCCAATGTGGCCTGCTCAAGCCCCCACAGGACATCCGATGTTTGTCTCCATGGTCTTCATGGTGGGCCTGGACAACAGAGCTATCTAGGGGCCTCAAACTTTGAGCCCTGCTCTGTGAAAAATAGGCAGCCCCTCAGACAGGAATCTGTGGACGGCAAGGGCGGGAAGCTGTGATTCCTGGGAGGACATTTCCCTTCCTTTTCACTAGAACCAAGGTGAGGCTCAAGGGTGACTCTCCTCATCTCCTCACCCACCTCAGGCCTCTCGCAGAATCTTCTCTTCCATTTTCAGTTCTGCTCTAGACGCTCACAAGAGACAAGAGTAAGATTCCCCCCTCCAATACTGACTCAGGGAAAAAAACATAATCAGGTTTCCACTTCCAGTCTCTTGACTCTCAGGGATTGTCTGAGACCCAGCCCTCCCTGGAGGGAGCCAAAGGCTTGATGAGCTTCTTCCTAGGGCAACCTCAGGGCACAGCCCCTTGGGGCTGCTTTGGTGAAGCACATTTAGGGTGTACCCTCAATGAAGGGACAAGATGTTGAACAGGGCTCTTCTGGTTACCCAGAATTATGGCCAGGATCCAGGGTAAGGGCAAGAAAGAAAAACCACAATTAAGACCTCATATCCTACATCCAGAGGGCTGCCAACCAGGTCACATGGGGCAAGCTAAGAGGAGTCAGACCCAGCCTGCTCAACACCAACACAGCCCAAAGGAGGAGGCTCGAGGACAGGAAGGAAGGCCCCTGGTCTTTGGAACACTGCAGTGGGCATGAAGGCTTTCCCCGCCCAGAAGAGGAGTGAGGGGAACTCCAGGGGAACCACTAGGAAATGTTGGCAAGGCCTGAAAGAAGGAAGCACTGACCTCTCATCCCCACCAGATAATGACTGAGCTACAGCGCCTATTGGAGTGGAGGTGCTGAAAAACTCTTCAGAGAACATTCTGGAAAAAGGACCATGGTGCATGGCATTTTAGTTCCCCTCTTCCACCTATGGGGGCCAAAAGGAGAGTGCTTGGCACATGTTCCTTGAACTTTTGAAACTGGCGAGCAGAGATGCTGCATTAGTTTCCTAGGAATGCCGTAGCAAAGTGTCACACACAGGTGACTTAAACAGCAGAGATTCCTTGTCACATAGTTCTGGAGGCTGAAAGTCTAAAATCAAGGTGTGGTGGAGCCATGTTCCCTCTGGAACCTATAGGAATCCTTCCTTGCCTCTTCCTAGCTCCTCATGGTTTGCAGGAATGTGGTTCGGCATTCCTTGGCTTGCAGTTGCAATATTCCAACCTCTGCCTCCATCATCACACAGCCATTTTGTCCCTGTGTGACTCTGTCTCTTTGTCTCTTCTCCTTTTTTACAAGGACAACAGTCATGTTGGATTAAGGCCCCACCCTACTCCAGGATGACCTCATCTGAACTCATTATATCTGCAACAACCCAGTTCCAAATAAGGTAAGGCATAAGGTACTGAGAGTTAGGACTTCCACATATCTTTTTGGGGAACACATCCCATAACACATACTGATGCCTGTTTCTGAACTAAAGGTTTCTGAAAGTGAGAGGCTCACTGGAGTGGCCGGTGGATCTGAAGGGACTGTAGCATAGACCACTTAGAAAGAAGATGGGGCCACTCCCACCCTGCTCCAGTTCTCTATAAAGAGGACCTCAGGGATTCCTGCAGTTGTGCAGGAAGAAGCCTGTGGTGGCTGGGCGTGGTGGCTCACACCTGCAATTTCAGCACTTTGGGAGGCCGAGGCAGGAGGATCACTTGATGCCAGGAGTTCAATAGCAGCGTGGGCAACCTCTTCTCTACCGTGTGGTGGTGCACATACTCAGGAGGCTGAAGTGGGAGGATCACTTGAGCCCAAGAGGGGCTGGAGTGAGCTATGATTGTGCCAGTACACTCCAGCCGGTACAACAGAGTGAGACCACCGTCTCGAAAAAAAAAAAAAAAAAGAACCAGGAGTTCCAGGACAGCCACAGAGCTGGGTAGTAGGACACCTAAACCAGAGGGGACAAGCACCCAAAGGGAGACTGCCGCCCACCCTGGAGGGGGTTCCTTATTTTGGAGGAAACCGAGGTGAAGCTGAACACTGCCCCCAAGAAAGCCAGGCCCGGAAGTCTCCCCACACTGGCAGGGACTGGTCAGGTAGGGAAAGCTCTGCCTCTACCCCTCCTTCCTGCCCTCTAGCCCCATCGAAGAGAGAGAAAAGGAGGGAGGGTTGCAGAGGCAGACTACACCATCCTCCTGTTCTCCGGGTTGCTGGGAGCCAATGCTCTCACCAGCCCAGGAGGAGGGAGGACAGAGTGTTGCATTGTGCTTAAGACTGAAGTTTGGAAATGTGAACAGGCCCAAGCCTTAACTGCTGGAATGAGACTGTGTGAATGTCCAAAAGTGACAGGGGAGGCATGGCACCCATCCAAGGAAGCATTAGGGGATGTGAAGCAGCGGGACAGAGGGCCTACACTGTATAAATGAAAGCAGCAATTGGGGAAAATAAATCATACCATTGCAAGCTCACACTTCAACAGTTCAGACTCCTCCATCTAACCAGTTATAATGAGTTTCTCTGAACCTGATTTGTAAAAGTGTCACATGCAGGCTGCTGCCTCCACCAGCTAGGCTGTGCCCTTCATCCGGCGCTTGGGACCCAAGCTCAGACAGCCGTCTTCCTGCAGCAGTGACATGCCCAGGTGAGAACAGGTCCCAGCCCTCGTCACTCCAAAGCCAGACACAGAACTACATGGGCTGCAGCACAAAGAGGTCTTTGTTGGCATCCATCCTCAGACAATCTCAATATCCCTCCCCTCAGGTTGCAAGTGTCAGACATCAGGAAACTTTCTCCAAGGAAGCAAGGCTGAGTAAGGGCTGCCAGGCTACCAAGAAGCCAGCTCCACCATATATTTCACAGAATGAGGCTTTTTGGAGTGACACAGACCAGGGAGAAAAATGCTATGGGCACTCAAATTCTTGAGCTTGTTACTGCTCTAGGGCAAGGTGTGAAGAAAGCATTGTGGAAGATGCTGCACCATGGAAATCTGTTGGGAGAAGGAGTGGGAGCGTCTTGGTAATAATAAAGCAGGTTGGGGCGTGTGTATGTGTATTTGGGGGGACTGAAGGGTACGTGGGGCGAAACAAAACCGGCCATGGCAGCAGCGGAGGAGGAGGACGGGGGCCCCGAGGGGCCAAATCGCGAGCGGGGCGGGGCGGGCGCGACCTTCGAATGTAATATATGTTTGGAGACTGCTCGGGAAGCTGTGGTCAGTGTGTGTGGCCACCTGTACTGTTGGCCATGTCTTCATCAGTGGCTGGCACGGCCAGAACGGCAAGAGTGTCCAGTATGTAAAGCTGGGATCAGCAGAGAGAAGGTTGTCCCGCTTTATGGGCGAGGGAGCCAGAAGCCCCAGGATCCCAGATTGAAAACTCCACCCCGCCCCCAGGGCCAGAGACCAGCTCCAGAGAGCAGAGGGGGATTCCAGCCATTTGGTGATACCGGGGGCTTCCACTTCTCATTTGGTGTTGGTGCTTTTCCCTTTGGCTTTTTCACCATCGTCTTCAATGCCCATGAGCCTTTCCGCCGGGGTACAGGTGTGGATCTGGGACAGGGTCACCCGGCCTCCAGCTGACAGGATTCCCTCTTCCTGTTTCTCGCCATCTTCTTCTTTTTTTGGCTGCTCAGTATTTGAGCTATGTCTGCTTCCCGCCCACCTCCAGCCAGAGGAGAATCAGTATTGAGGGTCCCTGCTGACCCTTCCGTACTCCTGGACCCCCTTGACCCCTCTATTTCTGTTGGCTAAGGCCAGCCTTGGACATTCTCCAGGAAGGCCTGGGGAGGAGGAGTGAAGTCTGTGCATAGATGGGAGAGCCTTCTGCTCAGAGGCTCACTCAGTAACGTTGTTTAATTCTCTGCCCTGGGGAAGGAGGATGGATTGAGAGAATGTCTTTCTCCTCTCCTAAGTCTTTGCTTTCCCTGATTTCTTGATTTGATCTTGAAAGGTGGGCAAAGTTCCCTCTGACTCTTCCCCCACTCCCCATCTTATTGATTTAATTTAATTTTTCACTCCCCAGAGTCTAATATGGATTCTGACTCTTAAGTGCTTCCTCCCCCTCACTACCTCCTTTAATACAAATTCAATAAAAAAGGTGAAATAAAAAAAAAATCAATAAAGCAAAATAAAATTTGCTGGCATATGGGGCTCAAACAACTCAATTAGAATCAATTCACCAAATATTTACGGAAACCCCATTGCATGCACGAAATAGTATTAGGCACAGTTAGGAATAGAAAGATCAGTAGGGCAGGGTCTGTTTTAAAATGTACCTGGGATTGGCTGGGTGAGGTGGCTCACCCCTGTAATCCCAGCACTTTGGGAGGCCAAGGCGGGTGGATCACCTGAGGTCAGGAGTTCGAGACCAGCCTGACCAACATGGTGAAACCCCATCTCTACTAAAAATACAAACATTATGTGGGCGTGGTGGGGGCACCTGTAATTCCAACTACTCCGGAGGCTAAGGCAGAAGAATCGCTTGAACCCGGGAGGCAGAAGTTGCAGTGAGCCAAGATCGCGCCATTGCACTCCAGCCTGGGTGACAGAGCAAGACTCCATCTCAAAAATAATAATAATAACAAAATAAAATGTACCTGGGATTTATTTAGGCATGATGAGACCAGCAGATCAGGAGACAACTGCCATTCAAACTGTTCCCAAGCAGAGGAAGTGCACTTACCACCCAGGGTCCCGTGGGAAGCACCAGGGTCTGTCAAGAAGAAACACAGGTAACAGCCTGTGTGTGGTTATCTTGGAAAGGAATAGGCAGGGAAGGGTAAGCAGCCCAACAGGTCTAGGAATGAAAAATTTGAATAATTTTGGCAGGCTCTGGGCTTTAGAGGTGGTTGTCCAGTATCTGGCCCTCAGGCAATTAGGGCAGGGGATTAGTGTCCTGGCCTTGGGATCTGGTGGGGCTATGGACTTGGAATTGGTTGGTTTGCATATCAAAAATGAGCTTGCAGGAAATATGGAACCAGCCCAAATGCCCATCAATTAATGAGTGGATAAAGAAACTGTGATATATATTGGAATATTACTCAGCCATAAAAAGGAATGAATTAATGGTATTCACAGCAACCTGGATGGAATTGGAGTCTATTGTTCTAAGTGAAGTAACTCAGGAATGGAAAACCAAACATTGTATGTTCTCACTCATAAATGGGAGCTAAGCTATGAGGATGCAAAGAATAAGAATGATACAGTGGACTTTGGGGACTCAGGGGAAAGGGTGGGAGGGGGGTGAGAAGTTAGACTACAAATTGGGTTCCGTGTACACTGCTTAGGTGATGGGTGCATCAAAATCTCACAAATCCCCACTAAAGAACTTGCTCAGGTAAACAAATACCAGCTGTTCCCCAAAAACCTGTGGAAATAAAAAAATTCAACACTTTTTATAAATGAGCTTGCAGGAGAGTTGTGTGTTATCTCTAGGAATTAGTTAACCCTGGATGGGGCAGTGCTTCCTGGGTCCCAGATGGCAAGGAAACATGGTCAACACAGAGTTTCTGCTCTCAAGCTAAAAATTCAGGAGGAAGGACCTAGAACATGTCCACAAGCATAACACAAGACAGAATATAATATGTGGCATAAAAGATACAAATGAAGGGCATGGGATTTCCTAGAGAAGGAGAAATTATCCAGTTGAGGGAATCAGGAAATGCTTCAGGGAAGAGGTAGTATTTAGGCAATGAATAACAAAATATATTTAGTTTTTAATTGATAATACATGTGCATGATTTTTTAGAATCCAAAACAACAACAAGGGTCAAACTAAGAAAGGCAAAGCTATAGTGATGAAGAAGAAATCAGTAGTTGCCAGGGGTTAGGATTGGAAGGAGGAAAGAAATAAAAAGGAATAGCACAAGGGAGCTTTGGGGATGATAGAACTGTTCTATACTTAATTAGAGTGGTAGTTACACAAATTTTACATGTAGTACCGGCCAGGCCCAGTGGCTCACACCTGTAATCCCAGCACTTTGGGAAGCCGAGATAGGAAGATCGCTTGAGCCCAGGAGTTTGAGACCAACCTGGGCAACATGGCAAGACTCTGTCTCTACAAAAAAAAAAGTTTTCTTTTAATTAGCCTGGTGTGGTAGCACCCACCTGCAGTCCCAGCTACTCAGGAGGCTGAGGTGGGAGAATCACTTGAGCCCAGGAGGTTGAGGCTGCAGTGAGCCATGACTGAGCCACTGCACTCCAGCCTGGGCAACAGAGTGAGACCCTATCTGAAAATAAAATAAAATAAATTTGCATTTCTTTTCTGAGTGCCACTGAGTATCTTCTCATATTATTATTATTATTTTATTATTTATTTATTTTTTTTGAGACAGAGTTTTGCTGTCACCAGGCTGGAGTGCAGTGGTGCAATCTCAGCTCACTGCAACCTCCGCCTCCTGGGTTCAAGCAATTCTCCCTGCCTTAGCCTCCTGAGTAGCTGGTATTACAGTTGCCTGCCACCATGCCTGGCTAATTTTTGTATTTTTAGTAGAGACGTAGTTTTGCCATGTTGGATAGGCTGGTCTCGAACTCCTGACCTCAGGTGATCTGCCCACCTCGGCCTCCCAAAGTGCTGGGATTACAGGCATAAGCCACCAGGCCCTGCCTCATGTAATTTAAGAGCCACTTGGATGTCCTTTGCTGTGAATTCTGTGCATGTCCTTTATTTTTATTGCATTGGGGTCTTTATTAGTTTGTAGAAGTTCCATATAGATTGAAGAAAGGAGTCCTCTGTCTGCTGTTTATGTGGTAAATATCCTACTGTTTGTTGTTTGGATTTTGACTTGGTTGGTAGTATTTTCAGCCGTGGAGAAAGTGTTAGTCTTTATGTAATCAAATGTATCAATTTTGTTTCTTTTATGTCGTCTGGATTTTGTGTCATACAATTTCTTTCCGCTAAATGACTATTATAATTGATGGGTGAAGAGGGAGTGAACAGAGTGAGCACAGGGATCTTTATATATCTGTTATATCAAGCTTACTAATTGTATTATTCAAATCTTCTATATGCTAATTTTTTGATCTGATTGATCTATTAATTACCAAGAGAAATGTAAAAATCTACCAGTGTGATTATTAATTACCAATTTCTTCTTAAAAGTCTGTCCATTTTTGCTTATACATATGTATAAGCAAAATTATATATATATATATGTAACCATTGCAGTGGCTTACACCTGTAATCCCAGCACTTTGGGAGGCTGAGGCAGGTGGATCATTTGAGGTCAGGAGTTCAAGACCAGCCTGGCCCACATGGTGAAACCCTGTCTCTACTAAACATACAAAAATTAGCCAGGCAGTGGTGGTGCATGCTTGTAATCCCAGGTACTTGGGAGGCTGCAGTGGGAGAATCACTTGAGCCTGGGAGGCAGAGGTTGCGGTGAGCCAAGATCATGCCACTGCACTCCAGTCTGGGCAACAGAGTGAGACCCTGTCTCAAAAATAATAATAATAATAAATATATATACACACACACACACACATAAAAGCAAAATTATATATGTGTGTGTGTGTGTGTGTGTGTGTGTGTGTGTGTATACTTTTTTTGTAGAGGTGGGGTCTCACTATGTTGCCTAGGCTGGTCTCAAACTCTTGGGCTCAAGCAATCCTCCCACTTGGCCTCCCAAAGTGCTGGGATTATAGGTGTAAGCCACAGTGCCCAGCTTCAAGTTCTTTCTTGAAGAGAGAGTTAAGCAGTACATTTCTATGTCTGCTATAACATGCATATTTGCCTACATCAGCATTTTTATCCCCTTCCTAAATAATACTTGAATTTAGCATTATAACTTATCGTTTCTGCCCATATTCAGTGTAGGTGCTCAGTATCTAATCCCACCTCTTGTCACACCCCCAGAGTTAATCATCATTGTTTTATTCAGTCAATGCATGTTCATATTTTCATATACAATCCTCCCTAAGTATCCACAGGGAACTGATTCCGGGGCTCCTCTGGATACCAAAATCTTCAGATGCTCAAGTCCCTGATATAAAATGGCATAGTATTTGCATATAACCTACACACAACCTCTTGTATACTTTATAGCATCTCTAAATTAGTTATAATAGCTAATACAATGTAAATGCTATGTAAATAGTTGTTATACTGAATTATTTTTTAAATAATGTTACTTATACAAATAAAGAAACATTACAATTATAAACATTTTAAAAAATATTTTTTGAAAGTTGCAGTTATAGGTAATAAAGTTTCTCAAAATAAAACTACCATGGCACTACTGAGTAAGGCATTTCTCTCTGGATTTTTTCCCGAGCGAGGGCTGTGGATGAATTTGCACTGAGACAGCTATCCCACTTGTACATGACACACTATTTCTACATAATAAGCTGGGGTTAGGGCTAAATATTTAATAGGGAGCTGTTCTTCCAGAAATCATTCATGATTGTGGTCTACTTAATACTTTGCTTCAAGGCCTTAGGCAAGCAAGGATAAATAACAGGTGTCACTTCCTTAAACATAATTATTATTTTATATTTTTTACTTTTATTTCCATAGGTTATTGGGGTACAGGTGGTATTTGGTCACATGAGTAATTTCTTTAGTGGTGAATTGTGAGATTTTGGTGCACCCATCACCCAAGCAGTATCTATTGCACCCTATTGGTAGTCTTTTATCCTTCACACCCTGTCTACCCTTTCCCCCTAAGTCCCCAAAGTCCATTGTGTCATTCTTATGCCTTTGCATCATCATAGCTTAGCTCCCACGTATGAGTGAGAATATACGATGTTTGGTTTTCCATTCCTGAGTTACTTCACTTAGAATAATAGTCCCCAGTCTCACCCAAGGTCACTGTGAATGCCATTAATTCACTCCTTTTTATGGCTGAGTAGTATTCTATCATATATATATATGTGTGTGTATATATATATATCACAGTTTCTTTATCCACTCGTTGATTGATGGGCATTTGGGTTGGTTCCATGTTTTTGCAATTGCAAATTGTGCTGCTATAAACATGCGTGCGCAAGTATCTTCTTTATATAATGACTTCTTTTCCTCTGGGTAGCCCATTAGTGGGATTGCTGGATCAAATGGTAGTTCCACTTTTAGTTCTTTAAGGAATCTCCACACTGTTTTCCATAGTGGTTGTACTAGTTTATGTTCCTACCAGCAGTGTAGATGTGTTCCCCGTTCACCACATTCATGCCAACATCTACTGTCTTTTGATTTTTTGATTATGGCCATCCTTGCAGGAGTAAAGTGGTATGGCATTGTGGTTTTGATTTGCATCACCCTGATCATTAGTGATGTTGAGCATTATTTCATATGTTTGTTGGCCATTTGTATATCTTCCTTTGAGAGCTGTCTACTCATGTCCTTAGCCCACTTTTTTTTTTTTTTTTTTTGAGACGGAGTCTCGCTCTGTCGCCCAGGCCGGACTGCGGACTGCAGTGGCACAATCTCGGCTCACTGCAAGCTCCGCTTCCCGGGTTCACGCCATTCTCCTGCCTCAGCCTCCCGAGTAGCTGGGACTACAGGCGCCCGCCACCGCGCCCGGCTTAGCCCACTTTTTGATGGGATTGTTTGTTTTTTTTCTTGTTGATTTGTTTGAGATCATTGTAGATTCTGGATATTTGTCGTTTGTCAGACAAATTTCTCTGCTGAGAAATCTGCTGTTAATCTGATAAGTTTTCCTGTATTGGTTACCTGGTGCTTTTGTCTCACAGCTCTTAAGATTCTTTCTTTCATCTTATCTTTAGATAACCTGATGACAATGTGCCTAGGCAATGGTCTTTTTGCGGTGAATTTCCCAGGTGTTCTCTGTGCTTCTTTTTGTTGTTGTTGTTGTTGTTGCGACGGAGTGTCGCCCTGTCGCTCAGGCTGGAGTGCAGTGGTGCAATCTCGGCTCACTGCAAGCTCCACCTCCCGGGTTCATGCCATTCTCCTGCCTCAACCTCCCGAGTAGCTGGGACTACAGGCGCCCGCTGCCACGCCCGGCTAATTTTTTGTATTTTTTAGTAGAGACGGGATTTCACCATGTTAGCCAGGATGGTCTCAATCTCCTCACCTCGTGATCCACCTGCCTCGGCCTCCCAAAGTGCTGGGATTACAGGTATGAGCCACCGCGCCCGGCCCTCTCTGTGCTTCTTGTATTTTGATGTCTAGGTGTCTAACAAGGTCGGGGAAGTTTTCCTTGATTATTCCCCAAAATATGTTTTCCAAACTTTTAGATTTCTCTTCTTCCTCAGGAACACTGATTATTTTTAGTTTGGTCATTTAACATAATCCCAGACTTCCTGGAGGCTTTGTTCATATATTCTTATTATTTTTCTTTGCCTTTGTTGGATTGGGTTAATTCAAAGACCTTGTCTTCAAGCTCTGAATTTCTTTCTTCTGCTTTTTCGATTCTATTGCTGAGGCTTTCCAGAGCATTTTGCATTTCTATAAGTGTGTCCATTGTTTCCTGAAGATTTGATTGTTTTTTATTTATGCTACCTATTTCCTTGAATATTTCTCCCTTCACTTCTTGTATCATTTTTTGGATTTCCTTACATTGGGCTTCACCATTCTCTGGTACCTCCCTGATTAGCTTAATAACTAACCTCCTGAATTCTTTTTAAGGTAAATCAGGGATTTCTTCTTGGTTTGGGTCCATTGCTGTGAGCTAGTGTAATTTTTGGGGGGTGTTAAAGAATCTTGTTTTGTCATATTACCAGAGTTGGTTTTCTGGTTCCTTCTTACTTGGGTAGGCTCTGTCAGAGGGAAGGTCCAGGGCTGAAGGCTGTTGTTCAGATTCCTTTGTCCCGTGGGAGTGTTCCCTTGATGTAGTACTCTCCCCTTTTTCCTATGGATGTGCCTTCCTAAGAGCCAAGCTATAGTGATTGTTATCTCTCTTCTGGATCTAGCCACCCAGCAAGTCTACCCGGCTCCAGGCTGGTACTGAGGGTTATCTGCACAGAGTCCTATGATGTGAACCATCTGTGGGTCTCTCAGCCATGGATACCAGCACCTGTAACGGTGGAGGTGGCAGGGGGGTGAAATGGACTCTGTGAGGGTTCTTAGCTTTGGTGGTTTAATGCACTATTTTTGTGCTGGTTGGCCCTCTGCCAGGAGGTGGCACTTTCCAGAGAGCATCAGAGGTGGCAATATGGGGAGGAACAGGCAGTGGGTGGGGCCCTAGAACTCCCCAGAGTATATATGCCCTTTGTCTTCAGCTACCAGGGTGGGTAGGGAAGGACCACTGGGTGGGGGCAGAACTAGGCATGTCTGAGCTCACACTCTCCTTGGGCGAGTCTTGCTTTGGCTGCTGTGGGAGATGGGATGAGGTTCCCAGGTCAATGGAGTTATGTTCCTAGGATGATTATGACTGTCTTTACTGTGTCAGGCAGGCTGTCATGGAAGTGGGGGAAAGCTGGCAGTCACAGGCCTCACCCAGCTCCCATGCAACTTGAAGGGCCAGTCTCACTCCCACTGTGCACCTCCTAACAGCACCAAGTCTGTTTCCAGGGAGTGGGCAAGCAGGGCTGAGAACTTGCCCCAGGCTACCGGCCTCCCAGCTGCAAAAGCAAATAGGCTTTCCTTCTTCCCCTGCCTGTGGAGTCTGCACACCAGATTCACGCCCTCCCCCCAGGTTCTGGCCAGAAGGCTTCTCCATCAGTTCAAATTGTTACAAAGTTCAGCTGGAGATTTTCTTCTCCCTGTGGCCTTTTCCCAGCACTTCTGGCCACCATCCCGAAGCACTCCTGTGAGGCCAGGCAAAAACCCTAGGGGACCCATCAAGCTCCCAGGACTCTTCTCGCTGCTTCCTCTACCCTGTATTTTGCTCGGCTCTCTAAATTAACTCAGCTTCAGGTAAGGTCAAAATCTTCTCTTGTAATCTAGGCCTTCAGTTTCCCCAGTCGGGGGTGTGTGTTTGGGGGTGGACGATCTCCCTTCCCCACGTCCACAGTTTGGGCCCTCACAGTATTTAGGGTGTCTCCTGGGGCCTGCAGAAGCAATCCACTTCCTTCAGGGGGTCTGTGGGTCCTCTCAGGTTTCCTGATTTATTCCTGCAGTTGTACTGGAGCAGAAATTCGCAATGCAAGCCTCTGCGTGCTGCTCTGTCTGTCCAAGTTGGAGCTGCAATCTAGTCCTGCCTGCCATCCACCATGATCTGACCATAATTATATTTTATTGTTGTATTTTTTGCATTTTTTTGATCCACAATTGGTCAAATCCACAAATGCAGAATCCTCAGATACAAAGGGCTGACCATATGTTTACTGATTTCTTTGTTCATCATTTCTTCTTGCATTTTAATTCTTCCTTCTGCTTTCAATTTTATTCTTCCTGAAGTATATCCTCTTTCAGCAAATGTGTTAGTGTTTCTCAGACTTTGTTCTGAAAATGTTTTTATTTTGCACTCACTTTTTTTTTTTTTTTTTTTTTGAGATGGAGTCTCACTCTGTCACCCAGGCTGGAGTGCAGTGGAGCGATCTCAGCCCACTGCAACCTCCACCTTCTGGGTTCAAGCAATTTTCCAGCCTCAGCCTCCCAAGTAGCTGGGATTACAGGTGCATGCCACCATGCCCTGCTAATTTTTGTGTTTTTAGTAGAGACAGGGCATCACCATGTTGGCCAGGCTGGTCTCAAACTCCTGGCCTCAAGTGATCCACCTGCCTCAGCCTCCCAAAATGCTGGGATTACAGGCATGAGCCACTGCACCTGGCCTGCACTCACTCTTAAGTGATAGTTTAGCGAGGTATAAAAAAAATTTTTTTTTTACTAGGATTCTGAGCATTTTGATACATGATTTTCAGGCTTCTATTATGACTATTCAGAAATCTGATGATAGTCTAATTGTTCTCCCCTTGTAGAGTGCCCTGGTTCCTTTTAAGACTTCCTTTTGGTCTCTGAGGTTCTGCATTTTGACCATAATGTGTCTGGTTATTATTTCATTTGATTTATTCTGCCTGTGACCCCTGTGATTTCTGAATCTATGATTCATGTCTCTCATCAACTCTGGAAAATTATCAACCATTTCCTCTAAAATATTGTCTTTGCCTCATTGTTTTTATTTTTCTTTCTGGAACTTCTGTTAGATACATAGCGAACCTTTTTAGTCCATCCTTCATGTCTCTTAACATCTTTTTTACATTTTATATATTTTCAAACCTTTGCAATGAATTATGGACAATTTCTTTAATTCTAGATTTAAGTTTATTTATGTTCTGTTTTGTATAAATGTGCTGTTTTATACAACATTATATTTTAATTTTGGTGCCTATATTTTTTATTTCATGTGCCTGTCATTTTTTCATCATATTTTTCTCTTTTCTTACATTTTTCATTACTTTCATTTATGTCTTCAATCTTTTTGAGCATATACTTTTATGAATTTCTATCTAGTAGTTCCATTTTCAGAAGTTACTAGTCATGGCCACTGATACACACTAATGATGGATTGTTTCCCAGTGAGTTTTAAATTTTGAGCCACATCCAGCAGAATCCCATCTGTGGAAATCCTTTAAAGCCAGGGATCAGGGTGTGTCCTTCCAGTGGGATTTTGTGTTTGCTGCTGCCCATCTCTCCAGGCCGTCAGTAGTGTCAGCCTTAGGACATTTTAACATTAAAGTCTTAGCTGGAGGATTCCTGGCCACCCAGATAGTATAAATTAGAACCAAACTCAGCCAAGGTACAGGCTGTGACTACAAATTCTCAGGGGGTCCTTCTTCCCATTCAGACCCAAGTCATAGCAGATAGGCCTCCTTGCTGTCTCCTTCTGCTGGTGAATGAATGTATTTTAGTCCATTAGTTTACTGTGCATGAGGCTGACAAATGATTCTGACTTTAAGCAAGAGCCTTGGTTCCAACCCCTCTGCCTGAAGCAGGCCCAAGGCTGTGTCCCTGAGAAGGTTCAGACCCAACCCTTGGCCATCACCAGGTCTGAAAACAAGCCGTGCTCCTACCAGGGCTGCCACAGTCTCTGACCACATATTTATCAGTCTGTTTTTCAGTTTACTCTTTAATTTTGAACGTGGGAATTTCTTTTAGTTTTTTTACATGTTCAGTTATATGTTTAAAGGGATATTTGTTATATCATATTTAGGATTTCCAGTTGTTTGTATCAGAAGAATTCCCAAATTATATTAGTTCACCATATTGACAAATTAACGTCTGATCCTCCAGCAAATTAAAGGCTGAGGCAGGAGGATTGCTTGAAGCCAGGAGTTTGAGACCAACTTGGGCAACATAACAAGACCCTGTGTTTACAAAAAAAAAGAAAAAGAAAAAAAGAGAATTAGCTTGGCATGGTGGTGTGTGCCTGTAGTCCCAACTGCTCAGGAGGCTGAGGTGAGAGGATCCCTTGAGCCCAGGAGGTCGGGCTGCAGTGAGCTCTGATCATGTCACTGCAGTCCAGCCTGAGAGAAAGAGTGAAACCCTGTCTAGAATGAATGAATAAATAAATAAATGAATAAGCTTCCTCATTGTTTGTTCAGGCACTTCATGACCTCATATTAATAAGTTTATTGCCTCTCTGGGCAACATGTCAGCCTCAGTTTCTTTCTGTTAAAACACTGGGCCTCTCCATTTTTTAAATTCAAATCCCTGGGAATATGTACTTGGTTGGACTAGCTCACCCCATCTAGGCAGAGCTCCTCACCCCAAGACTCCCACAGGCCATGGGCAGCCCATGAGTTGGCTGCTTTTGAGTCAGGTTCAATCAAGTGCAGCTGGAGGAAGAATGAGTCTCACGGTGCGAAACACTGTGGCTAATGGTGCCTCCATCAGGACCATTTCCTTAGAAAGGCCTGTGGACACAGAAGGCACTCCCAGAGACAGTCCTCCTCCCAAGCACCATCAGGGCAAGATACCACCATCCCCTGAACAGCACAGCATTTTACCCATGAACAAATGAATAAATAAACAAACAGCGAGTTGAATAGCCCATAGTCAATTGTGATGGTTTGTACAGGTTTCAGTTTGAAAAGCAGTCACTAATGAGCTGCTTGGTCACATTTTGTCAATTATTTAGATGTAGAGATCAAAGTCAGATTATAGGTTGGGTACAGTGGCTCACATCTGTAATCCCAGCACTTTGAGAGGCTGAGGTGGAAGAATTGCTTGAGCCCTGTAGTTCAAGACTGGCCTGAGCAACACAGCAAGACCCCATCTGTACAAAAAATAAATTAGCCAAGTGTGGTGGCCTGTGCCTATAGGCCCAGCTACTTGGGAGGCTAAGGCAGGAGGATCTCTTGAGCCCGGGAGTTCAAGGCTGCAGTGAGCTATGATTGCATGACTGTGCTCTAGCCTGGGTAACAGAGTAAGACTTTGTCTCTAAAAAAAATTTTAAATGAAAAAGAAAAAAAAGTCACTTTATACATTTGATGCATGACAGAAAGTTGAAAGGGATAGATAACACTCTCCAGAAATGAGGTTCAAATGGTTTTGGCTGATTACAATCAACAAGATTTAATTTAATGAGGATGAGGGAAAGCCCTAAAGTTATGTCCAAAATTCCAATGGTGAAGCACAGGATTGTTGTGTCCTGACTCGGCTGCAACTCATGGACCAAGAATCTGGGACTTTTAGTGACGGTCATTTCAACCTGACCCTGACTAGTCCTGCTCAACTCCTACCCAAATCCTCCGGGCCCTGGTGAAACACATAGGGCCCACAGAAAAAGAGCTGTCCATGATCGCCCTGCCTCTGTGAGCTTCAATCCTAACTTACCTGTCTCATCAGCCTCATGTTTAGCTCTACCGCTGCCCATTCTCTTCTGTACCCCAACATAGCCTCCTTAATTTTATGCACAATTTAATTTTCTGGGCCCCTTTCTCATCTCTCTGCTTGTTAGTCATTTCACTTGCAGTCTTCTGGGTCTGCAATTCATACTAGGAACTTTGGAAGAAATGAAGGATACATTTCTCTTAGAGAAGAGACTATGGGAAGCAAAATGGGACCTTCAAATGAAAGCTAGGGTGGACAGGTCCTGTGCTGCTGCAGCCACCGCTGTTAGAACCAGAAGGGAGACAGTTGAAAGGATCAGATGTCTGTTCAATACAAGCCACTTACTGTTTCAATGAATATGTGCGAGCACTTACTATCTGCAAGGTGATAGGCACTTTGGGCCATCCAAAGGAAGTACTTGCCAACAAATAGAATGCATTCCGTTGAATTCTAGTGTTGAACGGGGATCCCTGACCTGCTATTGAGAATGCTGCAGAGTTGATTGCTGCATTGGGTAAGGGGACTAGACTCACCCAGTGGCAAAATCCTGGATCCACAGTGACATCTCCAAGCCAGGCCCACTCTCCCAGAAAGGCACTGACAAAGATGAATCCTTTTGAATGCAGAGGAGTAACAGACCACAAGCTGTAATTTCAAAGGGGTCAGAATGACCTGCAGAAAAGCCTGCAAATACTTCCCTACCTGTCTTCTTGCTTCTGGCCCTGGAAATTAGCCCAACCCACTCCCAAGCTGCACCTGCAGAAGATGAAGGGTAGCTGAAAATAGCCACCAGTGTGCAGAGCAATTTCCCAGAACCTCCATTCTCTGATTTGGCTCAGATTCTATCTTAGCTTCCTCCAATCTCCTGGCTCTGACTTCACCTTGGTTATTTGAACCTTGGCTTGACTTATCCTATAGACCAGAGAGGTTTTCAAACTTGAGCTAGCATCGGAATCACCTACAGGACTTATTAAAGCTGAAGCTGCTCATCCCCAGAGGTTTGTTTTTGTTTTTGTTTTTTCTTTTTTGAGACTGGGTCTCATTCTTTTACCTAGGCTGGAGGGCAGTGGTGTGATCAAAGCTTACTGCAGGCTGGACCTCCCAGGCTCAGGCAATCTTTCCACCTCAGCCTCCCAAGAAGCTGGGACTACAGGCACGTACCACCATGCCTGGCTAATTTTTAAAAATTTGTTGTAGAAATGTGGTCTCACTATGTGGCCCACGCTGGTCTCAAACTCATGGCCTCAAGTTATCCTTCCACCTCAACCTCTGAAAGTGCTGGGATTATAGGCATGAGACACCGTGCTCAGCCCACAGTTTCTAATTAAGTCAGTCTGGGATGGGCCCAAGAATTTGCAGCTCTAACAAGTTCCCAGGTGAGATGGATGCTGCTGGTCTCGGACCAGGCTTTGGGAGCCACTGCTCTAGAACTAGGCGCAGCTCTCCCCTCTGCGAGAACCTTTAGTGTAACCCAGCCCCGCAGAATCCTAACTCTGTCTCCTAAGCTATCACAGCCCCAGCCATCACTCCAGTACCCAAAGGGCACTTGGGATGTTACCAATGAAACGATGCCTAAAGTTTCCCAGCATTTGATTCTGAAACCCAGGGTTTCTTGATCTAGCAATATGCAAGTGCCCCAGAAGGCATTTTGCCATAGTTTTACAGAGATAATTAATTAAAAATCTTCTGGGAATGGTATTCCCTCATTGAGAGTCAGCATGTTAAAAAAAAAAAAAGAAGAAGAAGAATAAAACTAACTCTCCCAAATCTTCCTAAATCACATGAGACTCAGCTGGTGGCCTTAGAGTTGCAGACTGAAGTACCAAAGCAGACAGCTTCAAAGAAACAGTCGGGGTCAAATACAAAGAAACAGTTGGGGTCAAATATTAACAGCTGGCTCTAACATAACTCTTATTCTGTGCCAGGCTGTGTCATAAATACTTAACATATATATTAAATACATTTATGTATGTATTATTTAGTTCCTCATAACAAACCTATAAAGAAGATTTTGTTATTATCCTCATTTTCACTAAGAAAACTGGGGCACAGAGAGGTCAGGTAACTAGACTGAAGTCACACAGCTAGAACATGAGAGAGCCAGGACCAAGCCCGGGAGTGGAGCCCTCAGGTCTATGCATTCCCCACGGCACCGCACAGCCTGGGGTAACTTACACAGACTCTGAAATCTGTGTTCTGGATCCAGCCTCCTTTTTCTGCTGAAATATGTACCCCCTAGTTGGGATCCAATTTTCAGGTGCCTGAAGTCCTCCACCCTTTCCTTACCATCCCCACCTTGAAAGAGAAGTGTTCCCTTGTCGAAGAATTTCATTTCAGGCATCGGCAAGCAGAGAAATTTGGGGGAGTCACTGGGGAGGGCCTAGACCATACCAGGTCTTAGCTGGCCACAAACATATACCTGACTTAGGTTCTCAACTGTTTTTCAGCAACTTAGTGGAGGTGGGATTGCTGGGATAAGTCCCCGGGGGCTCTCCCCTAAATGGTAGGCCCCTCAAGTCATGGTAGGTCAAGGCCACTTCCAGGTTTTGAGCATATCTCCAAAAGAAGGGTTTATAATAAATGTTTACATTAAGCAATCACACATTTAACCCCCCAAATAAATATACTGGGAATGTACAGTTGACCCTTGAACAACAAATGGGGTTGGGGCACCGACCCCTTCAGATTGAAACTCCTGGTCAGGCATGGTGGCTCACGCCTGTAATCCCAGCACTTCGGGAGGCTAAGGCAGGAGGGTTGCTTGGGCCAGGAGTTCAAGACCAGCCTGGGCAACATAGTGAGACCTCATCTCTATTTTTTAATTATAAATTAAAAAATGAAAAGACTCCTGTGAATTCAGTGTGTCCCGCCATGTGATGGCATGGCAGTCTGTCATCTGAGGGTTGTGGGAGGAAAGTCTTCCCTGCCTTTTGGGTAGCTGGAGACCCATCTGCAGAGGACACCCACAATCCAAAGCTGAGCACCCCCTATCTGGCCCAGTGGCCACCCCTCCCATCTGTGACAGGACTCGCTGGAGGGGCCTAGCTCTGGGGACCCTGGCTGAGGCTCCAGCGTCAGTTGGGCTTCATCTCTGGTTTCTCCCAGAGCCCAGACTGGCCTGCCCAGCACCGTCTACCAACCAGAGGCCTCTCTCAGCCTTCTCGCTTCCTAAGCTCCAGCTGAATTCTCCCAGCTTCACTCACTGCTGCCCTAAAACTGAAAATTCATAATATTCTGGTTCATTGACCAATATTTTAATAGGCATCTAATGGGTCTTTTGCTCCTAAAAATCCCTTCCTCATATCCTGGAGCACAGCTCTAAACCTCTATATCATTTCCACGTCTGGTTGTGGAACTTGACCAAATCCACAGAGTCCTTGGCCTGCTTCTCCTTTACTAAAAGGGACATGGTTTTGTTTTGAGTTTGCCCCTTTAGTCTTTCAGAAGGGCCATAGGACCGCATAGACACCGTTCCCACCCAACGTCTGCATGTAAGACAACTGTGGTAGCAACATTGGCTTGCTTGGGCTTCGTTTCGCTGCTGCAACAACAACTAAACATTTCCCAAGAGTGAGTGCATCTCAGCATAAAGATAGGGTAGGCAGATGAGATGCATGATGCCCAGTTAAATTTGAATTTCAGATAAACAATAAATACATTTGTAGCATAAGCATAGCCTGTGCAATTTGGGGGATATACTTACACTTAAAAATTATTAGTTGGGCCAGGCACAGTGGCTTGCAATGGTAATCCTAGCACTTTTGGAGGCCAAGGCAGGAGGATTGCTTGAGCCCAGGAGTTTGAGACCAGCCTGGGCAACATAGCAAGACCCCATCTCTCCAAAAAATGAAAAAATTAGCTGGGTGTGGTGTCTTGCATTTGCACAGCTACTCAGGAGGCTGAGGCAGGAGGATTGCTTGAGCCCAGGAGATCGAGGCTGCAGTGAGTTACGATCATGCCACTGCACTCCAGCCTGGGCAACAGAGCAAGACCTTGTCTCTAAAAATTAAAAATAAAAGTAAAAATTAAAAATTATTAGTTGTTCATTTGAAATTCAAATTTAACTGGGGTGCTGCATTTTTATTTGCTAAATTTGATAATGCTAAGCTGACATCAAATAATCCAGTTTAATGAGAGTTCTGTGAAAATATGAACAATAAGTACAGGCAGCCCAACAGCCTCACTAAACTCAAGTGCCTGCTTTTTGCCTACAGAACAGCAGGCATCTGATTAATGATCACGACTGACCCAGTATCCAGTAGAAAACAGGAAATTCCCCAAAAGGATATTGCAATGCTACTTGAAAAAAAAAATGAAATGAAAAATACTACACAGTCAAAAGTTAACAAGGTCTACCATAGTTATGAAACACCCTTTCTAAGGATGACGCAGGCTGAGGTTGGTAAAGATAGATCTCTCCTCTATCATAATTTTTCCAAAGGTACTTACCTAAAAAGCAAAGGGTGATTCAGGACACCTAGGTCCTTGCCTTATTCCAGGACTGGTCACTGTAGGATTGGAGGTGAAGACCTTAACAGCAACTTCCACCCCATCCTCAGTGCCTCAATTTCACCCTAGATGCAAACAGAGACCATCTGAAGGCCCTCAGAAGAAAAGTGTGTGATGTAGTCAAGGAAGTCTTCCACCATTTAAATAAACAGCCACAGTGAGGTAGCTCTGCCCCTCCGATGAGAAGGGAGGAAAATTGCCTCATTAAAAAACATTTTCAATAAAAAATTTTCATCAGAAACATTCACAAGAGGGTTTTGGTCAAATGACGCAATAATTTTAAGGCAATAATAACCATGTTTTTGAAAGTCGGTGCTGATTACCAGGTGTATTGAAAATGGCCTTGGGGAAATCTCTGTGCAAATATTTCCTTTTTAGTTTAATTTCAAAGACTACTTAAAAGGAAAAAGGGAGGATGTCTGCAGTAATAAAGGAGCAATCATTTGCACCTGGACAGGACTGTGTTTCATCCCAGAATCTGGAGCGTTTTGTATACAGATGGGAGAGCCCGGGTGTGCGGCAGAGGCTGCGGGGTCAGGAAGGGACATGGCAAAAAAACAATGTACCTCTACCAAGGTCACACGGAAACACAGGTGGATTCGATAGCACGGCTCCCGCCTGATTACAATCACACAGCTTCCCTGCTCTGAAGAAAGCATAGATCACGTGATGGGAGGTCCCTCCTACCTTCAAAATCAAAGCCTCTGCAGCTGCCACAAAGCTAATATGGCCATGGCCAAGTTTACTGAGCATCTGCTACATGCACAGCCTGTTAGGCACCACAGGGGAGAATGAAGAGGGATAGACCCTGATCCTGCCAGCAAGTGCGAGACGAGCTCAGGAGGCAAGACTGGCTTGTGCGTGTGTGCACAGAGTGGCTTTGTACTACTCTCTTTATGGAGAGATGGAATCTGTCAGCAAGGGTGTAAGGGGGTATACAGACCTTCCTCAGGCCTCCAAGTGTAGGAGACACTTAGATAGAAACGTGGGACATTTCATAATGTTTCATAATGTCTTATATTCTATCCCTCTCTACTAGAAAACTGGAGAACCCCTGCCTTTCCCCTAAGAAATGCAAAATAGACTTCAGGCTGGTCCCAGGCTGTTTGCAGAAAACCAGACATTGGAGGTCTCTTCCAAGAAGTTCAAAAGGGGTTCTGGTTAGTGTGTCCCTTCTCTGTTTGTGTTTTGCTGGTTTCTTGCCCCACCTAGTACTTTATTCGCTCCCTCTTTTCTTCTTTTCCTTCCCACAAAAGAAAAACTCATAATGAGACCACAAGACAAGGACAGCAGAGAAGCTCCTGGATTCTCACCCATTTTGCTGAACTCTTAGGGGAGCAATGGTTCCTGTTAGGGCTGAGCCATGGTCTGAGCTGGGAGGAGGGTCACACTGACCAGGACAGGACTGCTGGTGGCCACATGCCCCCCATCCACTAAATGCTTACAGAATAAAGGATTAGACAGGTCAGCAGACGGCCACTATCAGAGGGACCCTCTGTCATTCACTACCACAGGACTGGCCACCAAGCAGCCTGGATGTTCTGGAATAGTTTCCATTTCAAATGATATATTGACCCCATAAATCATCCAAATGGCCTGGAAATTATAACATTTCAGCATCCAAGCTACAATTTCAAAAATGGCCCCTCACATTTGGAATCGGTACAAAAATCTTCCATCAGCCCAGATCTCCTGGCTGGGTTTCAGAAACTAGGATCACTGCTAGAGGATGATGGGAAAGTACATGTATTCGGCCTTCATGCTCCCCACATACCCTTTCAGCCACCTGTTCCCACCTGCTGCCCAGCCGACTCCACCCTCCCTCTGCCCCTTTCTGGTGAAAACCTGCCCCAATTAGCATCTGGCAAGCATACACCAGCAAAAAGACTGAGGAGGATGTTAGGATATTTGCATCCTCACAAGAGACAGCGTCTTGAGACAAAGGGATGAAATCCTAATAAGGAATTAGGGGGTTTAAGCAAATGTAAGAGAATATAGAGAAGGCTGGGCTTGGTGGCTCACACCTGTAATCCCAGCACTTTGGGAAGCCAAGTTGTAAGGATCACTTAAGCCCAGGAGTTCAAGACCAGCCTGGGCAACATAGCAAGACCCTGTCTCTACAAAAAAAAAAAAAAAAAACAACAACAACAAAAAAAAACAGATAGAAAAATTTAGTCGGGCATGGTGGCACGCACCTGTAATCCCAGCTACTTGGGAGGCTGAGGTGGGAGGATCACATGAGCCCAGGAGTTGGAGATTGCAGTGAGCCATGATTGTGCCACTGCACTCCAGCTTGGGAGACAGAGTGAGACCCTCTCTCTAAGAAAAAAAAAAAAAAAAAAGAGAGCGAGACAGAGAGAGAGAGAATATAGGGGAAAGGAAAGTGAGGGATCTCTGTGGAACCCTTTGAAGCTGCCCTGCCTATTTGCCACGTTAAGTCTCCTACGTCTGAATGGGGTGGAGGAAACTGCAACTGCTGTGGTTGAAGGAGAGAGTAGGTACCAAGCAGGACTGAGAGCTCCTTCATGAGTGACCAAAACTGGACACAGCCCAGTGGCTGCACACACTTCTGATGAAGGGGCCATGTGGCAGGAATAAGTTCCTTGACGACCTGACTCAAAGGCCACTGGACACTGGCTGGAAGTCTGGAGGTGAATCCCATATACTTTTTGCACTTCTGCACCTGTGATAACATGAACCCTGCCCAGTGCTGCACAGTGGCTAATATCACAGGAAGCACTCAGCCCACTGCTGTGAAAGGTACTAGGCTAGCCACTGTTGGTGGTCGCCATGTCCCAAGAATCACAGCCCCTAGGGAGCCTGGGTCACATCTCAGCCAGAAATGGTATGAAACAGATGTCTGTTCTGCTCATCTGCAGAATGGGAGCCCTGAATTCTGCCCCAAACACGGTCTCACCCAGCCAGGGGCATCTTGCCACAGCTCACCTAAAAGGCACACTCTAGGCTGCCCGGGTTGGTGGTCTATGTTCCCAGGACTCACCTGTCTTCTCTCTGCTCCCTGGTGACTACTGTCTCCCTTCTGCTCCCTCCCACACCTACGGCGGGGACCTGACTGCTACCTCCTCAGTCTCATGTTTTGATTCCATACTCTTGGCTTTCTTATTTCTGATTCCTTGCCTTTTGCTGTGATAATTCCGTGGGCAGATCTCATTGTCATGACCTCCATCTTTGGCAAGCCCTGGGACACACCTTCCCTATGTAGAGTCCCCACAGGGATGTGTGTGGGATGAGCCAAGAGAGAAACCATGCTTGAAAAATCTCTCTTCTCTTTGTTCTTCCAGCTGCCTGCAGAAGATGGGTAAGCTTCGCCCTTTTCCAATCCTCTAATCAAAGAGGATGCATGAAAGTCTTTGAAGAAAGTCTCTGCAGAAGGCTGATTCACCCTCAAATTTTTTTCTCTGCCTTCTCCTCCTATGGCCTGCAATTTCCACAATTAGAAATTAATTCCTTTGAATTTTTTCTGCTAAAATACATATAAGCCTGGGAAAGGAAACAGCAGTTGTATTCCAGAGTGAATGTACTTATTCTGAAAGAGTATTTTGATAAGGGGAGAAAGAATTTAAGAGTTCCTGGGAATGAGGGAATTGGGAACGGTTAAAAGGAGCCTCAAAGAGAGGAGAAACAACTTTGGAATGGAAAGATTCCGTCGAGAGGGGGCCCAAGCCAAACTTTTCCTCTCTCAGAGCTTTGCACAAGCCAAGCAGGTCAAAACCAGGTCTCCAATCAGCAAAAGGGGGTAAAAGGTTGGGGAATATTGGAGCAAGTTCAGGCATTGGATACAAAGGCTTCCTTTAGTCTAGGAATTGTGCAAGCACCAAGGGTGCAGTGAAAGGTAAGACCCAGCTCCTGCCCTCAATGTAGAGTTCACAACGTAGTTGGGAGAATCAGTACTCATCATTCGGGTTGAGGGCCTTGGATGTTCTGGCCACACACAGAGGAGGGGCACGGTCAGCAGGCACCTGATGCAGCCTGGAGAAAGGGGAGGATGGGACACATAGACTGGCTATAAAGAAAAAGACAAGTTAGAAGTAGCCTAACCAGTGACTAGGCACGGTGGCTTACACCTGTGATTCCAGCACCTTGGGAGGCCAAAGCAGGAGGATCACTTGAGGCCAGAACTTCAAGACCAGTGTGGGCAACATGGTGAAACTCTGTCTCTACAAAAAAATAACAAAAAATAGCCTGGTATGGTGGCACATACCTGTGGTCCCAGCTACTTGGAAGGCCGAGTGGGAGGATCACCTGAACCGGGGAGGTCAAGGCTGCAGTGAGCCATGATCATGCTACTGCACTTCAGCCTAGGTGACAGAGAGAGACCCTGTCTTAAAAAAAAAAAAAAAAATCAGCTGAGCATGGTGGTATGCACTTGGAGTCCCAGCTATTCAGGGGCTAAGGCAGAAGGATCACTTGAGCCCAGGAGTTTGAAGCTGCAGTGAGCCATGATCACACCACTGCATTCCAGCCTGGGTGACAGAGCAAGACCCTGGCTCTAAAAATAAATAAATAAATTTTTTTAAAAAAAGAAGTAGCCCACCAGGAAAAGGAAAGGCATACCAAGTGGAGGAGAGCACATAAGCAAAGGCTTGGGGGAAAGCACCTTCTATGTGGTAGGAATGTAGGTCCTTAAGCGGATGTGAAGGGAGATGAGGCTGCAAAGGTGTTTGACCACCAGAGTACTGGAGGTCATGTCAAGAAGTTTCAACTTCCTGGCTGGGCGCAGCGGCTCACGCCTGTAATCCCAGCACTTTGGGAGGCCGAGGCGGGCGGATCACCTGAGGCCAGGAGTTCGAGACCAGCCTGGCCAACATGGTGAAACCTCCATCTCTACTAAAAATACAAAAAGTAGCTGGGCGTGGTGGCGGGTGCCTATAATCCCAGCTACTCGGGAGCCTGAGGCAGGAGAATCTCTTGAACCCAGGAGGCAGAGGTTGTAGGGAGCCAAGATCACGCCATTGCACTCCAGCCTGGACAACAAGAGCGAAACTCCGTCTCAAAAAAAAAAAAAAGAAGTTTCAACTTCCTTAGGAAAGCAATCACAAGCTTCTGAAGAATTGTAAGCAGAGGACTACATGGCAATTCGTATCTGCCTTGTTCACCAGAAGGCAGGCAGATGATGGAATGCAGGGGAATGAGGCTGGGGACAGGGGCGCCAGTTAGGAGGTTATGGTAATAGATTCGAGATGAAGGACTCACCTGAAGCAGGTGCAGAGAGTATAGAGGAAGATTGGGAAGATCTGAGGACCAATGTAGGGGCTGAGGGAATGTAAGAGGGTGACAACCATTGCCTGGATTGCCAGCAGGGCCACGGGGAATGGCTCTGTCCACTGAAAAAAGGAAGGCAGGGATGTCATGCAGGGCTTAGCTTTGAAAGTTTGGATGAAAGCAAAATTTCATATGGCCAACATTGCACTTGAAAATCCCTTAAATTACCCATAATGTACAGCAGAGATCATCATGGCTTTGGTTGAATCAGATGAAGTTCCAAGGCCTTGTTATATGTGAAATGCAGATTTTTTTTTTATGTCAGGGTCTTGCTCTGTCACCCAGGATGGAATACAGTGGCATAATTATAGCTCACTGCAGCCTTGAATTCCTGGGCTCAAGCGATCCTCCTGCCTCAGCCTCCTAAGCAGCTGGGGTTATAGGTGCATGCCACTGCTCTCAGCTGAAATACAGATCTTAAACCCCAAAAATCGCACTCAGCATGGAGAGATGCTCATTACAGGAAAAACACAAGGAACTCCACAGAAATAGAAGAATCAGGTCTTCCACTTCTTCACCCCAGGGTTTTCGGCCATGGGTAGAATGACCAGCAGGAACTCCAAGCACTATTTGAGTCTATGATTCTCAACCTTGGCTGCACATTGGAATCACCTGGGGAGCTTTGAAAAATACAGATGCCTGGGTTCCACCCCCAGAGATTCTGATTCCATCCTTCTAGAGAACAGTGTACGCATCTGAATTCTTAAAAGCTCCTTAGAGATTCTAAGGTGCAGACAAGGTTGAGAACCACTGATTTAAGTTGTTCTCTCTCCTCACCTTTGCCTCATTTGAATTTCTATGAGTTAAAGGGCAAAGGGTGAGTTCAGTTTTGGACTTGGGTTCAAGCAAAGACATCCTCTACCCTCTACTAATGATCCCTCTGGGTCTTATAAATGTTTATCCAGGCAGCCCTGGGTTCAGCAACAGTTCCTGATTGATGGGTACAGTTGCTGGGATGGGGAAGAGGCTCTTCCAGACAGTAGTTCCAGACAGCTTGACTCTGAAACACAAACAAACAGAAAATAGTCACTCTGCCTCCCAACCTGTTCAGCACTGGGGAGGTGGCAGGGTGGGGATCAGGGGAAGATTTCAAACAAGGGCAACATTTACTAGGCTTTTCCAACCACGCTAGAATAGTTATTACTGCAAATAGCCGATTTGACTGCTACGAGTCTATAATTTCAATCTCTGAAGTAACATGTTCTCAGAGCTTCTGGTATCTCAGTTTGTTGATGCAATGAGGAAAATCCAAGGACAGTACTTCAGGCGCGTCCTCATGCCCCAGGTGCTAGTGCCCTAGTGAGAACCAGGCTCTGCAAAATCAGGCTCCAAGACTGTCACAAGGAGCCTCCTTCAGAGTCTAGGTTAGGGCTAAGTTCTTATTTTTCTTCCCATGCTTGCAATCTGTACGCCCTCTCCTTAAAATGGTCATTGTGTTACAGGAAAGGGGTCCTGATCCAGACCCCAAGAGAGAGTTCTTGGATCTTGCACAAGAAAGAATTCAGGGCAAGTCCATAGAGTAAAGTGAAAGCAGGTTTATTAAGAAAGTAGAAGAATAGGGCCAGGTGCGGTGGCTCATGCCTGTAATCCCAACACTTTGGGAGGCCGAGGTGGGTGGATCACCTGGGTTGGGAGTTCGAGACCAGCCTGACCAACATGGAGAAACCCCATCTCTACTAAAAATACAAAAATTAGCCGGGCGTGGTGACACATGCCTGTAATCCCAGCTACTCTGGAGGCTGAGGCAGGAGAATCGCTTGAACTCAGGAGGTGGAGGTTGCAGTGAGCCGAAATTGTGCCACTGCACTCCAGCCTGGGAAACAAGAGCAAAACTCCGTCTCAAAAAAAAAAAAAGCAGAAGAATAAAAGAATGGCTACTCCATAGACAGAGTAGCCCTGAGGGCTGCGGGTTGCCCATTTTTATGGTTATTTCTTGATGATATGCTAAACAAGGGGTGGATTATTCATGCCTCCCCTTTTTAGACCATATACGGTAACCTGACATTGCCATGGCATTTGTAAACTGTCATGGCACTGGTGGGAGTGTAGCAGTGAGGACGACCAGAGGTCACACTCATCGCCATCTTGGTTGTGGTGGGTTTGGGCTGGCTTCCTTACTGCAGTCTGTTTTATAGGCAAGGTCTTTATGACCTGTATCTTGTGCTGATCTTCTATCTCATCCTGTGACTTAAAATGCCTTAACTGTCTGGGAATCCAGCCCAGTCGGTCTCAGCCTCATTTTACCCAGCTCCTATTCAAGATGGAGTTGCTCTGGTTTGCACGCCCTCTGACAAACGTTTCTCCAGGCATCCTCCCTGGGGCATCTTTAAAACTCTAACTCCAGAAAATCCTGACCACCCCTCTCCCCAAGAGGCAATGAAGACCGAGTCAATCTATTCTCGAGTCCATAGGATGGCCGACCAGCTCAGCAACCAGAACAGAAGTGCCACACCAGTCGAGAGTGGAGGCCTCCAAGCGTAGCTGAAGGCTACCACCAGCCACTCTGCCTTGATCTGCTGGACACTGATAGGGCCTCCCCATGAGGTCCCTGGGGGAAGAAGAGGTTCATACCAGTCCCAGACTTTTGGGCATTCAAATCCAGTCAGTGTTCATCAAGCCCATGATGGAGGAGGCACAGCAGGTTAGACCATCACCTGAACCCTAATGGGAGATCACGGGTTGACCCTGATTTCCTGGAGCTGATGCTTTAACCCTTCAAGAAGGCAGCTCTTCTGTGGAAGCCCCAGCCCAGCTAGCCCACAGCAGCCAATCCAGGTCAGGCACTTCCCTCCAGGGCAGGTCCAGTGGCCAATCCAAGGCAGGAACTTCCGTCCAGGGCAGGTCAGGCCCAGTGCTCAGCTGACACATGCTGTTTGGGTTACCTCCACCTAGGGGCCAAGGGAAACCCTTGGCCTTCTGAAGGTTCTCTGAAAAATCAACGCACAAAAGGGAGATCAATTGGAAAAAAGACGTGTAAATTTATTTAACGTGTATACAAGGGAGCCTTCAGAATGAAGACCCAAAGATACAGGGGATATTGTCCACTTTTATGCTTAAGTTCAACAAAGTATGGACAGCCATGTGGAAATATGATTGGAAAAAAAGTCCATCCTGATGGACTGGCTGGGGGCTGGGGACACCCAGCAAAGCCTATCTGTCTAGAATCTTCTTGGCCTCTCTGAGCACCACTTCTTCCTTCTGGGTGTGGGGCAGGACCCTCTCTGGAAAGGGGGTCTTCTGCCCTACTGTCAAACAAGGTCAATCAGATAATTTTTCATGGCGAGTTTTTACACAGAAAAGCAGAGGGAACATTAGAGTAACATTTTTAGGTTTTATGGCTGGCTTTGGGGAAAATGGGTTCTGGTTTCTATGACCCACCATGGAAAAGAGGGATTCTAGTTTCCCTGGCCAGCCTCGGGGGAGAATGAGAGGCAGAGCCAGGAGGGCAGGAGAGGACCAGAGGAAAACTTTTGCTTCTGAGGCCTTCATTTTGGAGGCTATTGTTTTCTGAGCCCCAACACCCACCTTGGGTTATCCCAATCCTGCTAACAACACAGAAGTCTGGGACAATCATCTCCTAACCTGAGGGTAAGGGAGAGATTCCCATTCTTGTCTTTGGGATTCCTCAGATCTCCAGTGGCTTCAGTGGGTGGCTGTGAAATTCTTGAAACAAAAGCAATTCAAATTCACTTAAAAAGAAATTAATGCAAAATCATAGAGCACTTTGTGGGGGCTAAGAGGAAGGAAAAGATGTCACAAAACTGACAAATTTATATAATGTATTCATTCATCAACACCCACCATCTGCCAAGTACTGTGCAACGTCCTGGCACTACACACACGAATGAGGCACGGCCCCGGCCCCAGCAAAGTCTCAGTTTGGTTTAAGAAGCAGATGATTGGCCTGGTGCGGTGGTTCACGCCTGTAATCCAGCACTTTGGGAGGCTGAAACTGGCAGATCACGAGGTCAAGAGATCGACACCATCCTGGCTAACACGGTGAAACCCCGTCTCTACTAAAAATAGAAAAAATTAGGTGGGTGTGGTGGTGGGTGCCTGTAGTCCCAGCTACTTGGGAGGCTGAGGCAGGAGAATGGTGTGAACCCAGGAGGTGGAGCTTGCAGTGAGCTGAGATCCCGCAACTGCACTCCAGCCTGGGCAACACAGCAAGCCTCCCGTCTCAAAAAAAAAAAAAAGCAGATGACTGCAATAGTCAATGTTAACAACTGTGACAGAGGTGATATGGCAGCCCACATGAGGTGTTGAATTCTGCCTGAAGGTGTCAGGAAAAGGTTTGGGAAGATTGGTAGGAAATCAGGACGTAAGAACAAGCAGTGTAGGGAGAGACGGCACGTGTGAAGCCACAGAGCTATGTGAGAATGTGGCACCTTCAGAAACCAACTTCCAAAGGCTGGGACCTCAACCTCTGTGTCCAGCCAAGGCTTTGTCTGGCCCAGGAAGAGGGCTTTCCTGACATCATCCTACTGAAGTTTCTTCTTCACTGCACCCTGAATCTGTGCACATATGTCTGATAAGCACAGGTTCAGGTATGTGGCCTTGGGAGTCACATACGTCATCCTCTGCAGGTTGCTAAAAATACCTCGGCCATCTGCTGCCTGCCATCACACCTGCCCAGAAAGAAGTCAGCCAGGTAGGCCTTGCCAGAAAGCAGGAGTCGGCAGGGGAGGACGCTGGCAATAATGTTGCAGTTTGACTGACTATTCACTGGTTTTCAAGCATTTCAGGAGGCAAGATTTTTGCCACACAGATACACTGGCCTCAGAGAATCCCCTAAAGGGGAGGAAAGCCAGTACTTTTTTTTTTTCTTTTCTTTCTTTTTTTTTTGAGGCAGGGTCTCACTCTGTCACTTAGTCTGGAGTCTAGTGACACAATCATGACTCACTGCAGCCTCCACCACCCAGGCTTAAGTGATCTTCTCACCCCAGCCTCCCAAGTAACTGGGACTATAGTCACATGCCACCACACCTGGCTAATTTTAAATTTCTTTTTTTTTTGTAGAGACAGGGTCTCACTATATTGCCCAGGCTGGTCTCAAACTCCAGGGATTGAGCGATCTTCCTATCTTGGCCTCCCAAAGTGCTGGCATTACAATTGTGAGTCACAGCACCCAGCCGAGAGCCTGTTCTTGTTGAGTAGCTGGTCTCCACCCGAACATGGGTCAGTTGCTTTGTGTAAGTTACTGTGATCTCTACTTAAAGAGGAAACTGAGGCTCTCATGCCAGCACATAGTGAGAAGGGGTGAAGTCAAACACTATCCTAAGCCTCTATAAACCCCACAGCCATACCTGCCTTCCCAGCAAAACCCTCTTCCAGTCAAGCCAAGGACTCCAAGCTGTACCCTTTCACCTCCATCCCCTGCCTACTGACTTTCGAGAGGCCTCTCTCCTGCACCATCATCCTTCCCTTCGGCACGACTCCTTCATCAGGGAACTGTCACCAACAGCACACACAGGCTAGTTTAAGAGCAGGTGTTTTTAAACTTTCTGAACAATCCTTATTTTAAAAAATAACAGCTATATATGTATGGATCCCTGGACAGGAAGCGAATTTGTATATTCCTTTCCTAGAGAGGTCCTTGCTTGCATGACATCAGAGAAAATGAATACATGACAGAAGAAACAGAAGAAAATGGAAGAATCGAGCTCTGAAATAAAATCCTGATAAGTCTGAGATGTAAAAATAATCCATTCATAACACCTTATTCCCCATGCAGATATCCCTGTGTGACCTTAGAATTTGGGATATTCCAGTGCTGGGGATGCGACGTCACTAGACTCCAGCCTTGTCCCCTTTCTGTCAGTGCTTCTGCCTGTCCTTGGTCTGCTGAGCACTCCCCTTCTCAGGGCACACCTTACCTGCACGGTGCTCCAGGACACCTGGTTTTCCTTGTCCACCTCACACCTACCCGTTCTCTCCCAAGCCGAGGATATGGGAGGCTCCTCAGAATCCAGTCCTTCAGGCTCCCATTCCATTCAGAAAACACAGCCTTTTCCCACATTTCTCCTGAATCTTCAGTGCCACACATGCTATTGTTCTTCTGTTTTTTAGAAGCCATCTCTCCCAAGCCATCATTTTATTCTCACTTTCCTTTTTGGACTCCCCCCAATGCTTCTTTCTAGTCTCCTAATTATGCCCTGTTCAAGGGCACCAGAGTTCAAGCTTGTCTTTCACACACAACGTAACAGCAGGGTGAATAAGATGATGTAGTCGTATAGACCATAGCCTTATACAGTCATGCACGGAGTGTAGAGGGGTGGGACAGGAGACACGTTTAGGAGTCTAGATAGGAGAAGAAGTGGGTGTCAGAATGAAGTTGGGATAGAGGTTGAAGTAGAAGTACAGAAGTAGAAGCAAGAGCTTGAGCTTTGGAGTTAGATATCATCTTTTTTGTAAGCCTCAGTTTCCCTTTCTGTAAAATGGGCACAATGATGCTGACATGAAAAAGTTATTAAACAGACTAAATTTGATGCAAAGTGCTTCACTTATATGACCTCATACTGTTGTTATTCCTTTTTTTTTCAACAAGTGAAGAAATTAGAGCTTAATGCTTATGTCACTTGCCCAAAACCACACAGTTCATAAACAGCAGAGCCAGGAATCAAACCCCAGTTGGTCAGTCTCCATCACCCCTGCTTTTAGTCAACACGCTGCCTCACACGACCTCAGACATTCCAATTCCCAGTGGGACCACATCTTTGCCTCAGAAATCACAGCTACGGTGCCCCCACCAAGGAGTGAGATACTGCCCCATCTTAGTCATCTCTAGGATAGGTATCATCCTCACCAATGCTGCCCCCACCTCGCCACTCTTGAGTCAGTAATGGGCAGGTTGGCCAGCAGCCTGCAATGTGAACTGCTGCTCTAACATTGCCAGCTCTGCCCACACCCTAGAAGTGGGTAGTTACAGGCTCCTTGAGGCCAACCATGCTTCTTTCCCTTCAGATCTATGTCCTCAGCTCAGCAGGGCATGTACTAAGTGTCCAATTAAATACCTGCTTGTTGAGGTATGGGTTGAAGGTGTCTGCTGGTGCCAAGACAAGAACCTGGCAAAGGACTGGAGTGGCACATTTCTCATGAGCCACCAGCCACCTGAGTTCGCTGTGGGATCCGCCCTCTTGAAATGTGTCACTGGCAGACAGAGCCACTGAGCACCGTCTGAGTCCTAGATCCCGCTCAGCTCTGACTTCACAGGGGACCCCCGAGCCTAAAGCAGCCAGAGGGAGTCAGAGGGAGGAGCAACATGAATCATCCTCATAACATTTGTGTGAATATTACACATTTAGCTTTACTCACAAGTTGTAGGTTTGATAGAAGCAATCTTCAAAAATACTGTACAGTGAATATAATTATTTTCTTACAATCCATTTTCATTTTAATTATGCCAAACATCCAGACACCTTCTCTTCTCTGGTATCTCTCTTGTCACATTATTTACTCTCAAATCAGCTACTTTTCAAGCCATTTACTAATTTTTTTTTCAAGCCCACAAAATAGATGCAAGGACTTTTTTTTCAAATCTGAAATATCAGATCTATTTAAAAATTCATATAATATAGAAAGAAATATTGTAGTAAACACCCAATATCTACTCATAATCCCTTTCCCAAATATCACCACTATAATAGGCTGGTTTATAGCCTTCCTGAATTTTAATGTGTATGTAAATATAAATGAAATGTAAGTGAATTTGGTCATTCAAATATACTGTCCTGAAACACTCATTTTTCTTTGACAGTCTCTCACAGGATAACTGTTGATGGTTATACATATAGATTCAAGCCATAATTTTTAATAACTGCTTACTTAATATTTCATTGAATAAAATTTCCTTTTTTTTTTTTTTGAGATGGAGTTTCACTCTTCTTGCCCAGACTGGAATGCAATGGCGCAATCTTGGCTCACTGCAACCTCCACCGCCTGGGTTCAAGCAATTCTCCTGCCTCAACCTTCCAAGTAGCTGTGATTACAGGCATGCGCCTCCACGCCCAACTAATTTTTTTAGTAGAGATGGGGTTTCTCCATGCTGGCCAGGCCAGACTCAAACTCCTGACCTCAGGTGATCTGCCTGCCTTGGCCTCCCAAAGTGCTGGGATTACAGGCATGAGCCACTGCGCCCGGTCCCATTTTTTTTTTGAGATGGAGTCTTGCTCTGTCACCCAGGCTAGAATGCAATGGCGCAATCTTGGCACACTGCAACCTCTGCCTCCCGGGTTCAAGCTATTCTCCTGCCTCAGCCTCCTGGGTGGCTAGGATTACTGGCGCACCCCCACCACACCCGGCTAATTTTTGTATTTTTAGTAGAGACAGCATTTCACCATGTTGGTCAGGCTGGTCTCAAACTTCTGACCTTGTGATCTGCCTGCCTTGGCCTCCCAAAGTGCTGGGATTACAGGCGTGAGACGCCGCACCCAGCCCAAAACTTCCATTTTAAAAAATCAATACCATGTAAATGGATATTTAAGCTGTTTTCATGTCTTCGCTATTTTAAACAAGTCAAAAACAGATATTCTTCTTGATTATTTTCTTAAGATAAATTCCCAGAAGTAGAGAGATGCCTGGGCAAAGGAGTTGCATATTTTACATTTTAATGTCTATTTCTAGGCCACCTTCTAGAAAGGAGGCCTGTTGTGAAGGTCCTGTATAAAGAAATACCTTTCTTGAGTATTACAACTCTAAAGAGCTCAGAGAATGGCAAGGAGCTCCTCCTGGCTCCCCAGGCAGCCCCCACTGGGAAGCAGAATTGGGAACAGCACACCTTTTCATACTTTCTTATCCCTTACTGCAAGCAAAATCCAGGCAAACTCTTGAATCAACATAATTTTTTAAAATTTCTAGGGTCTTTTTTTTTTTGAGACAGAGTCTTGCTCTGTCGCCCAGGCTGGAGTACAGTGGTGCAATCTCGGCTCACTGTGCAACCTCCGCCTCCTGGGTTCAAGTGATTCTCCGCCTCAGTCTCCTGAGTAGCTGGGATTACAGGAAGCGCCACCGCACCCAGCTAATTTTTGTATTTTTAGTAGAGATGGGATTTCACCATGTTGGCCAAGCTGGTCTCGAACTCCTGACCTCAGGTGAACTGCCCACCTCAGCTGCCCAAAGTGCTGGGATTGCAGGTATGAGCCACTGCACTCAGCCTTTTTCTTTTTTTTTTTCATTTCTAATACTCCCTTTGCTCTTGCAGCCCAAATATTTCCTGGTTATTTACAAATTTAGATGACATTCATGACATTTGAAAATTTAAAAAATTGGAAGAAAGTGTACAGTGCACACAAAGGGACACTATATATATTCTAATATCAATGTGAGAATGACTTGACAGAACTAGTTACAAGAAAAGGAATAACCCTCCAAGATCCCCAAGAGTCACTTAAGTCTTGTTATCTCCTCTTCCACAAAACCTCATTTTCCAAACCTGGCATTCAAGACAAGTCTAGCCCCATCATAAAATGTAAAGCCTTCTTTTTCCTGAACTCCATTTTTCTCTAGTGAAGCAGAAACCATTGTCTTTCACTCAAACCTATTGAGCTTTCCTGCTTTATGTCTTGGTAGTTAATAATAAAAGATGTCACCCTTTATTGAGCATCTACTATATGCCAGGCACCATGCTAAGTGCTTTATGGAGGTGTTGGGACTCAGAAAACAATACCCCAAAATAAAGACCTAAAAAGCAAACATTTTTCTCTGATCTTCTCCTGCTCTCCTGTCTCTTACTTAGTCCATTCTACCCCCAAACTTAGCCATAGAAACTAGAGCAGGTCATAGAAACTAGAACCTCTTTTCCCCAAAACCAGCCATAAAACCTAAAAACATTAATCCAACTTTCCCTTCACCTTTCCATGTAAAAACTGGCCATAAAGAAATTATCTGACCTACCTTGTTTGACTGTAGGTCATAAGACCTTCATTTTAGAGAAAGTCCTGCTCCATACACAGATGGAAAGGAAGCTGCTCAGAGAGGCCAAGAAGAATCTAGACAGGCTTTGTTGGGTTTTCCCACTCATAATAACTAATCTATCAGCATTAGATCAGCCTTTTTTTGTCCATCATATTTCTGCACCACTGTCCATACTTTATTGAACCTGAGCATAAAAATGGACAATTAGCCCTGTATCCTTGGGTCTTCATTCTGAAAGCTCCCCTGTATACACATCCAATAAATTTGTATGCCTTTTCTCCAGGTAATCTGCCTTTTATGAGTTGGATTTTCAGCAAAACTGTGTTTTCCCTGCAGGGGATATTTTAGGTAAACCTTACAACAATCCTATGAAGTAGGTACTATTCATCCCCATCTTACATATGGAAAAATGGAGTTTCAAAAGATTAAGTGACTTACACCTAGCCACACAGCTATTCCAAGTTCAGCCATCATGTTAAACCATGTCATCCTAACACCAACATGTCAGCGTTCAATCTCTACCCTGCATTGCCTGACACCCCACTTTCTCCAGCTCCTCACAATCCAAATCCTCAAGATGCAACTCGAAACCTATCTCTTTAATAGTGTCCAACTTTCTTCTTTTTTTGTTGTTTGTTTTTTGAGACAAGGTCTCACTCTGTCACCCAGGCTGGGGTGCAGTGGCACGATCTCGGCTCACTGCAACCTCTGGCTCCTAGGTTCAAGCAATGCTCATGCCTCAGCCTCCTGAGTAGCTGGGATTACAGACACATGCCACCACCTCCAGGTTTTTTGTTTGTTTGTTTGTTTGTTGTATTTTTTGGGAGAGACAGAGTTTCACCATGTTGGCTAGGATGGTCTCGAACTGCTGACCTCAAGTCATCTGCCCACCTTGGCCTCCCAAAGTGCTAGGATTACAGGTGTTAGCCACCATGCCTGGCCTCTTTTTTGTTTGTTTGTTTTGAAACAAGGTCTCACTCTGTCTCCCAGGCCGGAGTGCAATGGCATGATCTTGGCTCTCAGCTCACTGCAACCTCCACCTCTGGGGTTCAAGCAATTCTCATGCCTCAGCCTCCCAAGTAGCTGGGATTATAGGCGCCCACCACCATGCCTGGCTTTTTTTTTTTTTTTTTGCAGTGTCCCACCTTCAATCAGCTGAATGCTCTCTTTTGTCATTCTGAATCTCCTTGTCTGAACTCTGAAGAGGTCATTGTTTCTACTCCTTGCTACCAGTGTTTCAGTTTAATTCATTCAGTTGATAGTTTTTCTTCAGTCTCCTCCATGGGCCAGGCCCTGCCAGGTGAACAGCTCGCAGCCCCAATCCTCAAGGAGGTGAGGCTGGTCGGGTCTCCCAACTAGATGGTGAGCTCATTGGAGGCAGGGACCAGATGGGTACCTCTCTGCATTCTCTACAACACTGGGAGCCCAGAAGACCTGCAGCAAATATTTCTAGATTGATTGGTACCTTGGATGGTTGACAACTGTACAGAAGGAGGGCTGCTTTTCTCCCCGCAAATCTTTGCCTGCCCCTATGACCTGCCTGGTCTATGGATTCACCACTTCCTGTTCCAGGCATTTCTCTTCTCACCAGGAGGCTGCTCAGGCCAGGTCATTTATCTCTGAGTCCTGTCTTCTTGGGAGAAGGACTGCTCAGCAGGTGCCTGATAACAAGCCCATTAAACCTCTCTCTCTGCTCTCAGCATGAGCGCTCCTGCACTCTGCAGTGTTTATCTTCCCTTCCAAGCAGCTGGGAGGATGAGCAGGGTCCACTGTGGAGAGGAGAAAGCAGGAAAGAGACTGTACCTGGAGCCGTGGGTCACCGGAACAACAAGAACTGCACACAACACACCCCGAAGGAACAGCAGTGGGACAGAGGTTAATAGAAAACCAAACTCCATCCCATCCTTCCTCCTCCACCTGCTCCTCTCTCTCCAACACACACACACACACACACACACACACACACACACACACACACACACCCTCCTTCCTTGTACCCCTGACATGAAATACAGGAATAATACCCACAGCAGAATACAGGAAAGAGGAAAAGCAAAAGAAGCTACCTTTTACGGTGGGAATTGGTGTGGGTGGTCCCTAGTCCCCAGGGTGCAATTTGAGAGTATCAGGTGGGCCTAACTCCTCTGCCGCCTGTCACCAGGGCCTGAGAATTCCCATTTAGAGTTGTTCCCATGATGTTTCCACAGTCTCCCTTTGAGAAGTAAATATTGGGCAGCCAGAGCTGGCTCTGTGGCATTCAGAAGGGCCCCACACTTGGTTTAATGTTCTGCTGTTGCTATCTTGAGATTCTTAATTTTTTAAGAAGGAATCTTGCATTTTCATTTTGTACTGGGCTTAGCAAATTATGTAGCCAGTCCTGTGGGCCACAGAGAGGAAGGGTCTTCAGAGACAGGATGAGGACAGAGCAGAATCTCCTTGTGGGACTGTGTGCAGGGGCTGGTGAGCGCTGGCAGAGCTGTCCTGGGATTGAGGGCTCACTTCACCGGCTGCATTCAGGCCCACAGAGAACAAGAAGCCACAGCCTGCAGCTGCTCAGGGAACCTGCCTGGGGCCAGACCAAACTCTCTGTTTTTTACCCCTCACCAGCCTTTTCCAAGTCACCAAAGCCAGGGGAGCACAGAGCTGAGAGGTTCTGGGTCTCACTGTGTCTTAGGGAGGACATCAGAGGTCCCCCTGTCCCCAGCTCTGAGCGTGCACAGGAGCCTGACCACACTTAAACCAGGCCCTGGTTCGGTCAGTCCACCAGGCCCTGGGCTCAGCCTCTAGCCACAAATCCTTCCACAGTCGCCAGAGCCCTGACAAAGCTGACTCTAAGGAAACTGGGACTGGGAACCCCCGGTTCACCAGGGCTGAACCGACTCCAGAGGGAGCTCATCAGACAGACCATGAGAGAGTAGAGAATTCACTCCCAACGCCATCTCCAGCAGGAGCCCTGCTCTCTCCTCTGGGAAAAGCAGCACTTTCTGCAGGGTTGGCAGGAGCGAGGCCTTCCTTCAGGCCAGGACTCAGTCCCTTTGCATCCCAGTGTCAAGCCCAGGGCCTAGCCCAGGGAAACCCCTGGAAGAGAAACGAGGAAGGAGGGAGGGAGGGATGATCTAGGTGTGTCTATTCAGAATGGAGCCTAGGAGGCCCTCCTGTCTTCTAGTCCCCTCCAAAACAGCCTGTCAGATTCCACGAATATGATTTCATTCCCTTTGCCTTTGGGGCTTGAGAAGCACTCATAAAATTCAAATGTCCCTGGAAATAGTCATTCTATGAGCTTTCTTCCTTGGAGATAAAGGTAGGTGCTTAGAGATGGTGAAGGCAGGAAGGAGGCAGGGAGGAGGGAGACAGGGAGGGAGAGGAGGAAGGGCAGGGATGACACACAGCTACTGCACCCGTGGGCCCTGGGCAGGAGCACAGCAGCCACCGGAGTGGAGAGAGGCCCTGGGCAGTCACTGAAGCCACATCTGGGCTGCCGGGCAGACGGAGGCTGCTCCACATGGCTCCTGATCTGCTGCTTATTGACTTCTGCTTCTCCCAGGCTCCTTCCTGCCCCAGCTCTCTACTGTCCTGGGCCGATGCCTCCTCGCTTCCCTGGTGACCAGAAAGCAAGGCCTCCCCTGCACGATGGGTGGGAGCACAGGGAAGGGTGGTACTACTGCGGAGTGTCAGAGCTCTGCCTCCTGCCTCCCCTCCCCCAGGCCCTCTGAGTACCCTGCCGCTGAGGCTGAGGCTGAGGCTGAGGCCATGCTGAGAAGTCTCCTGCCACGTCCGACTGCAGGAGTGGGAGGAGGAGCTGGAGGTGGGGGCTCTCAGACACTCATTGAAAATCCCGCCTGCCCCACAGAACGCAACCTCATTAAGATGGCCTGCTGGAGAGAGGATTAAGGCATCACAGTGGGTCCCCATCATGTGGTTGTTATTATCAGTCGTTTCCATCATCATTCAGAACTCATAATTCAAAACTGGTGCCCTCTTGCCAGCCGTGGCTGCCCTGGGATCAGCTGATCAGAGCCAGGCTCCCCCACGCCTACATTCCCGCTTTGAACCCATAAGCATGTGGAAGCCTCAAGCACGCAGGCCTCCAGACCCGCCTAAAAGAGAAAGGGAGTGGCCCACTCCCCCAAACCAAAGGGAGTGACGGTGGCGGGGTGAGGCGGTGGGGGCCGGTGGGGGGCCGGTGGGGGGCAGCTGGTGGTCAGGGAAGGCCTCATGAGGGAGGCGGCGCCAGGCCCTTGAATAGGGGAGGGGCAGAGAGGACAAACAGAGCTTCTTTCCTTCTAAAGCGCCTGTCTCTACTCCCCTTCCTGGCACCCCTAATAGCCTAGAAGTTTCCCTGTATCTGCCCCAAAGGCAGCAAAAAGCATTTTCCTGGGAATTCTAGGGATCAAAGTGGTCTTCACTGCCCCAGAATTCCCCCTAGTGAACCTGGTAGTGAGGACAATAACTCCTGGTTCCTCTTCACACCTGCAGCTGCTACCGGGGTGACCTCCAGGGTCCTCACTGCCGCTCCCTCCCGTCTCAACCTGGAGAGGAGAGTCACTCCTTGGAATCATCACCTGCAGTGACCCTAGGCATGGGGGAGCACCCCAGGAAGGCCTTAGATACTTTACAGTGTTCTCCCTACAGGGGAGGCTCAGCTCCGGCTGCTGCCCTCACAGACAAGGTCGCCACTGCAGGGAGTGGGCTCCCGGGGGAAGCACCCAGGCCCGAGCTCCAGTCCACTCATTCCTTCATTTGTCCTTTCATTCACTTCGCTGACTGTCTAGTGAGCACTTCCTATGGGCCAAGTGCTGAGCTGTGGACTGAGGTACAGAGGTAAGGGCCACATTATCCTCCCTGAGCTCACAGCTGCAGTGGCAGGCGGTAGAGTTGGCACTTTGAGGGTGGGACATCGTGGGGGAGGCTGGGGGTCTCTGTCCTTACCCTCAAAAAGCTCACAGCCTCAAAACCTAACACAGGGTAAACCAGGAGAGGAGTCGGCATGGAAGTCTCCTTGGACACAGGAGGAGCACCCCGGCCTCGAGACAGGAAGAGCTCACCTGGAGAAAGGGGAATGGGGAGGAGGAGGGCAAGGCTAAACACAGGAGAGACAGCAAGGCAAAGGCCTGGAAGCAACACCTAGAACCTTCCAGAAGATTAGAAGAACTGGCACAGCGATGATTCTGGAAGCTGGAGCTCAGAAAGAAAAGGGGAACCCACCAAAGGGCTTCAGGCAGGGGCCGTGAGTGGTCAGATGTACGTGTTGGAAAATGCCTGGCCACGGTGAGGGGGGGCGACTGGAGGACACCATGTTGGAGGACCTGCCGTTGTCTAGTGAGAGGTGATGGGCACCTGAACCAAAGCAGTGAAGGTGGGGATGGGACAGAGGGGCCGATCTGATGGGTTCAGGAAGGGGCATCAACAGGATGGGGTGACTGAGTGTGGAAGGCATGCAAGAAGGAGGATGATGCCCAGCACCTGGCTCCAGCAGCAGGAAGGACAGCCGAGCTGTTCACAAAGGCAGAGAAGGGAAGACAAGGAGCAGGTTCCCGGGGAATAATAAAACTGTTCAATTTTGAACTTGCTGAGTTTCTTGGGGTTTTTTGTGGGACGAATAAGAGATGCTAGAAAGCTGTTAGAGGGCTGGGCATGGTGGTTCACCCCTGTAATCCCAGTACTTTGGGAGGCAGAGGTGGGAGGATTGCTTGAGCCCAGGAGTTTGAGACCACCCTGGGCAACATGGTGAAACCCCACTTATACAAAAAATAAAAAATTAGCTAGACATAATGGCCCACGCCTGTGGTACCAGCTACTCAGAAGGCTTAAGTGGGCCAGGAGATTGAGGCTGCAGTGAACCATGATCACAACACTGTACTCCAGGCTGAGTGACAAAGTGAGACCCTGTCTAAAAAAAAAAAAAAAAAAAAGAAAGAAAGAAAGAAAAGAAAAGAAAGGAAAAGAAAGAAGAGAAGAGAAGAAAAAAAAAACTGTTAGGTATTCCTGCCTAGACCTTGAACATTACAGATTTGGAAGACAATGGCAAACTGCAGTCATAAATGAGGTCATTCAGTTTGTAAATGACAATGAGGATAAGTCACAGAGGCACACCCTCATATAACAGAAAGGGAAGGGGAAAGGAACAATAAGAGAGAGAAGAAAAAATCAGGGCAGAAAAAGAGGGAGTGCATTAGGACTTTTCCGCGTGTAACAACAAAGCCAATTCAAACTGACCTAAATAGTAAAAGTGATTTACAGGGACATGTGACTGGAAACACAGGGCCAGATCTGGCTTCAGGTTCAATTTGATTCAACCGCTCTACCAATGGCATCAAGGATCCAGTTTCTCTCTGTCCTTCAGCTCTGCCTTCTGCAGGATTAGCTTTATTATAATGTCAGTGGCCAAAACGCCCAGGTTTCTTACTTCCCCCTCCAAATCCAGGGGGAACAGGCCATCATACCCAGAGACCTCTCAGTACATCAAAGAAACATCTTACCTAGAAACTGCAAATAAATTTTTTTCCCAAACTGATTGTCTTGAATTTGGTAACATCTTCACCTCTGAACCAATTTCTATGGCTTTTATTGCTTATGCCAAAGCCATTTTCCCCAGACTTGGAGCTTAGGATAGAGTTGATTTTCCACAAAGCACATAGACAGAGGGGTAGATTCCTCAAGTAAAAGCAGGGTACAGGAGTTACCTTATTACCAAAAGACAGAAATACTGGGCATGAGGGAGGCAATCACAATACAAAATAACACAGGTGAGAGTTCTCAAGAAAGAGGAAGTAGACAACAGCAGCAAAAACTATAGAGAGGCCAAGGAACAACAACATTGAATGTGTGTGTAAGGTGGGATGGGGGAGATCTATGAGGAAATTCTTCCTGGAAAACTGGCAATCGTTGAAGAGCATCAAACCATGCATGGACTTCAGATAAGATGTGTGTGTGCACATGTATGCATGCATAGGCTTTAGCTAGGACACATGGGTGTACGTGTATACATGCATGGGTTTTAGTTAGAATGTGGGTGTGTGCGTGTATACATGCAGAGGCTTTAGATAGGACACATGTATGCATGCATAGGCTTTAGACAGGACATATGTATCCATGCATAGGCTTTAGATAGGACACATGTATGCACACATGGGCTTTAGACAGGATGTGTATGATACCATGCATGTGTACTAGTGCATGCACTCACACCACACACATTGGTAAGGAGGGGTGTCCTGGCAACAGGAGGGTCCTGTGCAGAGATCCAGAGGCAAGTTTGACAGCACATTCTGATGGAGAAAAGCAGGAATCTAGTGCAAGAATTGGAGGCAGCAGAAGATGAAGAGCCGTGAGCTGGGACCAAATTCTAGCAGCTCTCAGTAGAGTCCCCCTGAGCCTCTTGGACATAGTCCTGAAGGCTGCGGAAACTGCTGGAGGGCTTCGAGCAGGGGATGGCACAGCCACAGTGAAGTTTAGAAAAATCACTGTGGCCTCGGTGTGGGGTGTAGTGAAGGAGCAAGAGAGCAGGTGGGAAGAGCAATGGGAAGGTGATGGCAGGTGTCTGGGTGGCCTTGGCAAAGGTGGTGGGGGCAGGCAACGGTCAGAAGAGGACAAAGCAAGATACTAAAGAGGATAAGAGAGCAGGGCTGGGGAGTGATTGATATAGAGGGTGACAGGGGAGGCACTATGGATGTGAGAACAGGCCTGGACAGCCACAGCCACCATCCATCAGTAGAAGGCCACCATCCACTGTGGCCACCATCCACCAGGAGAAGGCTACCATCCACTGTGGCCACCATCCACCAGGAGAAGGCCACTATCCACCAGAAGAAGGCCACCATCCACCAGGAGGAGGCCACTATCCACCAGAAGAAGGCCACCATCCACTATGGCCACCATCCACCAGGAGAAGGGCCTGCGGAACTCTCTTCTCTCCTCCCCTCCCCCTGCCATTCATCCACCTCTGAGGTGCCAGTGATGTCACAATGCACTGCCACAGTCTGAGTGACCACCTATGAACCACCTACGAATTGTGAGAAGGAAATTGCAGGTACTTGTGTGGGAAATGCTGCAGTATCCAGCTGGCTCCACAGGTGGTAGGGAGTGGGAGCTTAAAAACGAAGAAACTGAAGGGGACAGATGATCCTGATGAAATGGAGACTGGATTTTTATTTTTTAAAAAATACAAGTGAAAGAGAATGCAGCCCCAAAGAGTAGCTGGAGCAGAATGGGATCCTAAGTCTTCGCCTTGGAGGTAGCTCCCTTCATGTCTGGTAATTTTTCTTCTTGAAGGTGAAGGGTTTGCAGTCCCTGTTCCAAGAACTGGAACCTCACGTCCTATTTCTTGTAGACTTTGGCTTTTGTTGAATGGGAGATGCTGGAATCTTTTCCACAGGAGACCAAACCAAGTCATCCTCTTGGCTACACTTCCTTGGCCCTGGCTCTAGTTTTGGGGGGAAGAGGAGAGGGCTGAGGAATTGATAGAGCGGAGAATGCACAGGGGGATGCGGGAGGAGGAACGGGGCTCCTCCCAAGGGCCCCTGGAAGAAAAGCCCGGAAGGAAGTGCTGGTGATGCTGCTAATGCTCTGCCTCTGCCTTCCCACTCAGCGTCTGCAGGCCTGGGTCCTGGGCCCTTGTCTGACCCCAGGGGAAGAGGAGGAGGAGGTGCTGATGCTGGAGCGGGTTTTCAAGGCCTGCTCTGCCCAAACAAAAGCCACCAATTTGGAAAACGCAAGCTGCTCGCTGGCCACAGCCACCTCTGCCTCCACCCACCTAGGGGGAATTGCCCCACTCGTCTCCCCAGTACACTGTCCCCGTCCAAGCCCAACCCATGTCCAAGGGAAGGCACCAGGGAAGCTGCAGCCGACGGGATTAGGCATCGAGTGCCCAGGCTGGGGCTTTGGCCTTCTCTCTGTCCAAAAAGTAGAAGTCGAGTCCAGAAAGAGCCAAACTAGAGGCCCCAGTCTCTATTTTCAGAAGATGCTCAAGGAAATCTCTTCCTCGATCTTTAAAAACCTCTCCACCCAATCGCCAGGAAGGCCATGAGGTCAAAAGCAGCCGTTTTGCTCACATCCCGCCCCTCCTTCCCCCTCGCTGAGCACCAAGAATAACTTCCTGCTGGGGATGAGGGTGGGTAAAAAAAGATTTAATTACAGCTTCTGTTTCTGACCTCGCTCCCCTACCCCTGGGAGCTGCCATGTTGCCCTGCCTGACTGTGGTGTCACCAAGAGGACACTGGCCTGGGGACACCGGCCTGGGGACACCAACCACAGGCCGGAGAGAGCCTGGGGGCTGACGGTGGGTTCCCTGAGCCGGCTCTGATAGTACCAGAAAATCCAGGGTTGGGTTACCCGCTAAGGCGGTCTCCTACTGCAGCCGAACCAGTGGGAGCACCCAGAGCCAGGGCACAGAGCGGGCTCCATGGATTGTTTTGAGAACATAGCAGGCCAAGCTCAGTAGCTCATGCCTGTAATCCCAATGCTTTGGGAAGCAGAGGCGGGAGGATTGCTTGAGGTCAGGAGTTCAAGACCAGCCTGGGCAACATAATAAGACCCCGTCAATACCAAAAATTAAAACATTAACTAGGCATGGCGGTGCATGCTTATAATCCCGGCTACTTGGGAGGCTGAGGCAGGAGGGTCACTTGAGCCCAGGCATTGGAGACTGCAGTGAGCTATGATCACACCTCTGCACTCCAGCGTGGATGACAGAGCAAGATTTTGCCTCAAATAAATAATAAACAAACAAACAAAATGACAAACTGGACATAGGGGAAATCGCTGGCTTTGGTAAGGTCAAGCTGAAGAAAAGAGAGACTCAGGAGAACACTCGGCCGACCAGAGACCACTGAGCGGAAGTAGAGTGAAACTTCCTAAGAGCCTGGAAGGTACCCCCTGTCCTCCTCGAGCCTGCAGTGCTGATGTGGAGGAAGAGCCACCCACAAGATGCGCCTGAGCCACAAGCCACACCGTGAACCCAGGTACCCTGCACCCATGTACCAGCCTGTGGGTGTCTGACGGGACCCCCCAGTCAGACTGCCAAATTCTCCAGTGTGCCCTGGGATATTCTAAAAATTATTTCTATGATTATGAAAAATAAAACTCACTTTGTGCACCCCCCCCCAAAAAAAAAATTCTAAGGCAGGATGGAAGATGCTTCTAAAAGACAGGGTAATTTTCTCCCCAGATGTTTCCAGGCCAGCACCGTCCCCGCTTCCAATTTCCAAATCTCACCCTCAACTCCCACCCCATCACATTCTGGCTGGCCAGACTGCTTCACAGTCATTGCTTTTTCTTTTTTAGAGACAGGGTCTTGCTGTGTCACCCAGGCTGGAGTGACACCATTTTGGCTCACTGCAGCTCAACTCCGCTGGGCTCAAGCAGTCCTCCTGCCTCAGCTTCCCGAGTAGCTTGGGACTACAGGTGTGCACCACCATGCCTGGCTAATTTTTTTATGTTTTGAAGACATGGGGTCTCCCTGTGTTTCCCAGCCTGGTCTTGAACTCCTGGGCTCTAGTGATCCTCCCACCTTGGCCTCCCAAAGTGCTGGAATTACAGGCGTGAGCCACAATGCCCAGTGGTTACTGCTTGTTCACATTTAGTGATCAACAGCATCAAATAAAACCTTGGCGTGCGGCCACCCATCATTGTGAACAACCCTAGACAAGACTTCTCTGGGCCCTCCACCCCCTCCCTGACCCGCCCTGCCTCCGCCTTCCAACAGCCACCAAGCAAACATTTGCAAGTCCATCTCTGCAGACCAAAAGTGCTTAGCGATCCTCTTAAACTCTGACAACCAGGTGAGGAGGGCCTTTCTCCCTATGAAACCCCTTAAACTCCTCAGAGACCCCTTTTAATCTGGTCATCAGATGTTTTTGAAAACCACTGCAGAGCCTGGGGGAGGCATCCGTGGAGCTATGTGAAAATTATCTCCCTGCTTTGGGACCTTACCCACCAGGATTCCGTTAACTGCCTTTGTTGTCCAAGAATGTGAGTTAGGAATCCCTCCAGGAGGCAGGAGGGGTGATTCCAATGAAGAGGAGAATGGAAGCTTTTAGACATGGTCCCTCTGTGCCAAGAACAGCTTTGGAGGCTTACAAGCGCTCACAGGACCATCAAAGGGAGCCGGCGCTGATACCTCTGTTTGTTGACTCAGTGAAAATACTCTATCTCAGGGTTATTGCCATTGAAAACATCTCCTCTATCTGGAATCTTTTCTACACCAAGCATACAATTGCTGCATTCATCTCTTGGGAGGAATCTGTCACCAAATCCATAAGCTGCCTCCGCCAGCAGGCGGGGCAGGATACCAACTTGCCTGACCTCCGCCCACTGGGATGAGCCAGGACGGAGTTCCTGTGTTAGTAAAGCCCCAGATGTTTCTCCTACCCTGCGGCTGCACCCTCTTCCTCCCCCACCCCTACCGCTCCCCTCTCACCCTCATAATCAAGGCAAAAGGAGAGGGGTGGAAGCAGAAATTTTCACCTCAATCAATGTTTGGGGACATTTACATAGACATAGGATGTGCTACCATACCCAAGCAAAGGAAAACCAGGCTGGGTGCAGTGGCTCACACCTGTAATCCCAGCATTTTGGGAGGCCAAGGCAGCAAGGCAGGAAAATCCCTTGAGTCCAGGAGTTCAAGACCGGCATGGGTAACAGAGTGAGACCTCGTCTCTACAAAAAAATTAAAAACTAGCTAGGCATGGTGGTACATACCTGCAGTCCTAGCTACTCAGGAGGCCAAGGCAGGAGGATCAATTGAGCCCAGAAGTTGGAGGCTGTGGTGAGCTATGATTGTGCCACTGCATTCCAGCCTGGGCAACCAAGTGAGACCCTGTCTCTAGAATGAATGAACGATGCAATCCCAGCACTTCGGGAGGCCGAGGAAGGCGGATCACCTGAGGTCAGGAGTTCAGGACCAGCCTGGCCAACATGGTGAAACTCCGTCTCAACTAAAAATACAAAAATTAGCCAGGTGTGGTGGCACTCGCCTGTAAGCCCAGCAACTCGGGAGGCTGAGGCAGGAGAATTGCTTGAACCTGGGAGGCGGAGATTGCCGTGAGCTGAGATTGCGCCACTGCACTACAGCCTGGGCAACACAGCAAGACTCAGTCTCAAAAATGAAGAAGAAGAAGAAGAAGAAGAAGAAGAGGAAGAGGAAGAGGAAGAGGAAGAGGAAGAGGAAGAGGAAGAAGAAGAAGAGGAAGAAGAAGAGGAAGAAGAAGAGGAAGAAGAAGAGGAAGAAGAAGAAGAAGAAGAAGAGGAGGAAGAGGAGGAGGAGGAGGAGGAGGAGGAGAAGAAGAAGAAGAAGAAGAAGAAGAAGAAGAAGAAGAAGAAGAAGAAGAAGAAGAAGAAGAAGAAGAAGAAGAAAGGAAGGAAAACTGACCTTGTACCATGCCCTCTATGTGCCAGACATATGCTATGTTACACAGTTGATCTGATAGTAACACACTGAGGTTGGTCTTTCATGGAGGAGAAAATTGTCCAATGTCACGGTGGCAAAAGTAAGACTTGAACCTAAGTCCCACCAGATGATGGCAAGAATGTGGGCAAACCACTAAGATGCTGAGCTTCGGGCCACCTGTCTCCATACTGGGAATCGCAATAGCACCTCACTGACCCACCTCCTTGCCCTGTGGGGAGGGAAGACAATTGTGAGTGCAAAGCTAATTCACAAGTGTCAGTGGGCTGGGAGCACCTGAGGACAGGGAGATCCTCCACTGTATCACAGTGTGCCCAGCACCCAGATCCATGCTGGGGCGTCATCAGCCCTGTACTGAGTATCAGCCCTCTACTGGAGTGGAGTGAAGCCATGCCCACACTGTGTCCCGTGGAAAGCAGAGGAGAATTCTTCTTATGGTCCGGATGGAAGGAGTGGGTGCAAACAAGGCGTCCATCACACGGCAGACCACCCTGAGCAGAGAACGAGCACACAGTGCTAGGAGTAGGAAGCAGATAAGGGGTCCCCCAAACCTCATCTTTTGGATCAACCAAATTCATGGCAGCCTAATCCAAAGAGCCCTGTGGCCCTCTCACAAGAGCTGGGAGTTGAACTGAGGCCCACAGCATACCTCGCTTTAATGGGACAGCTGAGCCCAAGCATTGGTAGTGGGGGCAGGGCAAAGGGGCTGATGGCGGCCTGATGCCAACCTCAAAGAAACCACATGGCTTCTGACACAGGGGCAAACAAGCAAGGTGTGGTGGTTCTCGCCTGTCATCTCAGCTACTCAGGAGGCTGAGGCAGGAGGACTGCCTGAGTCCAGGAGTTTGAGACCAGCCTGGGCAATATAGCAGGACCCCATGTAAAAAAGAAAAAAAAAAAAGCACAGTATAGGGAGGACAGACAAGACCCTCAGACCTGGGTATGGCTAATCTAAGAGTAAAAAGGGGCCAGGCACGGTGGCTCATGCCTGTAATTCCAACACTTTAGGAGGCCGAGGCAGGCGGATCACAAGATCAAGAGTTTGAGACCAGCTTGGCCAACATGACAAAACCACATCTCTACCAAAAATACAAAAATTAGCCGGGCGTGGTGCCAGGCACCTGTAGTCTCAGCTACTCAGGAGGCTGAGGCAGGAGAATCGCTTGAACCCGGGAGGCAGAGGTTGCAGTGAGCTGAGATCGCGCCATTGCACTCCAGCCTGGACAACAGAGCGAGACTCCATCTCAAAAAAAAAAAAAAAAAAAAAAGTATTTTAAAAGGATAAAGTGCCCTGGAGATGGAGATAAAACAGAGAATCCCCATGAAACCAAGTCAGCCCTGTCGCCAGGGCATCTCCTGTCTTCTGTTCTGATGAACATTAGCGTCACCTCCTCACGGAAGCCTCCCCTGACTCTGAGAGAGATCTTCACAGTCCCAGGACACCTTATCTATACCTGTGTCATGACACTAACTGCATTCAGCCTTTTGTTGCAAGCATTTACATTCCTATCTCCTCTTCCTCTGGAACTAAGTGCAGGGCCAGAGACTTAGTATTCTTGTGTCCTTCTAGGGCAGCTACGACAGTGCCTGGTGCTTGGGGAGTGCTTGACAGATTCAGGTTGAAGAAACAAAGGCAGGTACAGGCAAGGAAGGGAATGAGGGGACCGAGGAAGGTCGGAATGGCCCTGCTGGTCATCAGGACTTGTGGACCCACTGCCGCCTGCCCTACTATCCCCCACATCGTCCATCCCCCAGGCTCCAACATGGCCCAGTGGGGTCCCAGACACATTCGGGGGGCGGGCAGTGGGCGGCGTTTCAGTCTGGGAGGAGGCCTTTTCCCAGGCCCTGTGGACCTCCCCACCGGCGGGAAGCGATCTTGCCAGGTGATCCTACCGGATCGCATCTGCAGAACTACAACTGAGCCGCTCTCTCGGGTGATTTGTGTCTCAAAACCACGCCAAGGCTGTAAATCAGGTGGTAGGAAGCTCTGTCTCCTGTTTTCCTGCTCAGCCAGACGGAGACAGAATGTACTGCCACCGGCTCCCAAATCTGGAAAACCAAGTCTGATTTAAGAGGAGATGTTTTAGCAGACATTAGCTCAGGTCAGGGCTGGGGAGCAGGGTCTCTTGCCTCTCCCTTCCTGCTCCGAAGGAGAAGGAAACAGCCACCTCCTCCCCAGCTGGGGGCTGAGTGGGTGGAGAACCTGAAAGGCAGGTGCCTAACAAGCCCTGGGGTTCGGTAGCAGCTGCTTAGAGCTCCTCCCCGGGAGGCTCCGGAGGGGAATTTTCCACTGCCCCGTTCAATTTACCAGGACAATTTAGCTCAGCTATACCGCGGCCTTGACTATTTACAGTGGGGAGCGCAGGGCGGTGGAGGAGCCCTCTAAGAGTCCGTGCAAGAGGGCCGCGGCCCAGCTAGAAGGGTCTGCAGGGGGCAAGGTGTGGCGGAGCGGGCTTCAGGCGCAGGTTTTGCTTGCTTTCACCACGCCCCAGGTCTAGCTCACGGCCTGCACCTGGGATGTTGGGGCTGTGCAGAGGCGCCGTGGGTGGGGACCAGGCCCCCTTTTAGATAGGGAGGGGAGGAGCAGGGCCCCGGCTGCGGGGAGTTGGGAGAGAAGCCAAAGCGTCTCCCCCCTCCCTCTGTTCCTGCTTTCTCAGGATGTCTGAGATGCCCAGCGTGGGTGAGTGCACCCTCCCTCCCTGGCTCTGCTCCTCCCCCTCCCCGGAACCACCACCCCCTCAGCCCTGAGCTGCCGATGCCCTCGGGGTTCTGTTTTCATTCCAGGCTGTGGATCCGGTCGTGGGAAGCAGGTAGGAAACCATGATTCTCGGGGTTAAATGAAGAAATATATTTAGTGCTCACAGAAATTTAGAAATTTAGAAAGCCAAATATTGGGTTAGCCGCCAGGAATGGAGAGGGAAAAAACCCAAAGCAAACAGCAGAGGAAAGAAATTCCTACCAGACAAGGTCCTTATTCATTCTCCCAACCCCAGGTGCAGGGGCCTGCAGGGGAGAGACCCGCTGAACTTAAGACTCTGATCAAACCCCAGACTCGGACCCTGCGCTGCCCATGGGGCCGACCGTCAATATCTGGATTGGCAATGGCACCCTAGAGCTCACTAAGTTGACCCTAAAGCCCTTTGGGAGCCAAGGGTGGGGGTGGGGAAGGAATAACAAAGTAGAAAGTTCCTGGATTGAGGTGGAAAAATCAGTTTAACCTCCCTGGGCCTCATCTACGGAATGTAAGGGTTGGATTATGATTTCACAGGTCATAGCATCCTACTATTGTTTCTGCCTAAAATAAGCAGCAATAAGAATGAGTGTGAGGAAGACCACAGCAGCAGGACCCACCTGTTTCTGAGGCCTAGGGAGATGCAGTGATAGATTTCAGCTTATTCCTCATTCTCAGGTTTCTGTACCTTGACCCTCCATAGAGTGAACTTCTAGGTTCTGAGCTGACTCCTTGGAAACCCTAGACTCCAGGGACGCGCTTCTAGAACCTGCTCAGATTGCTACTCAGTTAACAGCCTGGCCCAGGAGGATTGCAACACCCAGCCTGGCTCCCAGGCAAGCTAAAGAGGGCTTGATGATGGGAAGAGGTTAAGGGGTACGTGGAGAGAAAGAAGGATCAGAAGGCGGAAACATCATAGACCTCCTGGGATGCCTTCTGCAGGATCACAGAGAAGGCAAAATTTGTCCTCCTGACTACAAGATGCCAAGATACATTTGTATCGAGCCACTGAATTCTCTACCCCTTCTGTAGAGGTGGTTGGGGAAGAGCTGCAGTAGGAAGCTGGGTCCCAAGTAATGAAGGACCTTTAGAAGCAGAAGGTGTTAGGGTGGGGGCAAAGGACTGAACTCTGACCAACCAGAAGAAAGGAAAAACTGGAGTTCCTTTCCCCTAGGTCTGCCTTTCTTTCTCAGGGTCTCTATTTACTTCTCATGCACTTGACTCTCTGCTTCCCTCTCCCTCATTTCCACAAAGGGGCCCAAGCTTCACATGCATCTCGCACCCCCGCACCTTGTGGGCAGGAAATCTGAGCACAGGCATTTCCTGTACGCTGATAAATGCCCACTGCAAAGAGCCCCAGCCTGAAGGTGGCCCTGTCTCCTAGTTATGTCCCTCCACATCCTTATCTCCCCAGGCTCCAGCCCTCACCAGCAGGGACTCAACAAACGCCATCTGTCAGATGAGTCATGGGACCAGAAGCTTGGGAGAAGACATGCAGAGCCAACCACTAACAAAACTGGCAAATGAAATAAATGCCCAGAAACCTGCTCCATCCCCAGCATTCCTTAAGTCCTATAAATTGCACCACCTTTTACCAGTTTTCAGAAACTAAAAGTCATCCTTGACATCCGTCCAATCAATCACCTCCTATTTATCTCCCAAATTCATTCTTTTTTCTTTTTGAAACAGAGTTTTTACTCTTGTTGCCCAGGCTGAAGTGCAATGGCACGATCTCAGCTCCCTGCAACCTCCGCCTCCCAGGTTCAAGCCATTCTCCTGCCTCAGCTTTCCTGAGTAGCTGGGATTACAGGCATGCGCCACTACGCCTGGCTAATGTTGTATTTTTAGTAGAGATGGGGTTTCTCCATGTTGGTCAGGCTGGTCTTGAATTCCCAACCTGAGGTGATCCACCCACCTTGGCCTCCCAAAGTGCTGGGACTACAGGTGTGAGCCATTACACCCGGCAAATTCATTTTTATAATCTTGCCACCCCCACAACCACTGCCCTCATGGACCCTGGGCACGCCTCACCCGAATTACAGAAATTCCCTCCCAGCTGGTAAAACTGTTTGTGTGTGGCTCTCCTTCATTCCATCCTCCCTGGTTTAGCCAGAGAAATAATTCTAAAATGTACACATCCCAAAGCATCTCATTTTCCTGCATGCAGTCTTTCATCATCCATTCACTAACTGGAGGACAACATCTGAATTTATTAGTGAGCATACAAAGGCTTTTCATCCGCTGAACCCAGCGCATCTGCTACCATTTCCCTGGTCTCCGGTCAGAACTAGTGACTGTCCCATAAACAGGTTCTGCTGGACTTCCAGTCAAGATGGAGCGGTGAGTTCTCTGTTCCAACCACAAACCAGCAGTAAATAAAACATTTTCGCATATAACCCAACACACACAGTTGGGCTGAAAAACAAGGCAAGCTTTCTGTGAACCAGAAGCAAGAACAGAGCCCAAAATCACTAAATGGGGCTGTGACTGACATGCTGCTGGGCTCTGAGTCCCAAAGGGTTTTAGAGAAGCCAGGAGCCCAGTTACCTTAGAAAGGGCAGTGACTAAGATGAACACCAGGGGTCTTCTGGAGGCCAAGAATGTTCTTTTTGTGCTCTGGGGGTTTATTACACAGGAGCATTCACTTTGTGAAAACTCATTGAGGTGCCCCTTTACGATTCATGTGCGTTTCTGTATATCTGTTATATTTCAATAGAAATGTTTACTTGAAAAACTTTGTCCTGGGAGAAAGCCCAGAGGAAGACCCTACTTTTAGATGCTGGAGACCAGGGTAGGGTGAGGTAAAGTGGGGTGGAAATAGAGCACAGCCTCAAAGTGAGGACCCATGCCAAGCCACCCACAGCTCCTCATCTGGATTGGCATCATTCTGGCACAGAATAAGGAACCATGAAATAACACGTAAGAGCTGGCGCTGGAACAGCGGCTTAGGAAAATGGGTGGAGGCAACCACAAAACTATAAACTGTGCATTCAGGAAGAGAAGAAAAAAAGACAAAAACAAAACAAATCAAAGGGGGAAAACTGCCACTAGAAATGGATCTGCAAATCAAAATTCCAAAACACATTTTAACAATGAAAAAGTCTAATGCTAAGAAAGACAGTAAAATCAATAAACAACATTAATTCATTCCAGTTGACATCAGTTTTATAGAGCAGAAGTCATAAAAATCTACCAATTTTATAGACTAGTACTAAAATCTATCAGTTTCATAGAGGATAGGTTTTGAAGTATATATACATTTACATTTCTCAAAGAAATCATAAAAACATATTAAAAATAAGCAATAAATATTAGATGAAAATAGGAATGGAACAAGAAGAAGTGGGAATAAAAAAGATTAGGAAGGCCAGGCGCGGTGGCTCACACCTGTAATCCCAGCACTTTGGGAGGCCAAGGCAGGCAGATCACCTGAGGTTGGGAGTTCGAGACCAGCCTGACCAATATGGAGAAACCCTGTCTCTACTAAAAATACAAAATTAGCCAGGCATGGTGGCACATGCCTGTAATCCCAGCTACTCAGGAGGCTGAGGCAGGAGAAGCACTTGAACCTGGGAGGTGGAGGTTGCAGTGAGCCGAGATCATGCCATTGCACTCTAGCCTGGGCAACAAGAGTGAACTCTGTCTCAAAAAAAAAAAAAAAAAAAAAAAAGATTAGGAAAAGCCTGGGCACGATGGCTCATGCCTGTAATCCCAGCACTTTGGGAGGCCAAGGCAGGTGGATCACCTGAGGTCAGGAGTTTGAGACCACCCTGGCTAACATGGTGAAACACTGTCTCTTCTAAAAATACAAAATTAGCCAGGCGTGGTGGCGCATGCCTGTAATCCTAGCTACTCAGGAGGCTGAGGCAGGAGAATTGCTTGAACCTGGGAGGTGGAGGTTGCAGTGAGCCGAGATCACACCACTGCACTCTAGCCTGGGTGACAGAGTGAGACTCTGTCAAAAAAAAAAAAAAAAAAACTCAAGGAAAACGAACAAACTGGAAATCTTAGACACAAAAAATAGCCATTGAATTGTTTAAGCCTCAATATTCAGGTTAAACTCTAGACTGAGTGTAGTCAGAGAAAAAATGATGAAATGGGGGATAGTATGGAAAAATTTATCCAAAATGAAATACAAAGAGGAAAAGAAGGAAAAATATGAAAGACAAGACATAAGTAGATTAAGAGACTCTAGCCTAAGAGAGATCTAGAAGAGGACAGTAGAGAAGCTAGCTTTGTGTATTTATTTTTATTTTTTGTTTCTGTTTCTATTAGCGTCTTGCTACCCTCTTCTAAACTTTGTACCAGAGATTTGGAAGGGAGATTGGAGATGAGTCATTTTCTTCCTCCAGCAGAGGCAGTGGGTGTCTAGACTCGGTCAGACATAGTTTATGTAGAGTCTGGCTAGACTCCATTCCCCTGCCACCCATGGACCCCAGGGATGCAGGATAAGTGTGATACCAGCAGAGATTTCCTCCAGTTCTCTGACATCTATTAATAGATGATAACAGCAACTTCTAGACTCTCTGGACTATAGCTACAGTGGTCAATCTGAAAGTTACATGCATCCCCTGATTTTCTTTTTGTTAGCACCCAATTCCCTATATTTGATCCCTTTCTGCTTGAAATACCTAGAATAGTTTCTTTTTTCTTTTTCTTTTTCTTTTTTTTTTTTGAGACGGAGTCTGGCTCTGTCGCCCAGGCTGGAGTGCAGTGGCGTGATCTTGGCTCACTGCAAGCTCCGCCTCCTGCGTTCACACCATTCTCCTGTCTCAGCCTCCCGAGTAGCTAGGACTACAGGTGCCTGCCACCAGGCCTGGCTAATTTTTTGTATTTTTAGTAGAGATGGGGTTTCACCGTGTTAGCCAGGATGGTCTCAATCTCCTGACCTCGTGATCCACCTGCCTCGGCCTCCCAAAGTGCTGGGATTACAGGCGTGAGCCACAGTGCCTGGCCCTAGAGTAGTTTCTGTGTTCTTTACTGATAAAAGCAAATGGCTGTATTTGAAGCTATACTACCCTTCCACATAAAATGGACCCAAAAAATAAAGAGTTGTAAAACAGGAAGAAAAGATCACAGTATTAGAGAACAAGTTCAGGAAGCCCAATATTCAAATAGGAGTTCTAGAAACAGAACTTGGAGGAAAACTGAGAGAAGGAATTCAGCAAAAAAAAAATTCAAGGCCGGGCATGGTGGCTCATGCCTGTAATCCCAGCACTTTGGGAGGCCGAGGTGGGGAGATCATAAGGTCAGGAGATCGAGACAATCCTGGCTAACACGGCGAAACCCAGTCTCTATTAAAAATACAAAAAATTAGCCGGGCATGGTGGCGGGCGCCTGTAGTCCCAGCTACTCGGGAGGCTGAGGCAGGAGAATGGCGTGAACCCGGGAGGTGGAGCTTGCAGTGAGCCGAGATTGTGCCACTGCACTCCAGCCTGGGCTACAGAGGGAGACTCTGTCTCAAAAAAAAAAAAAAAAAAAAAAAAAAAAATTCAAAAAGTGTTCCCAGAACAAAAGGACAGATGTTTGTCAATCAAAAGAGCCCACCTAGCGCACAGCACAAAGGATGAAAATGGATCCATGACAAAGCACATTATAATGAAATTTCAGAACATTAGGGATAAAAAGAAGATCCTATAAGCATCCAGAGATGGGGACAAACAGTTGTATACTCAGTTATCAAGAATCAGAATTCATTCAGACCACTCAAAAGCAAAAATAGAATCTAGAAAGTAATGAAGCAATGCCCTTTAAATTCTAAAGGAAAAATTATTTCTAACATAAAATTTCACACTTAAAGTTGCAATCACATGTAAAGATAGAGAAAAAATATTTTTACATATACAGATAATTTTTGTGAAGTATTTCCTTAGTACCTTCTCTCAGGAAGCGACTGAAGGATGTGTTTTACCAAAAATAAGAAAACAAAAAGAGGAAGCTATGGAATACAAAACCAAACCTGGAAAGAGAGGAAGGGAATCCCTGGGACAATGATGAAAGGGGACACCAAGATAAGAGCTGTGAATAAGTGTGGAAGGCAACCAGTCCAGATTGCAGCAGATCAGAATGCTCCAGGAAAGATTTCCTCAAGAAGATAAAAGTGATAAACTGGCCGGGCATGGTGGCTCATGCCTGTAATCCCAGCACTTTGGGAGGTGGAGGCGGGTGGATCACCTGAGGTCAGGAGTTCCAGACCAGCCTGGCCAACGTGGTGAAACCCTGTCTCTACTAAAAATACAAAAATTAGCTGGGCATGGTGGCACACGCCTGTAGTCCCAGCTACTCAGGAGGCTGAGGCAGGAGAATCACTTGAACCCAGGAGGCGGAGTTTGCAGTGAGCCGAGACCATGCCACTGCACTCCAGCCTGGGCAACAGAGTGAGACTCTGTCTCAAAAAAAAAAAAAAGAAAAGAAAAGAAAAACAAGTGATAAACTACTTAATGTTTGGATGCACTGAAAGAAGGTTTATACATCGACAGGCATGGTGGCTCACACCTGTAATCCCAGCACTTTGAGAGGCTGAGGCGGGCACATCACCTGAGATCAGGAGTTCAAGACCAGTCTGGGCGACATGGTGAAACCCCATCTCTACCAAAAATACAAAAATTAGCCAGGTGTGGTGGTGCACACCTATAGTCCCAGCTACTCAGGAGGCTGAGATGGGAGAATCACTTGAATCTGGGAGGCGGAGGTTGCAGTGAGCCAAAATCGTGCCACTACACTCCAGCCTGGGTGATTAAAGAAAAAAAAAAGTTTATATAACTTGGACTAAATTAGCAATAAGAATATAGAAAATGAAGCAAATGAAAAAGGAAGACAATCATGAACTCCAGGGAAAATAAAAGGTTGTGCAGAAAAGGAAAAATAATCACAGTATACTATATGGCTCAGCTGTGACTAGTGTTACAATAGTCATAGTAATATAAATATTTGATATTGATCTCATCAAAATTATAGTATTGAAAGGATTAAGGGACAAAATAGTGTATGTGTAGTGGTGGAGAAGGGGGTGGAAGAGAGCCAAAGCTTTATTGTCCATAGAGGGAAGACCATAAGTAAAAGCTATAGTTGAAAAATGAATATAAGCATATTATTTAGAGAGAAAGAGGTAAACACCAAAAAAACTAGCTGAAAGAGTTGAAAAAGGAGGTGGGAGGATCACTTGAGCCCAGGAGCTCTAGGCTGCCTGGAGCTATGATCACGCCTGTGAATAGCCACTACACTCCAGCCTGGGCAACATAGCAAAACTCCATCTCAATCAATCAATCAATGAGCTGAAAAAGGTTGCCTCTGAAGAAAGGGAAATGTGAGGCAAGGAGTAGGGGACTGCTGTTTTTCATAATAAGTCTTATAGACCAATTTAACTCTTTAATTTATGTGTATGTGTGATTTCATATAAAGATAAAGCTAAAATAAATAAGATCAGAACTTAATGAAACAAAAAACAAACAATAGAAAGGATAATGGTCATGCCTGTAATCCCAGTACTTTGGGAGGCTGAGGTGGGCAGATCACCTGAGGTCAAGAGTTCGAGAACAGCCTGGCCAACATGGTGAAACCCCGCCTCTACTAAAAATACAAAAATTAGCTGGGCATGGTGGCACATGCCTGTAGTCCCAGCTACTCAGGAGGCTGAGGCAGGAGAATCGCTTGAACCCGGGGGTCAGAAGTTGCAATGAACCGAGATAGCGCCATTGCACTCCAGCCTGGGCAACAGAGCAAGACTCCATCTCAAAAAAAAAAAAAAAAAAAAGGAAAGGATGCATTAGCAAACTATATCAGGAATAAAAAATTACTGTTTCCACTTACACAGAAGATTTGAAAATTTTATGAAAAGTTTTATGTATTAAATACTTCCGATAAAATGGATAATTTTCTAGTCATAAATAGCTAAAATGATGCAAAAATAAATGGAAAGCCTAACTAAACCAATTACCATCAAAATTTTTGAACTAGTAATCGAAAGTCTCTTGCCCTATGCTGGGTGCAGTGGCTCAAACCTGTAATCCCAGCACTCTGGGAGGCCAAGGCAGGTGGATCACCTGAGGTCAGGAATTCCAGACCAGCCTGGCCAACATGGTGAAACCCTGTCTCTACTAAAAATACAAAAATTAGCTGGGCATGGTGGCGGGCACCTGTAATCCTAGCTATGCAGGAGGCTGAGACAGGAGAATCACTTGAACCCGGGAGGCAGAGGTTGCAGTGAGCCAAGATCATGCCACTGTACTCCAGTCGGAGCAAGACTCCCGCTCAAAAAAAAAAAAGTCTCTTTCCCTAAATGATATCTGTCCCAGATGGTTTTAGAAACTCATTTTCTTAAACCACTAAGGCACAAATAAACTATTTGTTTGTTTGTTTGTTTGTTTTGAGATGGAGTCTCCTTCTGTCGCCCATGCTGGAGTGCAGAGGTGCAATCTTGGCTCACTGCAACCTCCACCTCCCCAATTCAAGCCATTCTCCTTTCTCAGCCTCCTGAGTAGCTGGGATTACAGGCACACACCACCATGCCCAGCTAATTTTTGTATTTTTAGTACAGACGGGGCTTCATCATATTGGTCAGACTGGTCTCAAACTCCTGATCTCAGGTGATCCACCTGCCTTGGCTTCCCAAAGTGCTGGGATTACAGGTGTGAGCCACAACACCCGGCCACAAATAAACTCTTAAAAACATGTGGCTGGGCGCAATGGCTCACGCCTGTAATCCCAGCACTTTGGGAGGCAGAGGCGGGGGGATCACGAGGTCAGGAGATCAAGACCAAGGTGAAACCCCGTCTGTACTAAAAATACAAAAAAATTAGCTGGGCGCGGTGGTGGGCGCCTGTAGTCCCAGCTACTCGGGAGGCTGAGGCAAGAGAATGGTGTGAACCCAGGAGGCGGAGCTTACAATGAGCCGAGATTGCGCCACTGCACTCCAGCCTGGGCGACAGAGCGAGACTCCATCTCAAAAAAAAAAAAAAAAAAATGTTTTCTGTTCCTGTGCCATTTGTTCTCCTAAATTCTTCTTCTGGTGAGATTTTCTGTGGAGCACAGAATAGCCCAGTTACGGCCTGCATCTTCCAACCTTCCTTGCAACTGAGGAGTGTCTGACTAAATGCTCACCTTTGATGATGAGCAAATAATGGTGCCATTTCTCCATTACTTGCTATGGAGAAATGGCGATTCCTAGGGTTCCTGTAAAAAAGTGTCACAAACTGGGGGATTAACAACAGAAATGTACTCCCTCACAGTTCTGGAGGCTGTAAGTCCAAGATCAAGTTGTCAGTAGGGTTGGTTCCTTCTGATGATTGTGAGGGGAAGTCTGTTCCACCCTGTGTCCTAGCTTCAGGTGGTGCGCTGGCAATCTGTGGCATTCCTTGGTGTCTCTCTGCCTTCATGTTCACATGGAGTTCTCCCTCAGGTGTGTCCAAATCCCCCCACCCCTCTTTTTTTTTTTTAATTTGAGATGGGGTCTCACTCTGTCACCCAGGCTGGAGTGCAGTAGTACCATCATGGTTCACTGCAGCCTCAACCTCCCAGGCTAAAGGGATTCTCCCACCTCAGCCTCCCAAGTAGCTGGGACCTACAGGCATGTGCCACCACACCCAGCTAATTTTTTTTTTTAATTTTTATTGTTAGTAAAGATGGGATCTTGTTCTGTTGCCCAGGCTGGTCTCCAACTTCTGGCTGCAAGTGATCCTCCCTCCTTGGCCTGGCAAAGTGCTGGGATTACAGGTATGAGCCACTGTGCCTGGCCCAAATTGCCTCTTTTTATAAGGACACCAGTCACATTGGATTAGAGGCCCACCCTACTCCAATATCACTTTAATTATATCTGTAATGACCCTATTTTCAAATAAGGTCACATCCTGAGTTACTGGGAGTTAAAACTTGAACATATGAATCAAGGGGACAACATTTGTTTCAAAGGAAATTGCTCACCCTCCTCTTTCCTATTCTCCCTTTCCTAAGGGCCGCACACATACAGAGCTGAACTTGTATCGCCGTGTAGATGAAGACAAACACCTTTAGGAGATGGCAGAGAAACAAAATGGGAAACCCTCAGGTCTCCAAATGACTACACCAAGCAGAATTGCCCCACCAGCCTGCACCATTCATTTCTAGACTATGAGCAAGAAGTACACTTCCATCTTATTTAAACAACCATATTTGGGGTTTTTGTTGTTGTTATTGTTGTTGTTATAGGAGCTTAGCTTTTACTCTAAGAAATACAGCTACTCAACTCACTTCATTAGGATCTTAACTATAATATCAAAACCTCCTAAGCACAGAATAAAAAATACAGTAGAGCAATATCATTTATGATCATAGATGCAGAGCTTCCAAATGAAATACTAGCATATTCAAGGAAAGATATATATACCATGACCTAGTTGTGTTTAATTTCTGGAATTCAAAAATGGAATGTTTGACATAAGAAAATCTATTAGGCCGGGCGCGGTGGCTCACGCCTGTAATCCCAGCACTTTGGGAGGCCGAGGCAGGCAGATCACGAGGTCAGGAGATCGAGATCATCCTGGCTAATACGGTGAAACCCCGTTTCTACTAAAAAATACAAAAAAAAAATATTAGCTGGGAGTGGTGGCGGGCGCCTGTAGTCCCAGCTACTTGGGAGGCTGAGGCAGGAGAATGGCGTGAACCCGGGAGGCAGAGCTTACAGTGAGCTGAGATCGTGCCACTGCACTCCAGCCTGGGTGACAGAGCGAGACTCTGTCTCAAAAAAAAAAAAAAAAAGAAAAAAGAAAACAGTTTGGCAGTTCCTCAAAAAGTTAAACATAGGATGTTTGAAAATTTAAACGTAATATGACCTAGCAATTCAACCCCAGGTATACAACCAAGAGAATTGAAAACAGGTGTTCAAACAAAAACTTGTACAGGATTGCTCATAGCAGCATTATTTATAATAGCCAAAAGGAAGAAACTACTCAAATGTCCATCAGCTGATGAATGGATAAACAAAATATGGTGTATTTCTACAATGGACTATTATTCAATCATAAAAAATGAAATGCTGATAAATGCCAAAATTGACGAACTTTTAAAACATGCTAAGTGGCTGGGTGGGGTGGCTCTAGTCCGTAATCCCGGCATGTTAAGAGGCCGAGGTGGGCGGGTCACTTGAGCCTGGGAGGTCGAGGCTGCAGAGAGCTGAGATCGCGCTACTGCACTCTAGCCTGGGTGACAGAGCAGACCCTGTCTCAGAAAGAAAAGAAAAAACAGAAAAGAGAAAGAAGACAGGAGAGGAGAGAAGGGGAGGGGAGGGGAGGGGAATGGAGAGGGGGAGGGGAGGGGAGGGGAAGGGGGAGGGAAGGGGAGGGGAGGGGAACATCCTGGCCGGGTGCAGTGGCTCACGCCTGTAATCCTAGCACTTTGGGAGGCCAAGGTGGGCGGATTGCCTGAGCTCAGGAGTTCGAGACCAGCCTGGGCAACACGGTGAAACCCCGTCTCTACTAAAATACAAAAAAATTAGTTGGGCGTGGCGATGTATACCTGTAGTCCCAGCTACTCAGGATGCTGAGGCAGAAGAATTGCTTGAACCCAGGAGGTTGAGGTTGCAGTGACGCGAGATTGCACCACTGCACTCCAGCCTGGGTGACAGAGTGAGACTCTCTCCCAAAAAAAAAAAAAGAAAAGAAAAGAAAAGAACATGCTAAGTGAAAGAAGCCAGAGAAAAAAAGGCAACACATTGTATTATTCCATTTAATGAAATATCCAGGATAAACAAATCCATAGAAATGAAGAGCAGCTGAGGGGTTGCTGGGGCTAGGGACGGGGGGGATATCAGGAATGACTGCTTCATGGGTACAGAGTTTTCAGGTGATGAAATCTTCTAGAATTAGATAATAGTGATGGTTGCACAACATTATGAAAATACCAAAAACCACTGAACTGTACACTTTAAAATTGTTAAAATGGTGAATTTTATATTATGTGACAATTTTGTAAAAGAATTCTATATCCAATGAAAATATTCTTCAAGAATGAGAGGGAAATAAAGGCGTTCTCAAGTGAAAAATCAAGAGAATTTGTCATTAGTAGACTTGTTGTAAAATAAATACTAAAGAAAGTTCTTCAAACGGAAGAAAGAGGATACCTGAAAGAAATTTAGAACATCAAGAATGAAGACAGAGAAACAAAAATGGTAAAAATCTGGTTAAATATAATAGACTATTTTTATCTTAAATTCTTTATAATATGTATATGTTGGGGCTCAGAAAACAACACCTCAAAAGTATGGCGCTTTGGTATGCTGAACACTTTGAACTAAAATAGAAAGGACTTAGAAGCTACCTCAGAATAAGGCCTTTCTGGCCTCATCTGTTTCTATCGCCTAGAGACTTCTAGAGACTTCTGGAGTCTCTATCCCCCTAGAGACTTCCCCTAGAATTTCCTTATCTGACTAAGGAAACTTCTTTCCAAAAGAAATGCAATTGTCTTAAGATCCCCTTCCTAGGAATCTCATCAAATAATCAGAAAAGATTAACCACCAGAGAAGAATGGAGACTAAAGTCAGATGACTCTTCATCTAGTCCTCTGAGGCAGTGCCAAGAGATAACCTGGGAGGCTTTATCTACCAGGTTAAGTTTCACCCCTCACCTTCCGGTAACTTGCTGGCGTCGTTTAGTTTCCTAGGAGAATCATTTACAAGATAATGTCTGAGCCTCCTGGGCCCATTCATTTCCCCTAAAAATCATTAACAACCCCTGCATTTTCCCCATCTCCCTCTTCCCTATGAAGCAGATATATAAGCCTCAATCATCTGGCCCTTTGGGTCTCATATTTAATATTGTACCCATGTTTTTGTATGTTAATAAATTTATATGCCTTTTTCTCCTATTAATCTGTGTATTGTCAGTCATTTTAGCAAATCTTTTTTTTTTTTTTTTTTTTTTTTTTTTGAGATGGAGTCTCGCTCTGTCACCCAGGCTGGAATGCAGTTGGGCAATCCTGGCTCACTGCAACCTCTGCCTCCCAGGTTCAAGCAATCCTCCTGTCTCAGCCTCCTGAGTAGCTGGGATTACAGGTGCATGCCGCCACACTCAGCTAATTTTTTGTATTTTAGTAGAGACAGGGTTTCCGCGTGTTGCTCAGGCTGGTCTCTAACTCCTGAGCTCAGGTAATCCACCCACCTCAGCCTCCCAAAGTGCTAGGAGCTAGGATTTCAGGCGTGAGCCACCGCGCACAGCCTTTAGCAAATCTTTAGAGAGAACAAAAGGGAAGCTTTCCCTCTGCCCCTGCGTATGACAATTGAAAGAAAAATTACATCATGAGACCTTAAAAGCACAGGCAACCAAAGCAAAAATGGACAAGTGGGATCACATCAAGCTAAAGTTTCTGCACAGCAAAGGAAACAATGAAGAGAAAAGGAAACTAAGTGAAGAAACAACCCACAGAATGAGAGAAAATATTTGCGAACTACCCATCTGAAAAAGAATTAATAACCAGACTATATAAGGAGCTCAAACAACTCCACTGGAGAAAAACAATCCAATTTTAGAATGAGCTAAAGATATGAATAGACACTTCTCAAATGTATGACCAACAGGCATAAGAAAAAATGCTCAACATCACTAATCATCAGAGAAATGCAAATCAGAACTACAGTAAGATATCATCTCACCCCAGTTAAAATGGCTTTTATCCAAAAGACAGGCAATAATGAATGCTGGCAAGGACATGGAGAAAGGGGAACCCTCCTACACTGTTGGTAGAAATATAAACTAGTACAGCCACCCTGGAGAATAGTATGGAGGCTCCTCAAAAAACTGAAAGTAGAACTACCATATGATTCAGCAATCTTATTGCTGAGCATCTATCCAAAAGACATGAAGTCAGTATATGGAAGAGATATCTGCATTCCCATGGTTATTGCAGCACTACTCACAATAGCCAAGATATGGAAGCAAATTAAATGTCCATCAACAGATAAATAGATAAAGAAAATGTGGGCTGGGCATGGTGGCTCATGCCTGTAATCCCAGCACTTTGGGAGGTTAAGGAGGATCACTTGAGGTCAGGAGTTTGAGACCAGCCTGGCCAATATGGTGAAACCCCATCTCTACTAAAAATACAAAAATTAGCTGGGTGTGGTGACACATGCCTGTAATCCCAGCTACTCAGGAGGCTAAGGCAAGAGAATCACTTGAACCTGGGAGGCAGAGGTTGCAGTAAACCAACATCATGCCACAGCACTCCAACCTGGGCAACAGAGAAAGAAAATGTGGCACAAATATACAATTGAATATTATTTAGCAATAAAAAATGAAATCTTAGGCCAGGCGTGGTGGCCCATGCCTGCAATCCCAGCACTTTGGGAGGCCGAGGTGGGTGGATCATGAGGTCAGGAGTTCAACACCAGCCTGGCCAAGATGGTGAAACCCCATCTCTACTAAAAATACAAAAATTAGCCAGGCGTGGCGGCAGGTTCCTGTAATCCCAGCTACTCAGGAGGCTGAGGCAGGAGAATCACGTGACCCAGGAGGCGGAGGTAGCAGTGAGCAGAGATTGCGCCACTGCACTACAGCCTGGGAGACAGAGCAAGACTCTTTCTCCAAAAAAGAAGAAATCTTGTCATTTTCAACAACATGGATGAAACTGGAAGACAACATGTTAAGTGAAATAAGCCAGGCACAGAAAGACAAATACCACATGTTCTCATATATAAGAAGTTAAAAAAAAAACAAAAAACCTGAGTGAATGGAGATAGAGGATGAAAGGATAATGGGAAGTGGGAGATAAAGCAGAGATGGTTAATGGGTACAAAAATACAGTTGGAGAGAATGAATAAGATCAAGTATTTGGTAGCACAATAGGGCAATGGGGTGACTCTAGTTAACAATTTATTGTATATTCTTAAATAACTAAAAGAGTGAAATTGGAGTTTCTAACAAAAAGAATGAAAAAGTCTTGAGAGGATGGATACCCCATTTACCCTGATTTGATCATTATACATTGTATGCCTGTATGAAAACGTTACATGTAGGCTGGGCACAGTGGCTCATGCCTGTAATCCCAGCACCTTAGGAGGCCAAGGCAGGGGGATCACCTGAGGCCAGGAGTTCAAGACCAGCCTGGACAACATAGTGACACAGTGTCTCTACAAAAAATGTTAAAAATTAGCCAGCCTGGTGTGATAACATGAGCCTATTGTCCCAGGTACTTGGAAGGCTGAGGCAGGAGGATCAATGAAGCCCAGAAGTTTAAGGCTGCAGTGAGTTGTGATCGTGCCACTGCACTTCAGCCTGGGCAACAGAGCAAGACCCTATCTCTACAAAAAAAGTACTCCATAAATATATACAACTACTATGTACCTGTAATAATTAAAAATAAAATTTTAAAAATTATATCATGGCCAGGCGCGGTGGCTCACACCTATATTCCCAGCACTTTGGGAGGCTGAGAATCACTTGAGCCTAGGAGTTTGAGACAAGCCTGGGCAACATGGAGAGACCGTCTCTACAAAAATAAAATTGTTTTAATTAGCTGGGTTTGGTGGTGCATACCTGTTAATCTCAGCTACTTGGGAGGCTGAGATGGGAGGATCACTTTAGCCTCAAAGGTAGAGGCTGCAGTGAGTCATGACTGCACCACTGCACTCCAGCCTGGATGACAGAGCAAGAGCCTGTCTCAAAAAAAAAAAAAAAATTATCTCATGGTTTAAAGAGTTTTTGATGTATGTAAATATAATATAGTTAACAACTACAAGCAGAAAGGGGGAGGGTAAAGAAACCCACGTGGTGGTAAGGTTCCTACATTCCACATGGAGTGGTAAAATATGAATTCTAAGTAGACTATGAAATATTAGGTATATATATCATAATATTATAGAACAATCTATTTAAAAAAAATTTTTTTTTGAGACAGAGTCTCACTCTGTTGCCCAGGCTGGAGTGCAGTGGCATGATCTCAGCTCACCGAAACCTCTGCCTCCTGAGTTCAAGAGATTCTCATGCCTCAGCCTCCTGAGTAGCTGGGACTACAGGCGCGTGCTACCAGGCCTGGCTAATTTTTGTATTTTTTAGTAGAGACAGGGTTTTGCTATGTTGGCCAGGCTGGTCTCAAACTCCTGGCCTCAAGCGATCCACCCGCCTTGGCCTCCCAAAATGCTGGGATTACAGGTGTGAGCCACCACCACCCAGCCAAAAAAAAAGTTAAACTATACAATGGAAGATGTGGTTAAAACTCAACAGATAGCCAGGTGCGGTGGCTCATACCTGTAATCCCAGGACTTTGGTAGGCCAAGGCGGGTGGGTAGTTTGAGCCCAGGAATTCCAGACCAGCCTGGGCAACATGGTGAAACCCCATCTCTAATACTATTGGCCGGGTGCGGTGGCTTACGCCTGTAATCCCAGCACTTTGGGAGGCTGAGGCAGGAGGATCACGAGGTCAGGAGATTGAGACCATCCTAGCTAAAATGGTGAAACCCCGTCTCTAATAAAAATACAAAAATTGGCCGGGCGTGGTGGCGGGCGCCTGTAGTCCCAGCTACTTGTAAGGCTGAGGCAGGAGAATGGCATGAACCCGGGAGGCGGAGCTTGCAGTGAGCTGAGATCATGCCACTGCACTCCAGCCTGGGCAACAGAGCAAGATTCTGTCTCAAAAAAAAAAAAAAAAAAAAAAAAAACTAAACATTAGCCAAGTGTAGTGGTGTGGGCCTGTAGTCCCAGCTGCTCAGTAGGCTGAGGGGGGTGAATCACCTTAGCCTGGGAAGTGGAGGCTGTGGTGAGCTTTGATCATGCCACTGCACTCCAGCCTGGGCAATGGGAGTAAGACCTTGTCTCAAAGGAGAAAAAAAAAAAAAGATAAATTAAAATGAAATACAAAAAAAAAAAAAAATCAAATAATCCAAAAGAAGGCAAGAAAGAGGAAACAGGAATTTTAAAAACAGAACAAACAGAAACCAAATACTAAAAAGGGAGACCTAATTTCAAACATATTGATATTTACATGAAATAAAGTGATCCAAAAGAGATTATCAGATTGGATTTTTTTTTTTTTTTTGAGACAGAGTTTTGCTCTTGTTACCCAGGCTGGAGTGCAATGACGCAATCTCTGCTCACCACAACTTCCGCCTCCCAGGTTCAAGTGATTCTCCTGCCTCAGCCTCCCGAGTAGCTGGGATTACAGGATGCACCACCACGCCCAGCTAATTCTTGTATTTTTAGTAGAGACGGGGTTTCTCCACATTGGTCAGGTTGGTCTCGAACTCCCGACCTCAAGTGATCCACCCACCTTGGCCTCCCAAAGTGCTGGGATTACAGGTACGAGCCACTGCACCTGGCCCAGAGTGGATTTTAAAGCAAACAAAAACAGACCCAACTATTTACCATCTACAATTTTATAATACAAGTAGGTTAAAAATAAAACAATGGGAAAAGATATACCATGCAAGCGCTAATCAAAAGAAAGTCGAAGTGCCTATATTAATATTAGACAAAAGAGACTTCAGAGCAAAGATAATTTCCAGAGATAAAGAGAGGCAATACATAATAATAAAAGAGTCAGCCCAGTGGGGCCCAGTGGCTCACACCTGTAATCCCAGCACTTTGGGAGGCCAAGATGGGTGGATCACTTGAGGTCAGGAGTTCAAGACCAGTCTGGCCAACATGGTGAAACCCTGTCTCTACTAAAAATACAAAAATTAGCAAGGCGAAGTGGTGTGTGCAGGTAATCCTAGCTACTCAGGAGGCTGAGGCAGAAGAATTGCTTGAACCCAAGAAGCAGAGGTTGCAGTGAGCTGAGATAGCACCACTGCACTCCAGCCTGGGCAACAGAGTGGGACTCTGTCTCAAATAAATAAATAAATAAAATAAAAATAAAAAATAAAAGAGTCAGCCAGGTGTGGTGGCTCACACCTGTAATCCCAGCACTTTGGGAGGCCTATGCAGGTGGGTGACCTGAGGTCAGGAGTTTGAGACCAGCCTGGCCAACATGGCGAAACCCCATCTCTACTAAAAATACAAAAATTAGCCAGGTGTGGTGGCAGGCACCTGTAATCCCAGCTACTTGGGAGACTGAGTCAGGAGAATTGCTTGAACCCAGGGGGCGGAGGTTGCAGTGAGCTGAGATCATGCCACTGAACTCCAGCCTGGGTGACAGAGTGAGACTCTGTCTCCAAAAAAAACAAAGTCCATTCCCCAAGAAGACATAACAATTTTAGATGTGTATGCACCTAACAAAAGAGCTTCAAAATACACACAGCAAAACCTGTTAGAATTGAAAGAACTGGACAAGTCCACAACTATAGTTAGAGATTTCAACATTCCTTTCTTAGTAACAGATAGGACAAGCCAACATAAAATCAGTAAATATAAAGAGTTGAACTATTTCATCTACCAACTGGATTCAATTGACATTTACAGAACACTACGCCCACCCAACAAGAACAGAATATACATTCTTCTGAAATGCACATTGTACATTCACTATGATAGATTATATCCAAGGTCATAAAACAAACCTTACTAAGTGCAATAGCCTTGAAATCATACAAAGTATGTTCTCAGATCATAATAAAATTAAATTAGCAATCAATAATGAAAAGATAACTGAAAAATCCCAAACACTTGGAAATTAAACAACATAATAATCTATATGTCAAAAAGAAAGTTTCAAGGGGAATTAGAAAATACTTTGAAGTGAATGAAAAATACAATATAAAATTTGTGGGATGCAGCTAAGGCAGTGCATAGAGGAAAATACATATTATTAAATGCTTATCTTAAAAGAAAAAATCTTAAATCAATATTATAAGTTTCCACATTGAGAAGCTAGAAAAACAAAACCAATATAAACTCAAAACAATCAGAAGGAAAGAATAAAAATAAGAGTGAAACCAATAAAATTAAAAACAAAAACAATGAAGAACATCAATAAAACCACAGCTACTTCTTTGAAAACATCCATAAAATTGATAATCCTCTAGCCAGATGAACCAAAAAAGTGGGGAAAGGGAAACATATTACCTGTATCTGGAACAAAAGAGAAGATATCACTACAGACACCACAGACATTTAAAGAATAATAAGAGAATACTACAAACACTCTACACAGATACAAATTTGATGACTTACATAAAATGAACCAATTTCTTGAAAGCGATAAAGCCAAAAAATTGAATTCATTTTAATGAACGGTTAAAATATTCTGATCATTTCTTGGGGTAATAGAATTGTTCTGCATCCTACTTGCTACAGTGGTGACATGAATCTAGATGTGCTAAAACTCAGAACTAGGCTGGGCGAGGTGGTTCACACCTGTAATCCCAGCACTTTGGGAGGCTGAAGCAGGTGGACTGCCTGAAGTCAGGAGCTCAAGACCAGCCTGGCCAACATGGTGAAACCTTTTCTCTCCTAAAAATACAAAAATTAGCCGGACTTGGGGTCATGCGCCTGTAATCCCAGCTAATCAGGAGTCTGAGGCAGGAGGATCCCTTGAACCCGGGAGGCAGAAATTGCAGTGAGACGAGATTGTGCACTCCAGCCTGGGCGACAAGAGCGAAACTCCATCTCAAAAACAAAATGAAACAAAACAAAACAAAACTCAGAGCTATACATATCCCCTCCTTTAAAAAGTCAATTTTACTGTTAATTTTTAAAATTTATAAAATCAATTAAGAAAAGGCCAAATCAATCAAGTGGACGCAAGTAAATAGGACATTTTCAGAAGAAACAAACAAAAATTGTAACAATATTCAACTGTCCTAGTAACCAGGAAATGCAATTAAAATAACAATAAGAAATTATTTCAGACACAAACATTAACAACAGCAAGTCTTGGGAAGATGTAGATTAACAAGACTTTCACATGCTGCTGGTAGAAGTACAACTGGTCAACCCCTTTGGAGTGGAATTTAATGAGATGAAGCTGAAAATGGGCCTGCCCTTCACCCCAGCAATGCCCCTTCTAAAACTTCTCTTAGGAGGCCAGGCATCGTGGCTCATACTTGTCATCCCAGAGCTCTGGGAGGCCAAGGCAGGAGGATACGTTGAGACCAGCCTGGGCAACACAGTAAGACCCCATCTCTACAAAAAATATTAATAACAAAAATAGGCAGAAGTGGTGGTGTGTGCCTGTAGTCCCACCTACTTGGGAGCTTGAGGTAGGTGGATCGCTTGAGCCCAAAAGTTTGAGGCTGCAGTGAGCTACGATCATGACACTGCACCCAAGCCTGGGCAACAGAGCAAGACCCTGTCTCAAAAAAAAAAAAAGAAATTCTCCTAAAAGCACAAAAAAGGATGTGCTCAAGAAAGTTCATTGCAGCATTGTCTGTAATAGCAAAATATTTTCAAAAACTAGGAAATTCAAACATCGTATATTATTCATACAATGGAATACTATATGGTAGTATTTTAAAGACATATAATATAATATTTTATGATATGATATGATATTTTATTTTATTTATTTTTGAGACAACCTCACTCTGTCACCCAAGCTGGAGTGCAGTGGTGCGATCTCAGCTCATTACAACCTCCGTCTCCCAGGTTCAAAAGATTCTCAGCCACCTGAGTAGCTGGGATTACAGGCACCTGCCACCACACCCGGCTAAGTTTTGTATTTTTAGTAGAGACAGGGTTTCCTCATGTTGGCCAGGCTGGTCTCTAACTCCTGGCTTCAAGTGATCCACCTGCCTCAGACTCCCAAAATGCTGGGATTACAGGCGCGAGCTGCTGCACCCAGCCTGACATGGTATTTCAAATAAATGAACTTAAAATTATGTGGAATTAACAAAGATAAAATCTCAAAAATATAATGTTAAATGTAAAAGCAACCTGTAAAAATGACACTAGTTATACAAATTTGAAAACATGTAAAACACTGTTACATATTGTTAGACATCTACAAATGCTTTAATAATATAAATACATGCCTGGAAAAGAGAAACCCGAATTCAGTCGTTGTCTCAGGGTGCAGTACACAAGGGGATTTCCATCGTATCTGTAACTTCTTTTCTTTTTAAGAAAAATGAAGTAAGCAAGGCAAAATACTGGAATTTAGTAGAGATGAATGGTGGATTCATGGACCTTCATGATGTTATTCTTTGCATTTTTCTTGGCATTTTTAACATTTCATAGTCAAAATAATCATTGCCTCTGTATACAAAAATATATCATAGTGGTTAAGAGCACTAACCATGAGCTCTGGAGCTGGAAAGCCTGAGTTTTTCTCCCATTTCTACTGCTCATTATCTGTGGGCTTTAGCAAATTACCTAACTTCTCTGAGCCTGTTTGCTTTTCTGTAAAATAAGGATAGCAACAGCACTTTCCTTATATTTTTATGAAGATTATATGAGTTAAAATGCAAGATGCTTAGTATTATATAATGCTGGGCACATAGCAAATACAAGTTTTAGGAATTTTTCTTAATTAATTTTTTTCTTTTCTTTTCTTTCTTATTTATTTATTTATTTATTTTTTGAGATATGGTCTCCCTCTGTCACCCAGGCTGGAGTGGAGTGGCACAATCATAGCTCACTGCAGCCTGGACCTCCTGGGCTCAAGCAATCCTCCCACCTCAGCTTCTGAGTAGCTGGGACTACAGAAGCCTGCCACCACACCCAGCTAGTTTTTTAATTTTTTGTAGAAAGGAGTCTCACTATGTTGCCCAGGATGGTCTGGAACTTATGGCCTCAAACAATCCTCCCACCTCAGCCTCCCACAGTGCTGGGATTGCAGGCATGAACTACTTACTGCACCGAAACTCTGCTGTCCACTCTGTGGTGGCTTCCCCAACACTGTCCCCGTGTCTAATTGGGCACCCCATCCTGAGTTTTTACCTTGCTTAGTGGGTAGCTTTCTTTCTTTCCTTTTTTTTTTTTTTTTTTTTTTTTTTTTTGATACGGAGTCTCACTCTGTCATCCAGGCTGGAGTGCAGTGGTGTGATCTCGGCTCACTACAACCTCCGTCTCCCGGGTTAAGCGATTCTCCTACCTCAGCCTCCCAAGTAGCTGGGATTACAGGCACCTGCCACACCCAGCTGATTTTTTTGTATTTTTAGTAGAAATGAGGTTTCACCATGTTTGTCAGGCTGGTCTCAAACTCCTGACCTCAGGTAATCCACCCCCCTCAGCCTCCCAAAGTGCTGGGATTACAGGTGTGAGCTGCTGCACCTGGTCCTTGACTATACTATTTTCTTATTTACCTTTGTATTCCAAATGTCTGGCAATGGTAGGAATATGAGTCATTACTAACAAACAAACAAATGAACAGGTGAATATCCCTTCTTTCCCCCAATAAACCTACCTGTGTTCTTTCTCCCCTTCCTCCTTCCTCTTCCCAAGGGCCCAGTACTCTAATAGACTGGCTTAAGTACCTCTAGTCATGGAAGATATACTTCGCAACACTCTTCTTGTATAATAAAAGAAACCCTTCTGTAGAAGTCACTCTTGAAACAAAAGAAAGAATCGCTAAGGGTGGAATCTTAGATCCTAAGGCACACCCCCCACTCCGCAGCTATTATCTCTCTCTGCTTAGTGCAGGACCATCTCAACAAATGAGAAACACTGGAAGATAATGTGGGAACAGAGTTCTCAGGGAAAACGCCGCGAGTGTTCTCTTGAAAAGTTGTATGTGAGACACATTTTTAAAAACACAAATCATATTCTGAATGAATAAAAGAATGTTTTTAATTTACTGGAGAAACTGGCTTGTTAAATCCTATTGTGAATTCTTTCTTAAAACCGGAGTAAGGAATTCTTTTGTTAAGTAAATATTCAAGCCCTTCCCTGCCAAAGGGCTTTTGAAATCTTTGCTGTAATGATGCTGATGTTTTCTGTGTTTATATGTCAAATGCCTGGAGCTTAATTGTTAATGGGTAAATAAGAGACGCCACTAGGTCCTTGCCAAGAAAGGCCCAATAGCTGAGGTTGGGAGAACAATGGCTCCACAGGACTCCCCCAGAGAGGGAAGAAGGGAGAGGACAGTTAGAGAAAGAGTGGCTCTATTCTCTTGTAGATGTGGCTGTTGGAGGAGCCAAGGAAGAGACCAACCTGGGGGATGAGAACACAGGCACGTGTGCTGGAGTGGACCTGAGCCTGAACAAAGGTATCGGGCACAGCTCTGGCTTTGCTTCATTTCTCCTTCTTGCCAGTTGATCAGGAATTCCTGCTGCTCTCCAGAAAACCATCAGAAGCATATGTTGCTGTTGGAATCACCACCCACCAGTGGGCAGAAGAAAGCTGGGGTCACAGGCTAATTTCCCCAGGCAGGTGGCCTGGGTTGAATTCCACGCCCGCCACTGTAGGCTAATCTGCCCCACTTTAGGCATGTTATTTAACCTCTGTCCTTGGAGTCCTATGCAGCAAAATGGGGATAAGAATGCCTACCCCATAAAAGGTTTTGTAAAAATTAATTAATATTGTAGAAAAATGCTTAGAACCGTGTCTGATGCATAGTACATGCTATGTGTGTTAAATATTTAACTGACAGTTAAGGCCAGACACATTGGCAAAGTAACCTTAAATCCAAAAACAGCAGACCAATTGTAAGGAAAGGGCTAACTGGAAATTTTTATAAGTCTGTTTGCTGAAGAAGCCTTTTCCAGATTTTTTTTTTTTTTTTTTTTTGAGACAGAGTCTCGCTCTGTTGCCCAGGCTGAAGTGCATGGTGCGATCTTGGCTCACTGCACCTCTGCCTCCTGGGTTCAAATGATTCTACTGCCTCAGCTTCCTGAGTAGCTGGGATTACAGGCACGCGCCACCACGCTGGGCTAATTTTTGTATTTTTAGTAGAGACAGGGGTTTCACTGTTGGTCAGGCTGGTCTCGAACTCCTGACCTCAGGTGATCCACCATCCTCAGCCTCCCAAAGTGCTGAGATTACAGGCGTGAGCCACTGCACCTGGCGCCTTTTCCAGATTTGAAGTTGCAGGGAGAGCTGAGGATATTCACAGGGCAAGGACTTGAGGCAGAGAGACGAAGACTCGGGTCTGCCAAAGCAAGGTCATTCCCTCTGGATTCTAGTTCTTCAGATGGATAGAATGAGGTCAAAGATAAAGCTCTCACCCAAGCAGGAGGAAAAAAACGCTCTCAAGGATTGCCAGACTCTAAAAGTTTCAGAGTTGAAAAGGGCATTTCAAGCTATAAGCAGCCAGCCAAGAGCTAGGCACAGGGTGTCTCAGTTCTTGGCATTGCTGGGCCAGCATCTATACTTAGGGAAAATCCACATGGAAGGACCCCTTCTCCTCTCTCCAGGAAAACACTCAGCTTAATGACAGCTGGGTCCAGAGCAGGGGCCTAGCAAGTCCTTGTCTGGGCCTCTGGTGCCGGAGTCAAAGGAGGTCCTGATCCAGCCTTGGGATTCCAGCAAGGACTTTACCCCATATTCAGGAGGGGAATCTACAGGTCTCCCTCAAAGACCCTCAGGACATTCTGTGGGCAGCCCCTCCACCATCTCCTCGCTGCTGTTCAAATTCTCACTTTTATTTGTGTGCCACTTTTAATTTGTCAAAGCACTGTCACATCTACTAGCTCACCTGATCTATGCCACCACATCAGAGGATACAGAAAGGTGGTATTAGGACATCTGACAGCCAAGGAAGCAGAGACTCCAGTGGTTAATGTCTAGCCCAGGACCACAGCTACTAGCAGAGGCTACACCTATACCCCTGACTTCACATCACACTCTGCCACACTCCCTCTCCTGTGTGAGGGCTCCCCCAGGAAAAGAGGAAAGACAGGAGCTATTCTAGGCAAAGTAACCTTAAATCTGAAAGCAGAAGATGAATTGCAAGGAAGTGCAGCTCCAGGACGTGTTCCCCTATCTTCCCATCAGAACTCAGCCAGCAGCCATGGACACAGGCCTCTCTTTCCTCTGCACTGCTTCCCCACCCTGGTTCCCGCTCTGGGGTAGGTCCCTCCCAGACCATTATGGCTGGGACGTGCAGCATCTTTTTTCTCTGCTTCTCCAGTAACAGCTGGTTCTGCTCAACTCCCAAAGATGATTTTCAAGAACCCCAACACTACTATCTGCCTGGGCTGCCAGAAAGAGAAAGGGCACCCTCAGAGACACTGAAGACCACCCTCCAGAAGCCGCCAGCACTTTCTATCATGTGACTAGCTCTGGGTGCTCCTTATCTAGCGAAAGGGGCTGGCTCAAATGGCACAGATATTGAAGATCTTCCTGAAGAAGACAGGAAGAGATGCTCAGGTCAGGGAGGGAATGAGACCCCTGGGGAAGGGACTCCTCCCAGCTGAGGAGTTGATTAGAAGCAATCTTGGAGTTGGCAGGAGCCTTAGAGACTGCCTGAGCCAGTCCGGGAAGCTGGCTGAGGAGCTTGGGAGCAAGAGACTAAAACCAGCCAAGTTTGGGACAGAAGGGAAGGAAAGGGTTGAGCAGCGAACAGAGAGACAAAGAACAGGCAGTTCCAAAGAGCCAAGAATGCAAATCATTTGCAGACGCCGCTGGCGAGAGCCTCCACCAAGGCTGCTGTGGGGGTGCCTGATGCCACGAGCACAGCCACTTCTACACGTCACGGTGAGCGTGAGCCCATGCATGTGAGTGTCCCCGCTGAGTCATTCCATGTGTGTAATGATTGTGTCAGTTGTGAGTCACCAATTGTGTGTCAGTCAGGGCGGGGTGTGTGTGTGCTCAGTGCACAAGCACGTGAGGGCTGCCAGTGCCCAGAGTGACAGTGGAATGTGAATGAGAGCCAGAGAACCCGAGGAGCTCAGAGCACTCCCAGGGGGAAGCTGTGTTTAAAGGGCACCACGCTTCATTCACACCGTACATCACACACCACATTTCTGAACACGTTCCAGAGAAAGCCATCTGTGCCCGCTTCCTGCTGAAACCCCCTATGGAGCAGCAGTGCTGAATTCTTCAGGCTCACGGGGTTGTTATCAGAGTCAGAGATGGCCACAATCTTAGAATCCTGCATTTCAAGCCCTTCGTTTTGCAGAGGGAGGAACTGTGGCAGAGAAAGCTGACACAATGGTCCCAGAGTCACAGAGCTAGCTGGTAGAAAAGCCAGGTGTGGACCCAGGTGTCTGTCCAGACTTCCCTGCCCAGGACTCGGTATGTCAGCACAAAGTGGGTCCTTTTTCCTTTTTTCAGCAGGGATGTGATGACATCACTTCTTTTAACTAAAATGCACCCAGATCTTCCCATGAAATGAAACCCTGATGTCACGTCCTAAAGGCTGGATTTGATGAATAGCCCAAAAGGCAAAGTTGGGGCATCTCTGGCCAGACGGTTCTAGACTGAGAGTCATTTGACCTATTTTCCAAGAGCCTTGCCCCACCCAGGTCAGGAGGAGTCCACAGGGAGACCCATTCTTAGGTCTCTAGGTCCAAGATTGGCCAGGCACTTTGGCAGCCTTGATGCTGTGTGATTCAGAAGCTGCTTATGAGATGTTTGCGGATGTCTCACACAGGACTCCTGACTCGTCATCCTGCCACCTTCCTGGTGGCCATTTCACAGCTCAATTTCTCCTGCCCCACAACAATGAAAAAATAAATGAAAGTAGGGGATTTATTTTAGCAGTTTTCAAATTGAGTATCTCAAAGGGTTTAATAGGTAAAGAGCCTAACCCTATTAACTAGTAAGTTGAGGTTTGGGGATTATCTGTTTCAATTACCCATTCCATTCATTCTTCTCAGATGGCTCAGAGTTGACCTGAACTTCAAAGGGATCACTTCAACCACTTATTTCATAATAATTATTTCATAATAATTAAGTAGTTACTATATACACAGCACTGTTGAGGCCATTCAATAGGCACAGACACTGCCCTACATCCCTGGAGAGCAGAGATTTATTATCTCATTTATCAGAACTTCAAAGCCCTTTCACTCCAATTACAGCTTGTCACTGACCATGGAGGCGGCTGAGGTGCTCAGGGCACATGAGGCAAGGAGAATGGGAGGGGCAGAGAAATCACTGCTCCAGACTAGATCTGGAGTGGAGTGGTCTTACATTTGGGCCCAGGTTCTACATTCATAAACTGGTGCTTTTCCCAACAGGGCTCTGCTAAAAACATGCCCTGGAAAGGGAGGTAAAAGGATGCCTTCTCAGCCGAGCGCGGTGGCTCACACCTGTAATCCCAGCACTTTGGGAGGCTGAGGGGGGGGTGGATCACCTGAGATCAGGAGTTCGAGACCAGCCTGACCAACATGGTGAAACCCCGTCTGCACTAAAAATACAAAAATTAGTCAGGTGTGGTGGCGCGCACACCTGTAATCCAAGCTACTCAGGAGGCTGAGGCAGGAGAATCGCTTGAACCTGGGAGGCGGAAGTTGCAGTGAGCTGAGATCGCGCCACTGCACTCTAGCCTGATTTTTTGAGACTCTGCCTCAAAAAAAAAAAAAAAGGATGCTTTCTCGTGTGGCAGACTGACAGACAGATTAAGGGTTGATATAGTAAGTGTCCTTCATATATGACACATGGGCCAAAAGAGTAGAATCACCAAATGTTTCCTTGAATATAAAAAAATATATTTGCAAGGGTGGTTATGTCAGCATTATGTGTAATTGCAGAAAGCTATAAAGGACCTGAAAAATCCATTGATAGGACATCAGTTAAATAAATCAATCATGGTACAACCATACACTGGCAGATAAGCAACTATAAAGAAGGAGTTAGATCTACCTACATTGACCCAAAGAGAGGCACAGGATTATTAGGTTTAAAAAAAGGAAAAGAGGCCGGGCACAGTGGCTCACTCCTATAATCCCTGCAGAGGCAGGAGGATCACTTGAGCCCAGGAGGTCAAGGCTGCAGTGAGCTATGATTGCGTCACTACACTCCAGCCTAGGTGACAGAGCCAGATAAAAGAAAGAGAGAGAAAGAAAAGAAAGAGAAAGAAAGAGAGAGAGGGAAGGAAGGAAGGAAGGAAGGAAGGAAGGAAGGAAGGAAGGAAGGAAGGAAGGAAGGAAGGAAGGAAGGGGAAGGGAAGGGAAGGGAAGGGAAAGGAAGGAAGGAAGGAAGGGGAAGGGAAGGGAAGGGAAGGGAAACGAAGGAAGGAAGAAAGAAAGGAAGGAAAGAAAGGTCGGGCTCGGTGGCTCACGCCTGTAATCCCAGCACTTTGGGAGGCCGAGGCGGGCGGATCACCTGAGGTCAGGAGTCCGAGACCAGCCTGACCAATATGGAGAAACCCTGTCTCTACTAAAAATACAAAATTAGCCGGGTGTGGTGGCGCATGCCTGTAATCCCAGCTACTCCGGAGGCTGAGGCAGGAGAATCACTTGAACCCGGGAGGCGAAGGTTTTGCGGTGAGCTGAGATCATGCTACTGCACACCAGCATGCCAGCCTGGGCGACAGAGCGGGACTCCGTCAAAAAAAAAAAAGAAAGAAAGAAAGAGAGAGAAAAGAAAAGAAAGAGCAAGGAACAGAATATGATCTTATTTTGCATTAAAAAATTAAAAGAGGTATCCTATAAGTAAATACGTATGTTTATATATTTGCATAAGTAAAAAAGAAAATAAGAAAATGTATACAAGTGGGAAAATGTGTAGTATATAAAAAATGTAGAGGGATACACGTGAAGCTGGTTATAATGTTTACTTCAGAGGGTGGGGTTAAAATGGGTAAGAAAATTAATATTTTGTATACATGTTTTGCCTTATCCATATAAGTTACAAATATGGATAAGTCAAAACATATTTAAGGCTTATACATACAAACTTTATACTTTATAAAGTTTATATTTATAAATATAATTTTTATATTTATAAATATTTATAAATATATAAATTTATAAATATATTTATAAATATAAACTTATATTAAATATATTAATAAACTTATAAACATATATATAACTTAAGAATAAAATGTATTACAAAAATAAAGAATAGACAAAAGGGGCTTGCAGATGCTGCCTGGCCACACTCATCCTTGGCGCTTGCCCCCATGGAGGCCTCATCTACTGTGACACTTGGAGAGCTGGCAGCCATCACTCAAGAAATCAGGACACATTTGGCCTCTGCTGCAGCATCAGGGAACAAAACAAGGACTAAGGCTGTCAGTTCTCAAGAAAAATACTGATGTGCATAATCGTATGTGACATAAATTTATTCAGTGACTTTGAGATATCTTACTCTAAAGAGATAAAATTAATTAAAACTAGTGCAAATTTCTGGCAACAGTATTCCAACTCCCCATTATTTATTGAGGGCATTGAAAATTGGAACACATCACAGATCCTTAAGTCATTCTCTGAATCCGGAGGAGAAAAGGGGAAGGCAGAGAGCACGCACCGTATGTGCCAGGCACTGGGCTGAGTGCTGCGCCTACACTATCCCACCTGATGCTTGCAATAACCCTGCAAGGCAGGAGTAAAAGGAACACACACATACACAAATACACTGACACACACACTCACACACATGATCACACACATACTCATACACTCACACTCAAGCATGCACTAGAAAATACAGAACAAAGCAAGCATTGGCAACTAATAGAAGTATAGTGCTGGCTAAGCACAATGGCTCACATCTATAATCCCGGAGCTTTAGGCTAGGAGTTCAAGACCTGGGCAACATAGCAAGATGCCATCTCTACAAAACATTTTTTAAATAAAAATCTTTTATTTTTCTTCAGATGGAGTCTCGCTCTGTCACCCAGGCTGGAGCCCAGTGGCGCGATCTCAGCTCACTGCAACCTCCACCTCCCAGGCTCAAGTGAGTCTCATGCCTCAGCCTCCCAAGTAGCTGAGATTACAGGTGTGAGGCACCACGCCTAGCTAATTTTATATTTTTAGTAGAGATGGGGTTTTGCCATGTTGGCCAAGCTAGTCTCAAACTCCTGACCTCAAGTGATCTGCCCGCCTTGGCCTCCCAAAATGCTGGGATTACAGGCTTGAGCCACCACACCTGACCTAAATAAAAATCATTTTTAAAAACAGGTATAGTGCCTCAGGGCTCAAGAAAGCAATACCCCTATTGCTGTATGGTAAACCGCAGGCAAGGCTACTGATCAGACCAGGGTAGTAGTAATTCCAGGGTTCTTTGCACACTTAGCCAGGAGACTGGCTAGCTCAGCACTGCCTGGGTTCGCTTTATCCTTTTTACCGCTCTAAAGCTCTGAGAGGCGGGACCTAAGCCTAAAAGGAAGTGAAATGAGGCAGCACTCTCTTCACTGCAAGTGATTGAAAACTAACTCAATCCAGCAAGGCAGCAAATTATTTGGCTCTCATAACTAAAAATGTCCATGAGTAGATGGCTTCTGGCTCAGTGGGATCAGGGGTCAGCTAATATCAACCAAGACTCATTCAGTCCCTTCATTTCTTCTGCATTGGCTCCATTTTTCAAGCAGGCTCTTTTGAGAGAGCAGCAAAGATGGCCCCGGTAATTCCATGTTACTTGCTGCCTTGCAAGTAGCTATTCCAATGAAAAGAAAGCACCTCATTCCCAGCAGTTTCAGCAAAAGTGCAGGGATGACTGTCATGGGCCTAGCTTGGGTCACATTCCCATTTCTGAATTAACTACCATGCTGATCTGATTGCCCAGGGTGGGTCAGCCCTTCCCATATCACATGGACTAGAAATGGGGTAGTGATCCTCCCATGAAAAAAAAAAAATGGAAGGATAGTGGCAAAGGAATATAGGAGGGATGTTGGACAAGCAGATGATAGATGCCCATCACAATGTCACGTAGAATCCTACCAATAAGAGGACAAGGATGGTGACTCATATCTGTAATCCCCATGACTCAAGAGGCTAAGGAAAGAGAATTACTTGAGGCTAAGTGTTCGAGACCAGCCTGGGCAACATAGTGAGACTTCATCTCAATTAAAAATTAGCTGGGCATGGTGGTGGACTCCTATAGTCCCAAGTACTTGGGAGCCTGGGGTTGGGGGACCACTTGAGGCCAGGATGTCAAGGCTGCAGTGAGCTATGATTGCACCACTGCACTCCAGCCTGGGCAATAGGCCAAGACCAGAAAGAAAGAAAGAAAGAGAGAGAGAGAGAGAGAGAGAGAGAGAGAGAGAGAAAGAAAGAAAGGAAAGGAAAGAAAGAAAGAGAGAAAGAGAAAGAAGAGAGAGAGGAAGGAAAGAAGAGAGAGGAAGGAAGGAAGGAAGGGAAACCCACCAACAAATTGTAAACTGTGAGAATGTGAGAAGCTGGTAGGCATTAGTTTTTTTGTTGTTGTTGGTTTTTGTTTTTTGTTTGAGTCGGAGTCTCGCTCTGTCACCCAGGCTGGAGTGCAGTGGCACGATCTCAGCTCGCTGCAACCTTCGCCTACCGGGTTCAAGCGATTCTCCTGCCTTGAGTAGCTGGGATTACAGGCGCCTGCCACCACACCAGCTTTTTGTATTTTTTTTGTATTTTTAGTAGAGACGGGGTTTCACCATATTGGTCAGGCTGGTCTCAAACTCCTGACCTCGTGATCTGCCCACCTTGGCCTCCCAAAGTGCTGGGATTACAGGCATGAGCCACTGCGCCCAGCCGGCATTAGTTTTTTATTTGTCATATCTTGGCCACCACAACGCCCTTGGAAATTGCTCAACATGACAGAAGTTCTGAAGACCCTGAGAACCCTCTGTTCCCATTGCCAAGGTTAAGGATTCAGGAAGGATGCCCAAGAACTCTGTGAAAACTCTTGTCAATAAATACTAGAACCATCAGTTCCTGACACCCCACACAGGATATGGGGAGTTCCAGTTGCCTAAAGAACTGTAACAGTAGAAGCTTCTCAATGCTAAGGAGGCTGGAAATGTCCTCCCAGGAGCCAAGGACCCAGGTTTCAGCTCAAGCTCTGCCTTTAACGAGCCACATGACCTTGAAAACATGCTTAAGTGTTGGGGGCGGTCAGAGCTTTCATATGTAAAATAAAGGGGCTGGGGAAAGCAACATGAAATGTAAAGTTGTCTCCAGCTTCAAAACTCTGATTCTAAGTCAGAGTCAGGAGATGGAAAAAGTTTATGGGTAAATAAACTTTTACCCATTGGTAAATGATTAAATAAATAAGTGAGAAAACAGTAGGCTAAAAAAAAAACAAACAAAACGAAAACCCACACCACACCCACCAGCCAAATCTGTGACAGTTTGAGCAATAAATAAATGCTAATAATAATGGATTATAACCCACTAATAAAATAACAGTCTACAAGTTCATACTGATATCCATCCATCCATTTATGCATACATGAGAAGGTCAAGGAAAAGCTCTTCTTACAGTAGAATGTTAACTAGTAAATTAACAAGGAATAACGATGTTACAAAATCATCAGTGGATATTTAAACTGGTGGTTAAAAGTTTGATGAGAAACAGGATATTTACAAAGTCTTAAGGCATCTCCCCATAAATTACTTATTAATTGCAAAGAGGAAACATAGTAACTTTACAGTGATGAAACCTGAAGGCTACTACCTTAACCAGTGATCAAAAGTTAACGTCCGCTGGCTGGGGGCAGTGGCTGACGTCTGTAATCCCAACACTTTGGGAGGCCAAGGCTGGTGGATCACCTGAGGTCAGGAGTTCGAGACCAGCCTGGCCAACATGGCGAAACCCCGTCTCTACTAAAAATACAAAAAATTAGCCAGGCTTGGTGGCAGGCGCCTGTAATCCCAGCTACTTGGGAGGCTGCGGAAGGAGAAACGCTTGAACCCGGGTGATGGAGGTTGTAGTGAGCCAAGACTGCGCCATTGCACCCCAGCCTGGGCAACAAGAGTGAAACTCCATCTAAAAAAAAAAAAAAAAAAGTTAACGTCCCCAGTGTTGGAATAGGCCAACCTCATGTATATCTTTGATACAGTGTTCTGAGAAGGTCACAGCATCTCCCCAGTGTCCTGCCCAAAACCCATAACCTGAATTTAATCACAAGAAATGTTACTTAATAATTGACCTGTACTATTTTAAAATGTCAAGGTATAATTTGAACTTTTTTGCCACACACAAAAAAAGTCAAGGTCATAAAACACAAAGAAGGTTAAGGATTTGCCCAATTTAAAAGAAACTGAAGAGACAATAACAACCAAATGCAATGTGTGATCCTGGATTAAATCCTGAATTGAGGAAAAAAATAGTTGTCAAGGATATTACTGAGTGTAATTGATGAAACTGAATATGGATGATGACGTGAGCATGCATAGCAACCTGCCTGGAGCTACGGTGTGGGTAGTCCAGGGACACCAAGCCCCCAAGCTCCAGCTAAGGCGTTCATTCCCGAGCCTGGGGACTGTGGCATCCAGCCCTCTGAAGCTGCGTGGTCCCAGGATTTCTTTCATCTTTTGCTTCCCTCTTCAAGCTTTCTGATTCATTCATTGGCATAGTCTGCTGGGAGAGGCAGCAGGAATGTCTGGAAGATTCTCCAGAGCCCCAACAGTCTGCCACCTTCACCTCTCACATCTACTTCAGCTCCAGTTCCTTCCCTGTCCCCACAGGGAGAGTCCATCCTAAACAAGGAGTTGGTGACCTGATGTCCCTGAGGAGCTCAGGAAGCCCTGATGCAGCGTGAGTTCAAGTCCCATGGGTATCCAGAGGGAACTTCCAACTGTGGTATCCCTTACACAGAAATACTTTCTGTAAACCACTCCTCCTTGCTTCCTCCCATCCTGACTCGCTGCCCAACCCCAGCTCCAGCATATTCCTCACCAGGAGGGAGCACTCACCCAGTTCAAAGCAGCACATCTGCCTGAGAGAAAAAAGCAAAGTCACCAATATGAGCCAAGTCACTGAGATGGAGGAAAAAATCTCTAGGCCACAGTCAGGATTCTAGTTCTCTTTTTTATTTATTTATTTTTATTTTTATATTTTTTTGAGGCAGTTGCCCAGGCTGGAGTACAATGGTGCAATCTTGGCTCACTGCAACCTCCGCCTCCCAGATTCAAGCGATTCTCCTGCCTCAGCCTCCTGAGTAGCTGGTACTACAGGCACGTGCCACCACACCTGGCTAATTTTTTGTATTTTTAATAGAAACGGGGTTTCACCATGTTAGCCAGGCTGGTCTCGAACTCCTGACCTCAGATGATCCACCCGCCTTGGCCTCCCAAAGTGCTGAGATTATAGGCATGAGCCACCGCGCCCGGCCTATTTTTTATTTTTTTAAGATATGGAAATCTGGCTACATTGCTCAGGCTCGACTTGAACTCCTGGCCTTATGTGGTCCTCCCCACTAAGCCTTCCAAGTAGCTGGGACAACAAGTGCATGCCACCACTCACAAACTAACTCTTATAACCACTTACTGAGGATCAGCCCTGTTGTAGGCATCGTGCTGTAAGTTTTACACACGTTTTCTTTCATCCTAATGATGCCCATGTTACGACAGAGGAACCCGAAGCCTCAGAGAGATTTAAATACTTCTCCATACCTCCCACAAGATTTTAAAATAAAATCCAAATGAATTCACAATCTAACTGTATTTTTTTTTCAATGAAGAAATGTAGAATATTTGTATAACTGCAGGAACTAGAGACCTGCACAGGCCAGACTCTGTACTAGAAGACATTAAAAACACACATTTGGTTATATAAAATGTGAAATATGGTAAAAGACACCTTAAACAAAACTAAAAGACAAAAGACTGAAAGAAACATAAGAATTGGTAGCCCATAACATAAGAATTGATAGCCCTAAATATACAAAGATTGCCTACAAATTGATTAGAAAAAGACAATCAGAAAAAGAGGGGCCATGTACAGTGGCTCACACCTGTAATCCCAGTACTTTGGGAGGCCAAGGCAGGAGGATCGCTTGAGTCTAGGAGTTCAAGACCAGTCTGGGCAACATAGTGAGACCCCCATTTCTACATAAATTGTTAAGGATTAGCCACGTGTGGTGGCATGTACCTGTAGTTCCAGTCACTCAAGAGACTGAGGTGGGAGGATCACTTGAACCCAGGAGTTCAAGTCGGCAGTGAGTTATGATCACACCACTGCACCCCAGCCTGGGCAACAGAACAAGACCCTGTCTCTAAAAAAAAATAAATTAAGTTAAATGTAAATTTAAAATAAATTATGGTACAACTATACTATGGCATATCATGCAGTTATCAAAAATATTAATGAATGCATGCCAACATATTGACCTAGACTGTAGATTTCCACACTATATTCTTAAACTTTAAAAAAGTGCATAGGGCTGGGTGCGGTGGCTCACGCCTGTAATCCCAGAACTTTGGGAGGCCAAGGCATGTGGATCACCTGAGGTCAGGAGTTCGAGACCAGCCTGAGCAACACGGTGAAACCCCATCTTTACTAAAAATCAAAAAAAAAAAAAAAAAAAAATTAACCAGGCGTGGCCGGGCACGATGTCTCACGCCTGTAATCCAGCACTTTGGGAGGCTGAGGCAGGCGGATCACAAGGTCAGGAGATTGAGATCATCCTGGCCAACATGGTGAAACCTCGTCTCTACTAAAAATACAAAAATTAGCTGGGCATGATGGTGCGCACCTGTAGTCCCAGCTACTTGGGAGGCTGAGGCAGGAGAAACCCTTGAATTCAGTAGGCAGAGGTTGCAGTGAACCAAGATTGCACCACTGCACTCCAGCCTGGGTGACAGAGTGAGACTCCATCTCCAAAAAATTAATTAATTAATTAATTAATTAAAATTTAAACACTTAAAAAATTAAAAAGTGCTGGGTGTGGTGGCTCAGGCCTGTAATCCCAGCACTTTGGGAGGCCGAGGCGGGTGGATCACGAGGTCAGGAGATCCAGACCATCCCGGCGAACACAGTGAAACCCCGTCTCTACTAAAAATACAAAAAAAAAAAAAAAAAATTAGCCGGGAGTGATGGCGGGCGCCTGTAGTCCCAGCTACTCGGGAGGCTGAGGCAGGAGAATGGCGTGAACTCGGGAGGCGGAGCTTGCAGTGAGCCGAGATCGCGCCACTGCACTCCAGCCTGGAAGACAGCGAGCCTCCGTCTCAAAAAAAAAAAGAAAAAGAAAAAAAGAAACAAAAACCCATATATGCATACATATGTTTGCTTCTGTTTCCCTTATCACACATTAAGTAGTGGAAATATGCAAGCAAACTTAGTACTGGTTACTTAGTAGACATAAGAGAGGCAAAGAGTAGCAAGAATGGTTCTTCAATTTGTTTTTGTATCCCTATTTAATTTAATTTGTTAGAAAAGAGCAGGTAACTTTTGTAACTTTCACAATTTTAAAAAATCGAGGAACTTCCAGGCTGGGAGCAGTGACTCATGCCTGTAATCCCAGCACTTTGGGAGGCCCAGGCAGGTGGGTCACTTGAGCTCAGGAGTTTGAGACCAGCCTGGGCAACATGACGAAACCTAGACTCTACTAAAAATACAAAAATTAGCCAGATATGGTGGCCTGTAGTCCCAGCTACTCGGGAGGCTGAGGTGGGAGGATCACCAGAGCCCAGGAGGTAGAGGCTGCAGTGAGCCCTGATTGCACCACTGCACTCCAGCCTGGGCAACCAGAGTGAGACCCTGTCTCAAAAATAAACAAATATCTCACTGTTATACTGAAACTTACTTTATTTAACAAATAAACATAAGTAAATAAATAATGAACTTCTTCAAATTCAAGGATCACTATGTACAGTTGTTCAGGTTCAGCACTGTATAAACGATCTGGGGTGGGAGGTATGTGTAGTATTCATATCTTCACATCGTACACGTCAGGGAATGAAGGAATGTGTGGAGACACCAGCCAAAGTTCTGAAGCTGCAGGGGAGAGTCCTCCCCTACTTAAAACCCACACCATACAATGGATCACACACACACTCAGAAGAGCCTGCACATACATTGCTGACACTCTCATATGCACCACTGTGCCTCTCCCAACCAAAATTCAGGTGACCCTGCACCCTTGGAGACCCAATTCTTTACCCTTCCTCACTTTGAACCTGGTATAACCCCTTTACTTAATGGAGGAATTCGGGTTAAGGCAAAGGTACAAGCTGCCAGAGGCATACATGCCCTGGCATTGGAGGGCAGGGGTGGGCAGGGAGCATGAGCAATGAGAGTGTGGCACATGTGTGCCCTCAGCCAGGAAGACTGCAGTGTAGATGTTCCGGAAAGCTCTCTGCTGGGCACAGCCAGGATAAGGCTGCCACGCACAGTTGTTCAAGCTATGCGGTAATATACTAAATTTAACACAATTTTACCTGAGCAAGGGGCATTGTTTTCCAATTTGCACAGAGATGCCATATGGGCAGACAGAAGCCCCACTAGTAATTGACAGAGACAGACTCCAACCCCAGGCTCTGCTTCATTATCAGCTGTATGACTTTGGAGATAAAAATAGGATCATGGATGTTACAGCACTTTTTGAAAAGTCGTAAATATAAGGTATCGTTATAAACAATTCTCCAGTTCTCCAGCCAGCAGACTGGCTGGAGATCATCTAATCTGTTCCCTGTCTCTAGGCTTATGAGAATACAGGCCACTGGGAGAGACTCGCATCTGTGGTTTCTTCAAAAACACAGCAGCCCACAGTGATCTCTCATTCTTCCATTTCTATCACATTCAGGTATGTACCAGGCATTTAGAAATCAGTGTGTTTTACAAGCTCAATAATCTTTCTTTGAGTGGGTAAGGTTTATATGTGTGGGATGTGTGTGTGTGTACATATATCTGTCCTCAATAATACCTGAAACTCCCAGAAGACAGACATTGTCCTTCTTTGCATTTCCTGTAGCCCTGTAGCACCTTACAGGTATTCATCAACTGTTTTCCCAGGTATCTTTTATTTATTTATTTTGAGACAGAGTCTCACTCTGTCACCCAGGCTGGAGCGCAGTGGTGCAATCTCAGCTCACTGCAACCTCCGCCTCCTGGGTTCAAGCAACCCTCCCACCACAGCCTCCCAAGTAGCTGGGACTACAGGCACATGCCACCACGCCCGGCTAATATTTCTATTTTTAGTAGAGATGGAGTTTTTGCCATGTTGGCCAGACCAGTGTCGAACTCCTGACCTCAGGTGATCCACCTGCCTCAGCCTCCCAAAATGCTGGGATTACAGGTGTGAACCACTGTGCCCAGCCTCCCAGTTATCTTAACTGTGTTAAGATATCACTGCCCGTTTAGTCTAGATTTAAACAAATGAAAGCTCTTCTAATAGAGATGAAATTAAATAACATATAGATGATACCTAGACAGTACTTTGTCTATGATAGATGCTTATAAACTTATAAATATTTCTTTCCCTTTACTTATGATGAAAAGCGAATAGCATTCATTCAACAACATTCATTCAAGGCCTTTTTTTTTTTTTTTTTTTTTTTTGAGACGGAGTTTCGCAATTGTGGCCCAGGCTGGAGTGCAATGGCACTATCTTGGCTCACCGCAACCTCTGCCTCCTGAGTTCAAACAATTCTCCTGTCTCAGCTTCCCAAGTAGCTGGGATTACAGGCATGTGCCACCATGCTTGGCTAATTTTGTATTTTTAGTAGAGACGGGGTTTCTCCATGTTGGTCAGGCTGGTCTCAAACTCCCGACCTCAGGTAATTCGCCTGCCTCAGCCTCCCAAAGTGCTGGGATTACAGGCATGAGCCACCATGCCCAGCCAAGGCCATTTGTTATGTATCAGGCAATGTACTGGGTATTGGGGATAAAATGATACGTAAAAAAGTCTTTTCTCAAGTTCTGTGGGTCATCTGGCCAGAAAAAATGGCCTTGATGGTGAACTCCCATGTTATGTGAAGTTGTAAACAGGCACTTTTGGATGGAGCATAACGAAGGGATAATTGGATGTAGTCGTGATTTTCTAGGGTTGGAAGAGGGTAGGAGATGGCAGTTTGGAAGGTGATGTTTGAACAGGGTCTTGAAGGATAACTAGGAGTTCACAGAGATGAAAAACAACAAAAGCATCATAACTAGAAGAAGCAGAATAAGAGAAGCCACTCACAATTTTTAAAGTTAGTTTGAAGATAACCACCTTCTTGAACAGAACTATGACTCATGCAATGCCAGGGAAATGACCCCAAATCAAAATCAGCTGATTGGAAGAGAGAAAAGCACTTCAGACCTGGGCCCTCCATCCACCATCCCACCCCTAGGTCTCTTCCAGGCCTGACACTAGCCTTTACCAACTTGTAGTTTAAAGGCATTTGTGACTGTTTTGTTTTGTTTTAACGGAGCCTTGCTGTCACCCAGGCTGGAGTGTGGTGGTGCAATCTCAGCTCACTGCAACCTCTGCCTCCTGGGTTCAAGCGATTCTCCTGCCTCAGTCTCGCGGGTAGCTGGGATTACAGGCACCTGCCACCACGCCAGGCTAATTTTTGTATTTTTAGCAGAGACGGGGTTTCACCATGTTGGGCAGGCTGATCTCGAACTCCTGACCTCAAGTGATCTGCCCACCTTGGTCTCCCAAAGTGTTGGGATTATAGGCGTGAGCCACAGCACCCGGCCGTAAAGGGGTTTGTGGCTTTTTAAAGTTTGCAAGTTATTATTTTCCTTTATCTAGAAAAGAGCTGTTTTTAAAGCCAAAGACTAAAAGTTACAAGCAGCCCCAGGTATTTATTTTAAAACTGAGAATTTCCCCGAGGCCTGAAATTTGGTGTCTGGGTTCCAGGCCTGGGGGTAATTGTTGGGTTCCCCTCTCAGACCTGCCCTCCCACCCTGCACCATCTGTTCAGCAGGGCACAGCTTCCCAAAGGTCTGCCCAGTCCTCTCCTGGTAACCCTACCTGGGGAGAAAAGCCACTCCTATGACCCACCAGATCAAAGATAGAGCCCAAAGTGTTTACAGTATCAGCTTTCGCTCCCCAGAGGGAAGGGCTGTATCTTTCTTTATGGCTACAAAACCAACGGTGGCTTTGTGAATGACCGGCCCTGTTGGCACCTCCAGGCACAGGAGCCCAGCTGCTGCCCCAGCCCAGGGAGGGAGGGAGGCTGCGGACAGGGCATCCAGCCCGAGAACAAAGCTATCAGCCCCATCTCTGCAGGGTACCAGCCTCGCCCTCACACCTGCCAGGCGGGGGCCTTTTCTTTCTCAGTTAACTTCGTCTGCCTGGTTCAGCACCAGGCACACTGGAGACTCTCCGGGTTTGCGGTTTATCGGCAGCCCAGTTTTGTGACAAGACCTTTGAGATCTGGCCTCAGGAGATGTGGGTGATACTCTTCCTCCACCTATGACCAGGTGCCTGTCTGAGCCTCAGTTGAGCCTCAGTTTCCCCATCTTTTTTTTTTTTTTTTTTTTTTTTGAGACGGAGTCTCGCTCTGTCGCCCAGGCTGGAGTGCAGTGGCGCGATCTCGGCTCACTGCAAGCTCCGCCTCCCGGGTTCACGCCATTCTTCTGCCTCAGCCTCCTGAGTAGCTGGGACTACAGGCGCCCGTCACTACGCCCGGCTAATTTTTTGTATTTTTAATAGAGACGGGGTTTCAACGTGTTAGTCAGGATGGTCTCGATCTCCTGACTTTGTGATCTGCCCGCCTCGGCCTCCCAAAGTGCTGGGATTACAGGCGTGAGCCACCACACCCGGCCAGTTTCCCCATCTTTAAATGATGGTGATCATCAAGGTCAGGAGATCGAGACCATCCTGGCTCAGATGGTGAAACCCCATCTCTACTAAAAATACAAAAAATTAGCCAGGCCTGGTGGCGGGTGCCTGTAGTCCCAGCTACTCAGGAGGCTGAGGCAGGAGAATGGCGTGAACCCGGGAGGCGGAGCTGCCAGTGAGCCAAGATGGCGCCACTGCACTCCAGCCTGGGCGACAGAGCGAGACTCCGTCTCAAAAAAAAAAAAAAAAAAAAAAAAGATGGTGATCATCATGTCTGACCTGGCTGCCTTTCAAGATTGGTCACTCATGTAAAAGGGCAGCACCGTGGGGCAGCAGAGGCAGCGCAGGGTGGAGGCTGAGGGCTCAGCTCGAGTTTACCAGCCAGGCTGTTATTTCCTAGTTATGTGACCCCAAGCAAGTTATGTAACCTCTCTGATGCCTCAGTGTTCCTCATCTGTAAAATGGGATTATAAGAGTTCCTGCTTCACAGGGTCATTAGGAGGATTAAATGAGATCATGTTTATAAAGAGCTTAGGACAGCATCTGGCACATAATACAGCTTAGCCAGCATCTACTCTGTGGATGGTGCGGGGTGGGGGGGTTTACAGAGATCAAAGGCACCGAGCTCACAGCATGGTGACTGCGAAGAGAATCAAATGAAATAACAATTGCAAAGGCAAATCAGGTCATTAACCCCGCATGCACACCCCACTTCAAACATCGTGTGTGTGTGTCTGTCTGTGTCTGTCTGTGTCTCCACTGCATGTTGTGATACCTGCCTCCCTCTCCATCCCCTCAGTCATTACCCTCCAGCCACACTGGACTCCTTTCTTGTCCTGGAACCTATCAAACTCTTTCCTGTCTCAAGCCTCCGCAGTCCTCTCTGCTTGAACTGTGGCTCCTGCAGAGAAAGCATCAGAATCTCCGGGGAACTGATTGGAAATGCACATTCTCCAGCCCCGCCCAGAACTCCTGAATTAGAAACCCTGGGGTGGGACAAGCAAGCCGTGCTTTCTGGGGCACAGGTGATTCTGGTGTGTGCTGAAGTTTAAGAACCACTGGCCGAGAACATTCTTAGGTCTGCTCTTCTTTTGCCCGGCCCCTCCCTCGCGGAGGAATTCCTTCTTATTCCTCTCTGAAGAGTGGCTGCTGCCAAAAAACGTTTGTGAGATGGCCTGGGTTTTCTTTGTTGATTTATCATTTAGTTTGGAAGAAATCAGAAGTCTCTTTAAGAAGCCAATTTGAAACATTCACCCCATGGGAACAGTTCTGGATGAAGTCAGAAGATCTGGAGGCAGCGCAGTAACACACGTAGGTTTTCTGGCCATATGGACATTTCAGAGAAAACAACGCACAGAGGCCTGGAGCAGGTGAACTGGCTTAAGTAGAGAGAAACTAAGTCATTTGGGGATATTTAGCACCTAATGTCAAGGCAGAAATGTCTAAGATGTAATTAACAGTTATATTCTAATCTCAATAGTAGCTAAGTACAGACTTAAACATAAGCCTGTATATAACAAAATAACCCCAGGAGAACCAAAGAAAATCTAGAAGTTGCTGCTAAAAACAGTTATGTTAGTGATACCTAGGAAAGTTTTTTTTCTTTTAACATGTCATTGTGGTTTACAAATGAAAATTGAGGCCGGGCGTGGTGGCTCACGCCTGTAATCCCAGCACTTTTGGAGGCCAAGGTGGGCGAATCACAAGGTCAGGAGTTCAAGACCAGTCTGGCCAACATGGTGAAACCCCATCTTTACTAAAAATACAAAAAATTAGCTGGGCGTGGTGGTGGGCGCCTGTAATCTCAGCTACTAGGGAGGCTGAGGAAGGAGAATCGCTTGAACCTGGGAGGCGGAGGTTGCAGTGAGCCAAGATCATGCCACCGCACTCCAGCCTGGGCAACAGTGTGAGACTCCATCTCAAAACAAACAAACAAACAAATGAAACAAATGAAAATTGAAACTTCACCCATTTATGGCTATTGCCTAAAGAATTTATAAATGCCTGGGTCATTGCAAGCATATTGCTGACATGTCTCTCGGTCTGCGTTACCCTGGTGGACATCACGACACTCACCTGACAGGCAGCAGCTTCCTTCCAGTAAAAGCAAAGAATCTGAAAGGAATGGAAAAGGCTCCACACAGTGCCATTTTATAGAAGGAAATGCAACAAGGTCACAGACCAGAAGGACAGCAGCCCAGGCCGGCTGGGCATGGAGGAAGTCCCAAGATGCTGCTGGGCATGAACAGACCTCCTCATACAGTGTGCCTCTGAAGAAATAATGCAATTGTGTGGGGCCAGAGGAGCCACAAATAGAACAAAGGGAGGAAAGGAAAAATCAATATGCAGTAAAGAGGAGGAAGGGAGCCCGGCGCGATGTCTGAATCTCGCTGGCAAGAAAAGGAAACAGGTGGTCTAAGCAGGCAACCCTTCACCCCACATTGTAATGCTGGGGCATGGACGTGTTCCATAGATCACTCACTGAGAAGTCTTCACAAGAACACTCCAAGGCAGACACTACTATCCATCTTCCACACACTGGGGGATTGAGAGTCAGAAGGATTATACAGCTTGTTCAAATTATAAATAAAAGCCCTGAGATTTGAGCCCAGGGTCCCAAGCTCTTTCTAAGCCACCATAGCTGCCTGGTCTATAAGGCAACTCCCCGAATATGAGCTGCAGCGAACTTGGGGGCAGATAGGACCACCTTACCTGTGTTATGGAGTTGGCTTCCCCAGGATGATCCACCTGGGAAACAGCCTCTGGGGAAACCTGACTCCTTCCCCTCCCTGCTCTGCACAAACTGATGTTATCTCTGCAAGCAGTCAGAGGGAGAGCTGCAAGTGGCCTTCACCGGGGCCTCGGGAAAGGGACACCTTTCTCCTTAGCTCCCTGTTCCCAACTCTTCCTGGAGGATGTGTTATAGAGAAAAGGGATACTCAGAGAAGCAGGAAATGGCAACCTTGGAGCTCCCAGCACTGGAATCTGCATTCTTTCCTAGTTGGCCCCTTTCCGGGGGAAAAGTGGGGGATCCCTTTTACTGCTCCACACCCTGAGCCCCTGGGACCCAGTAGTGCCCCCCTCCCTCCTTTCCACCCTGCAGCGTTTTTCACTGGAGAGTAAAACAGAACTCAATAAATCAAAGTGGTTTCCCCAGCAACCGTGGGAGAAGCAGGTTTACTTACGCCAGGTAAATAATGCATGAGCTCGGGCTGAGAAATACAGTGACCAAGTTCATGTTACTAACAGGTTCACTGAACCTCCAGGCTGGGCTTCTGAGCCGCAGTCTCAGGGGATAAGGTTGCAGTTCCCCACCAGGCCCTCCTCTCCAAAGGAATCCTTTCTGTATTCAGGCTTTTTGTTTTTTGGGTATTCTTTTTCTTTTCCCCGGTCTCACTGTGCTATATCCTACTCCCTGAATCAGATTGCCTCTGCCTTCGACAGCCAAGAGACTAGGTACCCATTCTCTGAGAGGCTTCTCCTGCTTTAAAGACAGGGCATATATTGGGAGATGCTGGATTTTGCAAAGTCAGGCTGGCTCCCTTGTCTCCTTGGGTCTGCCGGAAGACAGTTGGCTTCCAGATCCATTAGGTATATCTGACAGGTCAGCCAGGTCCCCACGTTCCCTGGCACAGATGGACTGCCAAGAAGAAATGTAAACTGAACCAAATTGTGAAAGAACAACTTGTGATGAAGACCGTGTGCTCCTCCCTCCTCCCGAGAATAACTGATACTCTCTCTCTCCCCTCTCAGATGTTTGACTCTCTCTGATTTGTACTCTGAAAGTAATAAGTTCTTCTTAAAAAAAAAATTTATAAATACTAAATTATAGTATAATGTAGAAAAATCTTTTTTCAAACTGCCCTCTCCCAATCTAAAACATCCCCTACCATGTCCCCACCCTAAAGAGAATTTCTCATTTTTAAATGATAGAAAAATTGGCCGGGTGTGGTGGCTCACGCCTGTAATCCCAACACTTTGGGAGGCCGAGGCAGGCGAATCACCTGAGGTCAGGAGTTCGAGACCAGCCTGGCCAACATGGTGAAACCCCGTCTCTACTGAAAATACAAAAATTAGCCGGGCGTGATGGTGCGTTCCTGTAGTCCCAGCTACTCAGGAGGCTGAGGCAGGAGAATTGCTTGAATCCAGGAGGTGGAAGTTGCAGTGAGCTGAGATCACACCACTGTACTCCAGCCTGGGTGACAGATCAAGACTCCATCTAAAAAATATATATATATAATATATATTTATAAATATTTATATATAATATATATTTATAAATATTTTTATATATATAATATATATAATATATAATATATAATATATATTTATATATATTATATATAATATTATATATAATATATATAATATATAATATATAATATATATTTATATATATAATATATAATATTATATATAATATATAAATATATATAATATATAATATTATATATAATATATAAATATATATAAATATATATTTATAAATATTTATATATATAAAATTCCTATGGAGAAAAAAATTAAGAAGTTGCCTCAACACAGGCAACGAGATTTAGGCAACTAATGCCATTTATTCTCTCTAACATATTAATGGTATTATAAAATGGTCTGAAAGCCGACCTTGTATACAGTATCAAAGTGTTAATGAGTAACTATCTATGGAAATGCCCCGATTAAAAGCCTTCCTGTTCCCCAGGTGGAAAGGAAGTAATTCACATTGACAACAGATGCAGCCCCCTGATGCAAAATGAGGCAAGTCTTCAGGGAGTATCATAGCAACCTCACTGGTCTGTGAAAATTATAGCAGTTTCGCATTAAAACCTGAAAACTGAACAGCCAAATCTGTTGGAAAAACTACAGGGGGAAAAAAAGCCCCTGGAGCAAATGTAAATAAGACAACTAAAAAAAACCTTCAGGTACCTATTAAAGCAGATACCTATTAGGTAAAATCATACGGATAAAGCAAGGTCTAGCTTGTGACTGAAATAAAGTACGATGTTTGGTCAGGACTACACAGTTGCTTAGGGGACTCAGGATCATGCATTCACCACTAAACATTATGACAGGCACATAAGAAATGGCCGGTGCAGTGGCTCACACCTGTAATCCCAAAACTTTGGGAGGCTGAGGCAGGCAGATCACCTGAGGTCAGGAATTTGAGACCAGCCTGCACAACATGGAAAAACCCTGTCTCTACTAAAAATACAAAAAATTAGCAGGGCGTGGTGGCAGGCATTTGTAATCCCAGCTACTTGGGAGGCTGAGACAGGAGAATTGCTTGAACCCGGGAGGCGGAGGTTGCAGTGAGCCGAGATCGCACCGTTGCACTCCAGAATGGGCAACAAGAGCAAAACTCCGTCTCAAAAAAAAAAAAGAAAAAAGAAGGAAAGAAAAGAAAGAAAGGGAAGGGAACGGAAGGGAAGGGAAGGGGAGGGAAGGGGAGGGGAGGGGAGGGGAGAGGAGGGGAGAAGAGAAGAGAGGAGAAGAGAGGGGAAGGGAAGGGGAGGGAAGGGGAGGGGAGGGGAGAGGAGGGGAGAAGAGAAGAGAGGAGAAGAGGGGAAGAGAAGAGAGGAGAAGAGAAGAGAGGAGAAGAGAAGAGAAGAGGAGCCGGGCGCGGTGGCTCATGCCTGTAATCCCAGCACTTTGGGGGGCCGAGGCAGGTGGATCACAAGGTCAGGAGTTCAAAACCAGCCTGGCCAAGATGGTGAAACCCCATCTCTACTAAAAATACAAAAAAAAAAAAAAATTAGCTGGGCGCAGTAGCAGGCGCCTGTAATCCCAGCTACTCAGGAGGATGAGGCAGGAGAATTGCTTGAACCCAGGCAGCAGAGGTTGCAGTGAGCCAAGATCATACCACTGCACTCCAGCCTGGACAACAGAGTGAGACTCCATCTCAAAAAGAAAGAGAGAAAGAACGAAAGAAAGAAAGAAAGAACGAAAGAGAGAAAGAACGAACGAAAGAAAGAAAGAAAGAAGAAAAGAGAAGAGAAAAGAAAAGAAAGGAAAAGGAAAGGAAAGGAAAAAGAAAAGAAAAGAAAAGAAAAGAACATGCTCGGTAACAACCAACTGACGAAATGACTGGAGGTATAATTGGGGGACGTGCCACCCTGTCTCCCACAGATCCTGCAAACAGGTATGTAATGATGACACAGCAGTAGTTAGCCCTCAAATATGGGCTGATAAATGGATTCGTGCAATATGGTAGCACAACCTGAAGAATGCTTTGGAAAATCACCACCACAAAATGTGCTGGGATTGAGTTGTAACAGTAGATCAACAAATCCTGTTCCACTGAGCAAACAGTCTGTCTGTTGGAGAATATGAATAATTACTCCGGAAGTTATCAACAGAAACACAAAAGTCTTGATAGAAAATCACAGAACTTATTATTTTTTTTTTAATAAAACAATGCGTGTCCCCAGCAGAACAGTCCTAGAGTAACTATGGAAACTGAGAAACTCTTATAGTAAAATCTGCTATCCCTTTGGGAGCTGGAGAGGTTTCCAGACACTCACTGCCCATCTTTCAGGTATCAGAACTTAGCACACTTTGGCATCCATTCAAAAGGCAGTACAGTTAGACACTTGCCATATCAGCATGACATTCCTGTCCCAACAACAGATTATTTCCACATTGTTAGCTATTAATCCCGCAAGGACTGTTACAAGTTACACAAACACAATCACATTATACCTTAAAGTTTCACGGTATCGATAGTATTTTCAAAGCACTATTGCACTTTTATTAAACTTTTTTTTCAGTTTCTTTTTTTCTCTTAGAGTCAGGGGTCTCACTCTGTTGCCCAGGTTGCAGTGCAGTGGCGTGATCATGTCTCACTGCATATTTTTGTTTCTATGCTCTCATTTTACTACCCACAAGAAAACTGTGGGACTAGTTGAGCTAGCATTTGACAAGAGAGAAAACTAAAGCACAGTCAGGCCTTCCAGTGCCTTAAGCCCTCAGCAATTTCAGGCGTGTCTTTGTGGCCAGGGGTATCGCTGGAGCAACACTGGGACATTCATTCCCTCATGGACACATCCCTACAGGTCAAGGTATATTATCCAAATGATACCCTCCAACACGTCACAGGCTTTCCCCTGTGTCACCCCAATAATTGAGAGGAAAAACTGGAAAGTATTTCGCAACCCTAAGCTGTTAGACAATTGCAAAACTTCCATGTAAAGTGTGCCATCTGCATGCATCTGAGACCTGGGAGGCCCTCCCTGCTCCCTCCGCACCCTGCCCTGCCACATCACCAGGGGAAGGTACATCTCGCCAGGATGATTCTGTCCTGGCCCCTGACTCACCTGACCACAGCCCTGCACCTCTCCATGAACCATGGGAAATAATTTAAGAGTTTGGGTCTAGGGAGTGCCGATCAATCCGTCCTTGGTGGGCTGCAGAACACGTGAGGTAGGGCCAGCAGCTGGCAGGGCAGAGGTCAGACAGGATCTGGGTGGGGCTCACAGACAGGCTCTGTCGCAGAGACCCCTGCCCCCACAAACACATCCCTGTCCCAGTTGAGAACCAGGAGGATACTACAAAGTCTAAGGTGGGAGGATTGCTTGCTTAAGGCCAGGAGTTTGAGACCAGCCTGGGCAACATAGCAAGACCCCATCTCTATGAAAATTAGAATATTAGCTGGGCATGGTGGCTCGCACCTCTACAGGTACTCTGCACCTCTTCCCAGCTACTCTGGAGGCCGAGGTGGGAAGATGGTTTGAGCCAAGGAGTTCGAGACTGCAGTAAGCTATGATTGTGCTACTGCACTCCAGTTTAGGAGACAGAGCAAGACCCTGTCTCTAAAAAATTAAAAATAAAATAATAATTTTTTAAAAAAGAGGGAGACTTCTTTAAAGGCCAATGGGTGTGGCCTATGGCCCAAGCCTCTAAAGCATTTTTAGGGGATCTGGGGAGAAATACCAGCCATCCCTGATCACTGTCAGAGAGAATTGCCCACTCTGCTATACAGCCTCAGAGCTGGGCCCTTCCTCTACTGGGCAATCTTTGACCAGATTTCATGCCCCGCCAACCACCCAAGCCTGGCTCCTCTCCCAGTTTTTCCAGAATGCTTTTAAAATATCACAAGCTCCAGTTTAGCTGTACTGACCCCCTGCTCAGGCGCCTCCTCCCCAGACAGGCTCTGCCCCTGAAAGGAAAACCACACTACACTCTCAGACTAAGCCCTGACTTCTCAGCGCCCCACTGCCATGCGCCTAACCCGCCCTGCAGCCTTCAGAGGAAGACTGAAGCCTCTCCTAAGGCAGGAAGCAGAAGACAGAATGCTGGGCTCCAGGACCAGAAACTCTACTCCATCTTCCCCTTACCCTGCCCACCCCAAACATCAGTCTCACACCCAACCTCCACCTCCCACCCAATCCCATCTCAGGGTCTGCAGAGCACCCTCCAAAGCATCGCAACACCATAAAGTCTCAAGTGCACTTTCCCATACTCAGAAAAGCTCTGCAGGGCAGGTGACCATCCCTCTTTCACAGATAAGAAAACTGAGGCTCAGAGAGGTTGAGTGCAGAGGATAGAAAGGAGGTTAGTGCAGTGAGTGGCAGAGCAGGGAATGAGCTCAGGTTGCAGGTCCCTGGCTTGGCACTCTCCACTGCCCTATGGCTCCCAGTCCTTGCCAGGGGGGCCCTTCTCTTTGGCCCCCCCCATTTAGGTCTTTGGAAACTGAGGCACACATTATTCTGCTCCCTATACTTGACTTTCAGCACGGCAGTGACTATAAATGGCAGCAGCCCCAGGAAGCTGGAGATTTCCTTCCATCCTGCTTGTGAAGAGCTGTGGCGCTGGGACTGGTGCGGTGGCTCACTCCAGTAGACCCAGCACTTTGAGAGATGGAGGTGGGTGTATTGCATGAGTTCAGGAGTTCAAGACCAACCTGCGCAACATAGTGAGACCTCGTTTCTACTAAAAATAAAAAAAAAATTAGCTGGGTATTATGATGCATGCCTGCAGTCCCAGCTACTCTGGAGGCTGAGGTGGGAGGATTGATGGAGCCCGGGAGTTTGAGGTTGCAGTGAGCCATGATCGCACCACAGCACTCCAGCCTGGGCCACAGAGTGAGACCCTGACTCAAAAAAAAAGCCAACAACAACAAAAAACAAGAGCTGTGGAGGCAGTGGACAGGACCAGAGCAGCTTAGAGTCAAGCCAGGTGCTCTTGAAACTGTACCAGGGGACAGTGCTGGGAGAACACAGCCCCACCCTTGACCGCACACACATCCTACAGTCGGGCGCTGCGCCCGGCAGGTCAGCCTCTGATGGCACGGGCGCCTCCCTGCTCTGAGTCCTGAGGGAAGGCTTGGGCTGCATGGCTGGGCCTCCCAGCCTTCAGAGGCCTAATGGGATGCAAATTGGAATTTGCTCCCCTAATGATGTATTATGCATGGACTTCCTATTAGAGTTCGCTTGAAAACTCATCATCCATCACCCCAGCAGGGACGAGACAGCCTTGGGCCTGTGTCAGCAGTTTCTTATCCTTTGGTGTCTAATGGCAAATTCATCTCCCTTGGCTATGGGGTCCAGGGGACTCCAGAGGTTTGGCACGTGGCCTGAGTGGAGCGGGAAACCACTTTCCAGCATCTTTGAGGTTTCCTGCCCTTGCTGGAAGCGGGCAGGGCCGGAGTGGGAAGAAGGAGACTGGTCTGCACGGTGGGGACCATCTCCAGTGGGTGCTGGACGACTTGACCTCTTGTAAAGGTGCCCTGGAGTGTGGAGATTCTCTGGCGGTAGGAGGGAGAGGTGTGGGCTGGGAGGGAAAAGGGAGTGAGCGCTCGCATCAGGGACGGTCCCAGGACCACGCTGTCTTCCACCCACGGGAGTAGATACAGTCCTGAGTGTTCTCACAGGATCAGGCTGGGGCACGTTTCCTCCCTCCCACACACCTACTTGCACACACACACCCCCACACATCCACATGCAACCCGTGTCTCTGTACTCCTGCACAAACTCACACCTCCCACACAGGTTCACATATGCCCAATCTAAACCCCCACTCACACACAGCACACTCGTCCAGTCACATACACCCTCACTCACATACCTACAATGCACACACATACCCTCCCTCATGTACACTCACACACACCCATATACCCCCACACACAGCACACACAGGTTTAGACACATACGTGCACACTCGCACCCACAGTCACATACATACCACACACACACACCCCTTCACACACTCTCACACACACAGAACACACAGGCCTATACCCACATACACACTCACACCCACACATACCATGCATGTAACACACAACCTCACTCACACTCACATATACACTCACATACACTCATACTCACACTATCATTCTCACACACACACACACACTCACACCCTCACACACGGTCACAAAGTCACACACTATCACACACATACACACACTATCACACACCCTCACCCTCACACATATACACACTCTCACATAAACACACACATACACAATCACACATTCGCACTCAGTCACACGTATACATTGTCACATACACTCACACACATTCACACTACCATTCACACATACAATCACACACACTCTTACATACACTCACACTCATATACACTCATGCATACTATCACACTCACACACTGACACACACATACACGGATACACACTCACACACTCACACTATCACTCACACTCACAAGTACACCCACATATACACACACTATCACACACTCTCACACGCACATATACACTCTCACATGCATTCACAAACACACGACTACACTCACACTATTACACCCTCACACACACATACATACACACACACAATCACATACACTCACACACACCCTCACACAATCACACACACTCTCACACACATACACATACAGTCACATACACACTCTCGCACACACTCATATAGTCACTCTCATACACACACACACTCACACACCAGTGTTGTCTCAGAGACCGCTGCAGAGCGAGCTGCTCCTCATTCATGAGAGGCTGGGAGGAGCTCTCCAGAGTCGCTAGGATACAGACTGTGTGGGCGTTTTTGGAGCAATGATAAAGTTCCTTGTCGATGTGAAGGTGGGAGTCGTGTTCTCTTCCGCAGCATCTTCCCACCATGGAGACGCCGCTGGGCATTCAGGACGAGCAGCCTGACAGGAAGGCTCCCGTAGGCTCTGGAGGTACGATAAACACAGGTCACAGGAGGCTTCAGCCCATGAAGACAGACTGTGGAGAGGGAATCCCATTAGCCACTGCTGACTGAGCACCTGCAGGGGCCAGGGCTGAGCCGGGGAGCCCAGGAGACCCAGACCCATTCCCACGCGAGAACGCCTAACCCAGGGTAGTTTATGACCTGCCACACAAGGGCTTGCAAACCCTAAGTGCTAGTCTGGGTGGTCAGAGGAGGACAACGTCACTGTGGGCTGGATTGATGAGGGAAAGAGGAGAAGGCAAGAGCATTCCAGGTGGAGAGATTGCCATGAACTGAGACTTAAGGTAGGATTATGGAAGTTGTGGAGAGAAGAGCCAACCTTGAAGAATTGGGTATTAAGGGTCTAGTCCCTGGGTTGCACTGAGGTTGGACCTGGTGTTGAACTCACTATTGCCTCATCTGAGGAAGAAGAAAGACCTCCACCTATCCTTCAGCCATGCTTCCACGTTCACCTCTTCCAGGAAGCCACCCAAGATCTCCCCTTCTCAGAGCCCAGCATATCTATTGCCTCTAAGAGTGTAATTTCTCATGATCTCAGATTTAGACCTAGTCAGCCCATAGTTAATGACTTTTTATGATAACTCCCTGATATAAATGGCAGAATCTCTGTCTACCAGGGCAAGTCATTGAAACTACTAGCAGCCTCAGTGAGGTACATGCCATATGTCAACACAGAGTATTAGAAGTGTTCAGAGGAGGATACCTAATGCTAAATGACGAGTTAACGGGTGCAGCACACCAACATGGCACATGTATACATACGTAACAAACCTGCACATTGTGCACATGTACCCTAAAACTTAAATTATAATAATAATAAAATAAAAAATAAAATAAAATAAAAAAAGAAGTGTTCAGAGGAGGAAGAGAAAACACCCAGATAGGACCATGAGGAAAGGCTGCGTGGAGGAGGTGGTGTTCATGATGGGCTGGAAAGGACAGCCTGAATGTATCCCTCACCATTCATTGGCTTACAGCTGGTCTCCCACACTACATTTTATTGATTATGGCTTAGACCTGGTCATCCCTTATAATGCCTGGCACAGACATTACAGAAAAGTAGGAGCCCACATCCAGCCCACTCCCAGTTCTGTGAGTCTCTCATTTCCAGGGAAGGTTGGAATCCTACCCTGGGTAGCCCTGTGGCTGCTGCCTTTACTCTGTAGGTCAGAGTGAGTAACAGAGTGCAATGTAGAACCTAGGAACCAGAACCTCAGAGCTGTTGGTCTTTGTTTTGCTTTTACAGCCAGGAGCTAGAGATTATAAGTGGAAGCACAAAGTTCCAAAGATACTTCAATGAGATGAAAGCAAATCACACATTTAAAAGTGTGCTTTCTAATGCCAGCACTTTGGGAAGCTGAGGCAGGTGGATCACTTGAGCTCAGAAGTTCAAGGCCAACCTGGGCAACATAGGAAGACCCCGTCTCTATTTAAAAAAAAATACAAAAATTAGCCAGGCATGGTGGTGTGCACCTGTAGTCCCAGGTACTTGGGGGGCTGAGGTGGGAGGACTGCTTGAGCCTGGGAGGTTGAGGCTGCATTGAGCCATGTTTGCACCACTTGGTGACAGAGAAAGACCCTGTCTCAAAAAAACAAAAAAGAAAATGTGCTTTGCAAAGAAATGGAATCAACCTAAGTGCTCATCAACAGATGAGTAGATAAAGAAAATGTGGTATATATACACAATGGAATACTATTCAGCCATTAAAAAAAGAACAAAATCATGTCTTATGCAACAACTTGGATGGAACTGAAGGCCATTATCCTAAGTGGAGTAACTCAGGAACGGATAACCAAAATACCTCATGCTCTCACTTATAAGTGGGATCTAAGCTAGGGATATGCGAAGGCATACGCAGTGGTATCATGCATATTGGAGACCCAGAAGCAGAGAGGGGTCGAGGGATTGAAAAATCACCTATCGGCCGGATGCGGTGGCTAATGCTTGTAATCCCAGCACTTTGGGAGCCCGAGGTGGGCGGATCACAAGGTCGGGAGATCGAGACCATCCTGACTAACACGGTGAAACCCCGTCTCTACTAAAAATACAAAAAATTAGCCGGGCGTGGTGGCGGGCACCTGTGGTCCCAGCCACCTGGGAGGCTGAGGCAGGAGAATGGCATGAACCCGGGAGGCGGAGCTTGCAGTGAGCCAAGATCGCGCCACTGCACTCCAGCCTGGGCAACAGAGCAAGACTCCATCTCAAAAAGAAAAAAAAAAAAGAAAGAAAGAAAGAAAATCACCTATCAGTCAGGTACACCGTACACTATTTGGTTGATGGGTGCACTCAAAGCCCAGACTTCACCGCTATACAATTTATCCATGTAACCTAAACCACTTATACCCCTGAAGCTAAAACAAAACAAAATCAGGCCAGGCGCGGTGGCTCATGCCTGTAATCCCAGCATTTTGGGAGTCTGAGGCAGGCTGATCAAGAGGTCAGGAGTTTGAGACCAGCCTGGCCAATATGGTGAAACCCCATCTCTACTAAGAATACAAAAATTAGCCGGGCATGGTGGCATGCACCCGTAATCCCAGCTACTCGGGAGGCTGAGGCAGGAGAATTGCTTGAACCTGGGAGGCGGAGGTTGCAGTGAGCCGAGGTCACTCCATTGCACTCCAGCCTGGGTGACAGAGTGAGACTCTGACTCAAAAAAAAAAAAAATTATGCTCTGAAATAACTTTACAGTGGAGAATCCTAACAATTACTATACCCCAGCCAGGAGACCCAGGTCCACATCAACAGTGACAAGTTATGTTGACAGTATGTAGTCTTGGTATGATGGGCTGAAAATGGCCCTTGATGCCTGCAGTTCTTCTCTCCAAACCCATAACTCCAGTCAAATCATGAGAAACACATCAGACATACTCAACCAATATGCCTCAAAACTGTCAAATTCATCAAAAACAAGGAAAGCCAGAGAAACTGTCACAGCCAAGAGGAGCCTGAGGGGACATGACAACTAAATGTAATATGGGATCCTGCATTCAGAAAAAAAGGACTAAGTAAAAACTAAGGATAGCTGAATAAAATATGGGCTTTAGTTAATAACAGTATATCTACATTGGTTCACTAATTGTAACAAATGTATCTATTCATGTAAGATGTTGATAATAGAGGAAATGGTGCAAGTAGATGGGAACTCTGTAGTGTTTTTGCAATTTTTCTGTAAATCTAAATGGTTCTAAAAGAACATTTTTATTCAAAATAATTGTGCTTTTTTTTTTTTTTTTTAGACGGAGTCTTACTCTGTCACCCAGGCTGGAGTGCAGTGGCACAATCTGGGCTCACTGCAGCCTCTGCTTGCCAGGTTCAAGCAATTCTCCTGCCTCAGCCTCCCAAGTAGGTGGGATTACATGTGTGGGCCACCACGCCCAGCTAATTTTTTTGTATTTTTAGTAGAGACGGGGTTTCACCATGTTGGTCAGGCTGGTCTCAAACTCCTGACCTCAAATGATCCACCCACCTCGGCCTCCCAAAATTCTGGGATTACAGGCATGAGCCACAGTGCCCAGTCTAGTAATTGTGCTTTTAAACAATAAGGGCATTCTGTCAATGTTAGTCATTACAAGGGTTTTTGTTTCGTTTTGTTTTTTTGGTTTTGAGACAGGGTCTCCCTCTGTTGCCCAGGCTGAAGTACAGCGGCGTGATCATAGTTCACTACAGCCTCAAAGTCCTGGGCTCAAGGGATCCTCCCACCTCAGCTTCCTGAGTAGTCAGGACTACAAGAGGGTGGCACCATGCCAAGCTAATTAAAAAAATTTTTTTGTAGGGATGGGGTCTTGCTATGTCACCCAGGCTGGTCTTGAGCTCCTGGCCTCAAGTGATCTTCCCACCTCAGCCTTCAAAAATGCTGGGATTGTTAATGTTAATAATAGACTCCCAATCCAGTGCTCATCCTGTCCCATCACATGGTTGCTGGGCATATTCTATGTGCCCATAGGGTCCTCTTGGCTGTGACAGTCTCTCTGACTTTTCTTGTTTTTAATGACCTTGGCAATTTTGAGGAGTCAGGTATTTTGCAGAACATCCCCCAACTGGGCTTTGTCTGTTCTTCTCAACTTGATTTCAAGTCACTCAGAACCATGATAGGGCCCACAGAGCTGAAACCACTGCTTTTCCCTGGGCAAGTAGGAGCGAGAAGAACCTCTGTTCCCTACGCCATGAGTCTAGGGAAACTGAGGAGCTAGGGCTCAGGGGTAAAGCTGTGCTTTGGGGAAGCATGGAAGGTTTTCAGAAAACAGGCTCAGAAGGACGGGCACGTTCTACAGTCCCAAAGTGGTGGGACTACAGGTGTGAGGCCAGGAGTCCAAGACCAGCCTGGGCAACATAGCAAGACCCTGTGTCTACAACAAATTTATTGATTTATTGATTTTTATTTTTATTTATTTATTTATTTATTTTGAGACGGAGTCTCGCTCTGTCACCCAGGCTGGAGTGCAGTGGCGCCATCTCGGCTCACTGCAAGCTCCGCCTCCCGAGTTCACTCCATTCTCCTGCCTCAGCCTCCTGAGTAGCTGGGACTACAGGCGCCCGCCACCACGCCCGGCTAATATTTTTGTATTTTTAGTAGAGACGGGGTTTCACCATGTTAGACAAGATGGTTTCGATCTCCTGACCTTGTGATCCGCCCACCTCAGCCTCCCAAAGTGCTGGGATTACAGACGTGAGCCACCGCGCCAGGCATGGTTTTTATTTTTGAGACATGGTCTCACTCTGTTGCACAGGCTGGAGTGCAGTGACATGATCTTGGCTCACTGCCAACTCACCCTCCTGGGCTCAAGCCATTCTCATGCTTCCTCAGCTTCTTCAGTAGCTGGGACTACAGGTACATGCCACCATGCCTGGCTAGTTTTTGTATTTTTTGGTAGAGATGGGGTTTCACCATGTTGCCCAGGCTGGTCTTGAACTCCCAGGCTCAAGTGATCCGCCCACCTCAGCCTCCCAAAGTTCTGGAACTGCAGGTGAGAGCCACTGCGACCCGCCTCTACAGCAAATTTAAAAATTAGCCAGGTGTGGTGGCTCGTGGTTGTGGTCCCAGATGCTCTGGAGGCTGAGGCAGAGGGATTCCCTTGAGCCTGGGAGGTCGAGGCTGCAGTGAGCTATGATTGTGCCACTGCGCTCCAGCCTGGGTGACAAAGCGAGACCCCCATCTCCTAAATAAATTAATTAATTAAATAAAAAAAGGTTCTGGTCTCACTGCACCAGGGCTGGGTCCGATGTTTCAGCTTCGCGTCTTGCGGAAGATTTGGCCTCCCACTAAGATGGGTCCAGGAGGGAGGGTCTTAGCTTGGGATTGGATATTCCAGAGGACTAGACTCTTCATGTCTCTCCAGAGCCAACCCGAGGGACGGCCTCCTTCCTCCACAGCCGGCTTCAGTGGGTCCTTGGGGACCGATGGCACTGTGGATGCTGGTGCCTTCAAGAAGTTGCCTTGACAACCCATCCTTCCAGGTGTGGGGGAGAGAGCGAGCGCCTGCATGAGTTCTGAAAAGGACAGGATTCTAGGATGTTGAGCTGCCTCTAAGAGTGTTGTCATCTTGATGGGTACCTTCATTATACAATTTTCTAGGCTCGACCCTCCCTTGCCAGCCCCTCCTCTTAGGACTCAGCCTGGTGAGGGGGCGGCAGCAGCTGCTGGGCACTGGCCTGTGTGGGTTGGACAGAGCTGGCAGGCAAATGCGGCACGCTAAATTCAGGGGACCATTCGAGATGTCTAGACAGGAAGTCAGGCTGAGACAAAAGCAAGGACACTCCCCTCACACTAGAGCCCAGGCAGGCTGTCCCACTGCTTCAGGAGCCCAGAGGATCAGACCTCTGGGGTCTGAGTGCCAGCCCACAGCAGGTCTTTCTTTTTTCACTTTTTAGAGCCAGGATCTCACTGTGTCGCCCAGGCTGGAGTGCAGTGGCACAGTCGTAGCTCATTGCAGCCTTGACCCCCAGGCTCAAGCAATCCACCTGCCTCAGCCTTCCCAGCACCAGGACCACAGGCGTGTACCACCACGCCCAGTAATTTTTAAATTTTTTTGTAGACACAGTGTCTTATTATATTGCCCAGGCTGGTCTTGAACTCCTGGCCTCAAGCAATTCTCCTGCCTCCCAAAGCGCTGGGATTACAGCTGTGAGCCACCTCACCGGCCCCAGGGCAGGTCTTTATGGAAATAAAGGGTATGTTTTGACCCAGCCCCTGTGCAGCAGAGGTGTGCAGGGTGGGGCAGGGAACTGTGGCTGGGTGGCACTCAGGTGAAAGCTGCTCACTATGGCCTTGAAGTTGAGGCTGGGAGAGTAGATCTGGCATCAGTGCTTCAGGCCCTCCTCCCAGAGCCAGCATTGGGCGTGCTCTGAACACCACTTAACATCCAAGTGGGAGTTGGCAGGGAGGGCAGGGCCTCAGGGGTCTAGCTCAGCTTAGCCAGCGTCCAGCACTGGGACCTTGAACAATCAGTCTGTCTCTCTGTGTCCCCATTTGTAGAATGGGGCTAATCCTATCCCTGCCCTACCTGCCTCATGGGTTATTATGAGATACAGATGAAACGCTGTGTGGGAAAGACCTGTGTGAAGTGCTTGGCAGGCATGACTCTAAAGGGTGTTTACACTGTGAAGCTTTGAGGCTGTTGAGATATTCAGTTCCATTGAACTGGGAGACTTTGTTTCTTTTGGCTGTCAATGACTGAGTTGCTTAGATTGGGAAGTCTTACAGGTCATTGAGCCCAACACGCCCATGTGGTCCTTGAGAAAAGCTAGAGCATGTGATGTTGTGACCTCCCTTGTCCCAGAACAAGTCAGTATCTGAGCTGGGGCAACAGCCCAGGGCCCCCAATTCTCTCACAGGGCTCCGTGGCTCATGCCACACGGCTTCCATGTCTGGCAGGGCCGATTCTCCTGGCGCTAAACACCTTCCTCTCGCCTCCCTCACCGAGAACCCAACAGCCATCATTTGCATTTTAGTACACACCCGCTCCCTGCCAGCTTATCATATAACCAAACACCCATGCCAGATTCTAGGATCTTTAAGGAAATACAAAAGAGTGAAAGACACAACAGAAAGATGATAACCAAGTGTTCCTTGGGCGCTCTGCCAGTGTGGATCGGCAGTATGCCTGGAACTCCCGGCTTCAATCTGTTCACCAACCTGTTACTCTCCCTCATCCAAGCTGCTCCTGAAAGCCCGTCTCCTCTGGGAAGTCTTCCCAGATCAACTAAGCGACTGGCAGCTTCTGTGATTTGCCCGGTCTGAACCTCGTACTTCCCTGGATGTCATGCACCCACCTTCCACCCCTGCGGGCACATGGCCTTGTCCCCTCCTCCCAGTTGCTAGGCCCATCCTGGCTCCCCACTTCCCTTCCCGCACCCGACAGCTCCCCAGTCTGCCCCGATTCCGGTCTGGAGCTTGACGTACATTTGATGTTAATACTTTTTCATCTCCTCATGTATTCGCCTCCTGCTTTCATTTGGTGGCAAGTGTCCCCTCTCTTTGCTTTTTCACATCTGTGTGGTTCATCGGAGACATTTGTAACTCAGGGGGTCTCATTATCAAGAAGGGAGAATCTCATGCCTCTGCCCTTTGCTTGGGTCTGATGAGGAGATGGCTGGACTCTCATTTCCAGTGCTTTAAACAAATCCAAATTCCATGTCTCACCAGCTTCAGCTAGCTAACTGGATTCCTGCTTCCCAGAATTCTCTCTATCCATGAGCAACAATTCTATCTTTGATTTTTTTCATCTAAGCTATGAAAGAAATAGAAAAGTCAATTTATTTATTTACTTATTTTTCGTGGCAGAGTCTCGCTCTGTCTCCCAGACTAGAGTGCAGTGGTATGATCACGGCTCACTGCAGCCTCAAACTCCTGGGCTCAAGTGATCCTCCCACCTCAGCCTTCTGAGGAGCTGAGAATACAGGTGCACACCACTACGCCTGGCTAGTTTTTTAATTTTTTGTAGAGATGGGGTCTCGCTCTGTTGCCCAGGCTAGTCTTGAACTGCTGGTCTTGAACTCCTGGTCTTGAACTCCTCAGCTCAAGCAAGCCTCCCCAACTTCAGCTTCCCAAAGTGCTGGGATTACAGGCATGAGCCACCACACCTGGCCCATTTTTCTTCCTCAGACTTTCTACTTACCCTGATCTTTGGTTATCTGAGGTTAGTGTTGTTTAAAAGGGGCCTGCAGAAATGCTACTATTTGTCGAAAAAGGAAGGGGGGTAGAACACACACACACACACACACACGCACACACACACACACATGATATCTACACATAAATATGTACATGCATAGGTATGTATGTTCTTGCTGTCAAGTTTAACTTATCTTGGAATGATATAAGTCTAAATTATCTTCGTAACTATACATTATCTCTGAATGAACACCAACATCTGAAAATATCAGTTGCCTTTGGAGATTTTCATTATATGCCTTTACAGCTTTTAAAACTTAAAAAATAATAAATTATTTGATGTATACGAAGCTTAATTAAAATGAATGTTTATCTTGAGGTATAATAAGAAATACTTCTTCCCCATGGAGCCACCAGCCTCCCATCTTAAGAAATGGAACCTCACCAATGGTGCTGAATCTTCCTGCAGCCCCTCCCTGCTTCCACAGAGGGAAACACTGGCCTCAGTCCTATTTTCATGCTTTCTTGTAGTTTATCACAAATGTATATATTCCTAAGTAATATATCATTTCACTTTACTTGCTTTCAACTTTGTAAAAATGGTATCACACTGTTTGTATCTTACTGTGACTTGCTAGTTGCTCTCACCATAGTTTCTAATATCATCCATGCTGATGCTGGTAACTCTGTCTTACTCTGTTGTCCAGGCTGGAGTGCAATGGCACGATATTGGCTCACTGCAGCCTCCACCTCCTGGGCTCAAGCAATCCTCCTGCCTCAGCCTCCCAAATAGCTGGGACTACAAGCATGCACCATCATGCCCGGCTTTTTTTTTTTTTTTTTGAGATGGAGTCTCACCCTGTTGCCCAGGCTGGAGTGCAGTGGTGTGATCTCGGCTCACTGCAACCTCCACTTCCTGGGTTCAAGCAGTTCTCCTGCCTCAGCCTCCCGAATAGGTGGGATTACAGGCATGTGCCACCATGCCTGGCTAATTTTTTTATTTTTATTAGAGACAGGGTTTCACCATGTTGGCCAGGATGGAATCGAACTCCTGGCCTCAGGTGATCCTCCCGCTTCGGCCTCCCAATGTGCTGGGATTACAGGCATGAGCCACCACGCCCAGCCGGCCAGCTAATTGTTGTATTTTTATTAGAGACAGGGTTTCACTATGTTGCTCAGACTGGTCTCCAACTGCTGAACTCAAGCAATCTGCCCGCCTCTGCCTCCCAAAGTGGTGGGATTACAGGCGTAAGCTACTGCACCTGGCCTGGCAACTTTTATTCATGTATTTTCATTGTTAACTAACATTCCATTGAGTGCATATACCCACTTTCTTGATCCCTTTTCCTGGTGATCCACAATGAGTTCTTTCCCATCTATGTGGCTATGAACATTCATGTATCTGCCTCTTGCTGCACTCATGCAAGAGTTCTCCAGGGTTGGCTCCTGGCAGTGGAACTACTGGGCCAGCGGGTAGACAGACTCCCAGCTTTTGCCAAATGGCTTCCAACGTGGTTGTACCAATCCTCTCAAGCAGCATGAAGGGGTTTTTTTTGTTTATCACTTTCATCAATGCTTGATACGAACAGTCTTTAAATTTTTTGCCAAACCAGTGGGTGTAAAATGGTGCGATCTTAGGAGCTTCATTCACATTTTTTTGGTTACTGCTAACATTGGGAGCATCTTCTTCTGTTTATTGGCCATTTGTGTTTCCTTTTCTATGACCTTTTGAATTCTGAACCATGTAAATATATTACCTGTCCAAAATATTTATTTATTAAAGTGGGCCTGCAATAACTCATTTCTCATATACAAAGGGCCTACCACTTTACACACAAATATCATCTCTGAACAGTGTCACAATAAATAAAACTGCTAACAATACACTGGTGAGTGTTATGAGCTGAACTGCATTCCTCAAACATTCATTTGTGTGGCTGGGTGCGGTGGCTCATGCCTGTAATCCCAGCACTTTGGGAGGCCGAGGCGGGCAGATCACAAGGTCAAGAGATCGAGACCATCCTGGCCAACATGGTGAAACCCCGTCTTTACTAAAAATACAAAAATTAGCTGGGCATGGTGGCACATGCCTGTGGTCTCAGCTACTCAGGAAGCTGAGGCAGGAGAATCCCTTGAACCCAGGAGGCAGAGGTTGCAGTGAGCCGAGATCATGCCACTGCATTCCAGCCTGGACAACAGAGCGAGGCTCCGTCTCAAAAGAAAAAAAAATTATTTGTTTTTTTTTTTGAGATGGATGGAGTCTTGCTCTTTTGCCCAGGCCGGACTGCAGTGGCACTATCTCGGCTCACTGCAAGCTCTGCCTCCCGGGTTCACGCCATTCTCCTGCCTCAGCCTCCTGAGTAGCTGGGACTATAGATGCCCGCCACCGTGCCCGGCTAATTTTTTTTTTTGTATTTTTAGTAGAGACGGGGTTTCACCATGTTAGCCAGGATGGTCTCGATCTCCTGACCTCGTGATCCACCCGCCTTGGCCTCCCAAAGTGCTGGGATTACAGGCATGAGCCACCGAGCCAGGCCAAAAAATTATTTGTTAAAACCTTATCCTCCAATACCTCAGAATGTAACCATATGTGGAGACAAGGTCTTTTAAGGGGTGCCTGAAGTTAAAATGAGGTCTTTAGGGTGGGCCTAATCCAATCGGACTGGTGTCCTTATAAGAAGAGGATGTTAGGACACAGACCAAAGGACAACCATGTGAAGACGCAGGGAGAAGGGTCCCTCTGTAAGCCCAGAGAGAGGCTCAGAAGAACCCACCTCATCAGCACCTTGATCTTGGACTTCCAGCCTCCAGACCCATGAGACAATAAATGTCTATAGTTTTAGCCACCCAGTCTGTGCATTCAGTACAGGGAGCAAACTATGGTGTACATAGCATCTCCACATCCTTATTTCAGCTACTCATTCATCATCAAATATTAGCAGAGCACATCCTCGGTCTAAGGCACTTTTCATTGTTAAATCCTCACTGCAGTGTTTTAAGGCAGGAATAACCACTCCTGTTTATAAAATGAAGAAACTGGCTGGGTGTGGTGGCTCATGTCTATAATCCCAGCACTTTGGGAGGCCAAGGTGGGAGGCTTGCTTGAGCCCAGGAGTTCAAGACCAGCCTGGGCAACACAGTGAGACCCTGTCGCTACAAAAAATTTTAAAACTTGCTGGGCATGGTGGTACATGCCTGTAGTCCCAGGTACTTGGGAGGCTGAGGTGGGAGAACTGCTTCAGCCCAGGAGGCAGAGGAGGCAGAGGAGGCAGTGAGCCAAGATCGCACCACTGCACTCCAGCCTGGGCCACAGAAGGAGACCCTGTCTCAAAAAAATAAATAAAATAAAATGAGGAAACCAAGGCTCACAATATTTAAGTGAGTGCAAAGGAGGATAACCAGGATGACAAAGAAACTGAAATCGCCATATGAAGGGCCAGAGAAAACTCAGGCAGATGTAATCATCTGGTTTACATGAAGAAAGGCTATCATGGGAGACAGCCCTTTATAGCCCTTCTTTATAGCCCTAAGGAATGGAACGATGGTGAATAGGAAGAAACCCCAGGCAGACAAATTTCACCTGAATAGGAAGAAAACCATTGTCATAGTCAGACTGGTCTAAAGACAGGGCAAGGCATTTGGGGAGTAATGAATCATCCCTATAGAAGCTGGACAGCCACTTAATTCGGGGTGGCGTGTATGTGTGTGTGTGGTGAGATTCAAGCTTCAGGTGTGAGGTTGGATGACATGACATCAAAGATCCCTTCCTGTCCCAAGAGTCGATGCTGTTTCTGAGACCAGGTGACAGGTAAGCAGTGGGCCAGAATCTGGACTCTGATTCCCACGTCTCTCCACCACACTGAGCTGCCTTTCAACAGATGAGTGGCTGGACAAATGAACTCCAAGGATGGTAGGGTTCACTCAGCCACCTGGGGACAGGACGCAGTGACAGGGAGTCTATACAGCTTTTGAAATGAGAGAATGAATTCCTCGCCTTTCCCTTTTCAGAAGTCTGGCGCGTGCCTTTTTGGAAGTTTCAGGAGAAGGTAGGCAGCTGGAAGCAGTAGGGAAGGAGCCGTGTTAAGACCGCCAAGCACCAGCTCCCCCATATGTCTCCTCCTTAATTAATCTTCTGCATTAGTTCCAGCTGTAAGATGACTTTTTCCCTCCATTTTACAGATGTGGAAACTGACACTCAAAGAGGCTATGGGGCCAGGGCGTGATAGCAATGTCTGTAATCCCAGCATTTGGGGAGGCCGAGACCAGTGGATCACCTAGGTCAGGAGATCGAGACCAGCCTGGCCAACATGGTGAAACCCCATCTCTACTAACAATACAAAAATTAGCTAGACATAGTGGCGGTCACCTGTAATCCCAGCTACTCAGGAGGCTGAGGCAGGAGAATCACTTGAACCCGGGAGGTGGAGGTTGCAGTGAGAGGAGATTGTGCCACTGCACTCCAGCCTGGGCAACAGACGAGACTCTATCTCAAAAAAAAGAGGCTATGGAACTGTCCAAACTTACAAAGCTAAGTCACAGCAGCGACCTTCACTAAATCACCCAACTTCAGGATGTTTTTTAAAAGAGAAACAGGGCCTCATTCTGTCACCCAGGCTGGAGTGTGGTGGCACAATCACAGCTCACTGCAGCCTCCAACTCCTGGGCTCAAGTAATCCTCCCACCTCGCCTCCCAAGTAGCCAGGACTACACGCATGCACCACCACGCCCACCTAATTTTTAAAAGTTTTGTAGAGTATATTGTCCAAGCTGGTCTTGAACTCCTGGCCTTAAGAGATCCTTCCTCAGCTTCCCAAAATGCTGGGATTATAGGTGAGCCACTGTGACAGGCCTCCATTTTCACATCTTGTTGCCCAATGGCTATCTGAATGCAAACAATTTGTTTTTTATTTCTGTAAATCCAGACTGCTATCCTTCAGTAAAAAGCCCAGGATAAGCAAGTCTTCTCAGAGAGGATTTATATGCCAGGAGGGAATGGGACAGGGGCAACTTCCTTCTTATTCTCTGATTCAGACAATTGACAGGTGAAGTAGAGGCTTCCAACCCTGGATTCCGCCAGATGGCCGCCCTTGGGCTTCTCCCTAATGAAATTCTCCAGGAAGAGAACTAGTGCTTCCTTCTCCCCGCGAATGCGGTCCTCTCTTCCTTCCTTCAGTGAACACTTTTATTCCAGAAGACAGTAATGCTCCCTTCTAGCAGAATCTCAGCAGAGAAGGGTGACTGCACTGGCTACAGCAGAGAGGACTGAATGGGCCTGTTTCAAGCTGAATGATCTATTCAGCCTTCATTGATCTGCAAACTGGCTGAGAGCCCTATGAGCTGGCCAGGAACATGGCATCGGAGCAGGGAGTGCTCTGTGCTCGTGTGTGTGTGTGTGTGTGTGTGTTGTGGAGGGAGGGGTGTGCATGCATCCAAGGCAAAGTATAACTCCTATTTTAGTCTGAGCCCCACCCTCGTTGGTTAGGACACGTAAACATGGGGCGGGCAGTGGTTCTCCCAGACAGTAACAAGGCTGAGGGGGAGGATCAGGATCATTGTTTTTCCCTTGGAGCTGGAAGGCTAGACGTATCCACTCCCCAATTCAGCTGGTTCTGCCAGAGAGAGGAAGCTGGGAAGGTTCCAGAACAGGAAGGAACTTCTTCACTCTATCAGCTTTTCTTTGACTTCTGGGGGCTTCAAAGGCCTTCCTCCTCCTACAGAGGTCAGAACGCAGTACCTTCCCATTGCAATCCTGTCCCAGAACTAAAGAATGGGACATCTTTAAGCTCTGGGTCCATAGGGCTGAGCTTTCCTCTCTCCTTTCAAATTTGGCCTCAAGAATTTCTTTCTCCGCAGTCCAGTTCCACCCTCTCCTGCACCCCTGACTTATCTGCCATATTATTCCTGCCATCCAACCTTCAGAGAACTCAGAATAGAGCACACTCCATTGTTACAGATAACCCACCAAAGGGGTGGAGAGTTACAGAACAAAGAGAAGAAACAGTAGTTTCCCTCAGAAAGTTTAATTTAGATCAGGTTAGCACAAGGCTAAGCCACTTCAATACAAAATTTATGAGCCAGTGCCTGGCACAAAGCACATGTCTTGCGGGTCAGACCTGGGGACTGCTGCTGGGGATGACTTTCATGCCTGCGTTTTAGGAATGACCTCGCAGAGGAGGCCAGCAATCCGCTGTCACGAAGACGAGTGCCAGGCTGCCATCAGGTTTACAAGGGGAGCCGTGGTGTGCCCGGCATGGGACGCTGTGCCCACTAAGCGCAGGAGCAAATGCAGAGAGCCAGTGGCAGCTGGGTAGAAGGGAGGGACTGATGCTTTAATACCAGACACAGGGAGAGGAGATTGCACAGAGGGAGATCATCCCACTACCAGGGACCAGGTAGTGTTCGTCACATTCCACAGGTCCAGTGGCACAAAATCCCCAGAATGGGGAACACAATGAAAATAGACACAGCCAGGCAGAGGCTGCTTACCTGCGGAGTGACCTTGGATGACACTTCAAGCTGGTTGGGCCTCAGTTTTCTCACCTAGGTGAGGAAGGAGTTGGATTTGATCAGTGATTTCCTGAATTTTGGACCAGTCCAATTAACTAAAAGTTTGGGGGACTAACTTTTCATGCTGCCAAAAAAGAATATTTTAAAAATATCACCATCACTATCAGTTTTAAAAAGAAAGCACATTTTGATACTAAAAAAGTAGATGAGGCTGGGCGCAGTGGCTCACGCCTGTAATTCCAGCACTTTGGGAGGCTGAGGTGGGCAGATCACAAGGTCAGGAGTTTGAGATCAGCCTGAGCCAACATGGTGAAACCCCGTCTATACTAAAAATACAAAAATTAGCCAGGTGTGGTGGCATGTGCCTGTAATCTCAGCTACTCAAGAGGCTGAGGCAGGAGAATTGCTTGAACCCAGAAGGCAGAGGTTGCAGTGAGCAGAGATCGTGCTACTACACTCCAGCCTGGGCAACAGAGTGAGACTCCGTCTCAAAAAAAAAAGTAGATAAGACATCATCTTAGAATACTAAGGAGAGGCCTTTAAAGAAATTCAGCTATATGGAAAACTCCACTACATGATCGTACTTGTCTCATTTCATCAAAGACTCTTGAAAGCTTCATTATGGAGGGAAACGGATTCAAGCATTGGGGAACTAATAGATGATTCCAGAGGAGCTTCCTAGCTCCAAAGATTTCAAGATTTGAATCACACCTGAGCAAATCACCTAATCACCCTTTGAACTTCTATACAATGAGGGTGGCTCAATGAGAGAATATAGATAGGGACTGGGTATTTCCCCAAGGCTGCAGCATAGTAATAACCCTCAGAGAATGGTGACTGATGTACTCTCTGCAGGTGATCCCTGACACCTGGAATGAAAGTTATCATTCCTCTTGTTTAGCTGTTCCAATTTTTCCTGTGTTCTGAGGTGCCCAAGAAGCTTCCTCTAGGGATTTCCTGTAGCTTTGAAGGTCTGAGCAGGGTGCTACAGGCAGAAAGCTGGGAGATACCCCCCACTTCTTGCACTGGAGGCAATAAATCACACTGGGGAGGAACCGCACCTCACCCTTGCAGCGCTCGTAGGTAAATGTCTTTCAATGGGCCGACACGGTGGCTCATGCCTGTAATCCCAGCACTTTGGGAGGCCGAGGGTGGGGGTGGATCACTTGAGGTCAGGAGTTCCAGACCAGCCTGACCAACATGGCGATACCCTATCTCTACTAAAAATACAAAAATTAGCCAGGCATAGTGGCGTGCACATGTAGTCCCAGTTACACGGGAGGCTGAGGTGGGAGAATCACTTGAACCCAGGAGGCAGAGGTTGCAGTGAGCTGAAGATCTTGCCACTGCACTCCAGCCTGGGCAACAGAGTGAGACTCCGTCTCAAAACAATGTCTTTCAATGAACGTAGGTGAGATGTCACTTCTATACTCTGAGGTCCAGAGACTCTGTGCTCTACACAGATGAAAGAAGCTGTGTGTGCAGTTTTAATAGAACCCACCCCAGGCTATGGGCTCCCAGAATTTCACAACAGATCAGCCAGGAGGGAAGGGAGGTATTCTTCCCTAGAGCTGTCATTGTGGTGACAGAAACAATCGAGGGAGCAGCTCCCCACCCAGCCCCAGGATCTGGGTCCAGCAGACCTGGAGAGTCTGCCCTGGCTGCACAGACCGTGGTGGGACTGTCTGGCGGAACTGTTGTCTGGAGACAATGCAGCCCATGTGACAGGCCTTAATGAGTCCCTTCTGGAATCCCACAATGGCCAAGTGGCACAGGCTCTCTGAATAGGTTGCTGTTTTTCAGCAGTGGCAGGGGCTGTGTTGTGGCAACCTCCTCTCTTATTCAACCTCCGGCATCTCTCTTCTTTTCCTTTCTTTCTTACCTTTGTCTTTTATCTACTTTAACTCTCCTGTTCCCTTTTGATCTCTTCCTTCTCCTCCACCCTCCTGATTTCTGTTGTTTCTTAGACACAAAATCGCCCTTCACTCCTGCCCTGTGGTTGCCCCATTCCTGGATCACAGAGCTGATCAGTTGCTGCAGCATGTACCCCCTCTCCTTTCCGGGGACTGCTTTTATTTATTTATTTATTTTTTGAGACAGAGTCTCACTCTGTTGCCAGGCTGGAGTGCAATGGCGCAATCTCGGCTCACTGCAACACTGCAACCTCCACCTCCCGGGTTCACGCCATTCTCCTGCCTCAGCCTCCCAAGTAGCTGGGACTACAGGCACCCACCACCACGCCCGGCTAAATTTTTGTATTTTTAGTAGAGACAGGGTTTCACCGTGTTAGCCAGGATAGTTTTGATCTCCTGACCTCGTGATCCACCCGCCTTGGCCTCCCAAAGTGCTGGGATTACAGGCGTGAGCCATAATGCCCGGCCCCTAATTTTTGTATTTTTAGTAGAGATGGGGTTTTGCCATGCTGGCCAGGCTGGTTTCAAACTCCTGACCTCAAGTGATCCACCCACCTCGGCCTCCCAAAGTGCTGGAACACAGAGGAGTGAGCCACGGCGCCCGCCCTGGAGGCTGTATTTAAATCCTGCTTTCCCTGCTGCTGGGAGTGTGGAAGAGTCAGCGCATCTCTGTGATTGAAAGGAAAAGCCACTGTGATATAAGTTAGTTGTGTGTGCTGCCATGCCATGCCCCCATTTTAAAGTTCTCTAAGCACTAGCAGGATGGCTTCTTTTTCTCTGCCACTATGGAGAATTGCAAAGTTCTGATCTAGAAACTGCGCAGTTGGGTATGTTTGCCTTCCTGCTCTTCCTTCCTGGATTGGCAGTGACAGGGGCCATGGGCAGCAGAGGCTGAACCAATCATGGGCACTGGGGGCCCCTCCCAGCCCAGGCCACACTTTAGGGCGTCTCCTGGGTGCCTTCCCTACAGCCTGGCTGGCTGGCTTCAGCTGTCAATCAGTCTGTAAGAAGCCCCACTGCTGGGGAGGGTCCCCTCTGCCACTGCAGGCTTTCCTTCACCATCCATCCCTCAGCCTGCACTCTCCACCCCCACCCGACCTCTTCAGAACCAGAGCTGTGGAAAAATCAGTCTTGATGAATGGAGATTACGGGGCTCTGTGTGTTACAAAATGTGGTCAGGAAATGCTGAGGGTCTTCCTGAGCTCACTAGTGGATTCCCTAGAGAAGGATAATGCAATTGAAGAGGAATTGAAAGGAGCTTTCCAAAGAGAAAGAAGAAAGACAGCAGTTTCTGTCCAGGAGGGGAGAAGTGGCAGAGGGCAGAAGCCAGGGCCAGAGCACTGCAGCCACTCCATCAATCTGCAGCTTTCCATCACTTCAGCCCTGGCAGTGACGCCGAGGGGAAGGGAAATCTGAAGCCAGAGAGCAAGAGGACAGAGAGCACAAGAGATTGCCAAGGAAGTTATTGAGGAAAGGGATTTGAGAATCACCAATGTGTTTCAGGCTCCTGGATTGCTCGCCCTTCTTTCTCTGCCTCAATCACGTTTTCTTTGACATCTGTCCTTATGAAATCCAGGTGCAGGATGAAATGTTGAGTGAGGATGGAACAAAGGAAGACCACTGATGAGAATAAGGAAGGCAAAGGGGGCAGGACCTCCCCACACCTCTTTTTATTTTTTAAGAGACAGGGTCTTGCTGTGTCTCCCAGGCTGAAGTGCAGTGGTGTGATCATAGCGTGCTGCAGCTTTGACCTCCTGGGCTCAAGGGATCCTCTTGCCTCAGCCTCCCAAGTTGCTGGGACTACAGTCACAAACCACCATGCCCAGCTAATTTTTAAATTTTTTCTAGAGACATGGTCTCCAACTCCTGGCCTCAAGCAATCCTCCCACCTCGGCCTCCCAAAGCACTGGGATCACAGGTGTGAATCACTGTGCCTGGCCCCCACCTCTTTAGACCCAAACTGGCATCAATCTAGGTGGCAGCTTCAGAATGGCTTTGTGGAGAGGTGAGCCTGGTACCACCCCCAAATGTCTGAGCAATAAACCAGAGGGTAGTTCAGGCCTTCTTGCCCATCGGTGACTCCTGGTACCGTGCACAGCAGCTCAGGTAAAGGTGGTCCACATCTAATGAGCACCTATTACCAACCCAGCTAAAAAGCCCTGAGCTTTACATTCTCATAACTCTACAAATCCACTTCACAGTTGAGAAAATTGAGGTGCAGAGAGGCTGCTAAATTTGCCAAAGTGACAAAAGAAAAAATTTGTACATTGGACAGACCGATGCTTACCCAGCTCCTAGGAGAATATTGGAAAGTCAGTGAAGCAAAATGCTAAGGAGGGCTGCAGTTATTCTGCATATTTGATCAAGGATAGAGATAGTCTCATTTAGATCCTCTGAAGGGCTTTAGAATTTAAATAAAAGGCTACCTGAAGCAGAAACAGGAAGAGGAAGGTAGGAAGGGTGTGTAACTGCTCCCCAGTCCCAGGACAAAGCCCCCTTAGCCAGGACCAGGGGGACCGACCACATCTTTGTCTGGACAAAGTTGTGTGGGCATTTATTGTCCCAATGTGTGCTCCAACGATCCTCTACCTGTCATCAACCCTCTGTTTTTGCTGCCACCAACACATGATAATCTAATCTGGAAGTTAAAAAAAAAAAAAAAAAAAAAGGAATGGAGTATCTGTAGAAACAAACATCATCAAATGTCCTGGCTCCCTTCCCAGGGCTTCAATAAAAATGCAGGAAGGAAGAAGCCACAGAGCGGAGTCCACATCAGCAAGTCCTTCCTGAGTCTCCATTAAGTACTCAGGAGAGGACTGTGCAGCTTCAGTGCGGATTGCCAGGTGCTGTCCCGGAGGGGACCCTCCTGGTGGAGGAACAGGCTTAAGGATGAACAGGGGACAGAGATGTGTTGAGTATTTGTATTCCTGGATTGTTCTCTTTTCTGTGCCCCCATATTCAACATTTTGACATAACAAACTTTCTTCCTGGCCAGGCACAATGGCTCATGCCTGTAATCCCAGCAATTTGCGAGGCCGAGGCAGGTGGATCACCTGAGATCAGGAGTTTGAGACCAGCCTGGCCAACATGGTGAAACCCTGTCTCTACTAAAAATACAAAAAATTAGCCGGGCGTGGTGGTGGGCACCTGTAATCCCAGCTACTCAGGAGGCTGAGGCAGGAGAATCACTTGAACCTGGGAGGTGGAGGTTGCAGTGAGCCAAGATTGCATCACTGCACTCCAGCCTGGGCGACTGAGCGAGACTCTGTCCCCACCCCCCCAAAAAAACAAACTTTCTTCCTGATTGTTATAATAATGTTCACTGCACTTAAAAACTTGGTTTTGAATTATCGTATGAAGTACAGCTCTAATTTAGGCAACTAGTGACCTGCGTTCTGCTCGGGAAGCTGGGAGGCAGGGACAGGGGATCTTTCATAGACGTAAGGAACACAATAGCCAAACAAAGTTTATGGTGAGAAACCTGACAGCGAAGTCAGAGACAAAACCATTTCTTTTTTTCTTTTACTTTCTTTTTCTTTTCTTTCTTTCTTTTTTTTTTTTTTTTTGGACATAGGGTCTCACTGTGTTGCCCAAGCCAGTCTCCCACTCCTGGGCTCAAGTGATCCACCCCACTTGGCCTCTCAAAGTGCTGGGATTACAGGCGTGAGCCACCATGCCCGATCAAAATCGTTTCTTTAATCAGAAGACTACCTACCCCTTGCTCCTCTACTAAAAATTCTGAAAGGCCGGGCAAGGTGGCTCATGCCTGTAATCTCAGCACTTTGGGAGGCCGAGGTGGGCAGATCACGAGGTCAAGAGATGGAGAACATCCTGGCCAACATGGTGAAACCCCATCTCTACTAAAAATACAAAAATTAGCTGGGCATGATGGTGTGTGCCTGTAGTCCCAGCTACTGGGGAGGCTGAGGCATGAGAGTCGCTTGAACCTGGGAGACAGAGGCTACAGTGAGCCAAGATCGCACCACTGCACTCCATCCTGGTGACAGAGTGAGACTCCATCTCAAAAAAAAAAAAAATTATGAAAGACAGAAGGAGGTGGAACTATAGGCGGGCAGAAGGCGTGCTAAAAGATACAAATGAAAAATAAACTTGAAACATACCTAGCAGAAAGCACACTTGATTTGAAAGATTCTATCTCAGTTTTCTGTGGACCTATTCATAACACAGAAACATGGTTTCTTAAAATACAGTTTCTGCACTGGTGGGTTGAGTCTCCTCAAAAATGCCTTCCATATTTTCACTGGCCCCTGCTTTGGCATGAACTCATAATTCCTGAACACCACCTCCAAGTGGGCTGGCAGAACTGGAACCGGCAGGGTGGTTCTGAAACCTAGGGACACCCCTAGTGACACTGAGATTTGGGCACACAGGTGTCAGATTTCAGCTCTTCTTTTTTTCTATCATCCCACCCCCTCCCTCAACACACACACAGACATACACACACACACACTTCACAAGATCCTATGAAGTAAAACAGTTTTAGAAAAATGGCACTGGTGTTGATTCAAGCAGATTACTAACAAGTTCTCTCTAAAAACACACACTCAAACTGTTACAATTCTGTTTGGTGTGGTTTAAACTTTTTTCTAATAATTGAATTTTTAAAGAAAGAGGGGTTTTAAATTCCCTTCTGTTAATCAAGAACAGCCTCTTTTCCCACATGGACTGGCTGGCCATGAAGGCTCTGGAGTCAGCCTATCTGCATTGATAGGTTTGCTTCCTTACATAATGACTTGGGGAATTATGTAGCCTCAGTTTTCTCACCTGTGAATTGGGAGCTAACAATAGCATCTGTGAGGTTGAAATGGGATAACTCCTATAAAACCATTTACCATAGTACCTGCTCATAGTAAGCATTCATTAATAGTAGCTATCATGACTTCAAAATAAAACATACCACCAAAAAGCCTTATGTAGAGAGATAAAATCTAACACTGTGATATTTATTTATTTATTTATTTATTTACTGAGACAGGATCTCCCTGTGTTACCCAGGCTAGAGTACAGTGGCATGAACATGGCTCACTGCAGGCTTGATCCTCCTGGGCTCCACTAATCTGCAGCCTCTCAAAGTGCTGAGATTACAGGCCACCATGCCTGGTCCACTATTTGTATTTTCTATACAGGCATACCTTGGAGATATTGTGCGTTCGACTACAGTCTACCACAATAAAGCTAATATTGCAATAAGGTGAGTCGCATGAATGTTTTGGTTTCCCAGTGCATATAAAAGTTACGTTTGACCGAGTGCGGTGGTTCATGCCTGTAATCCTAACATTTTGGGAGGCCTAGGCGGGTCAATCACCTGAGGTCAGGAGTTCAAGACTAGCCTGGCCAACATGGTGAAACCCTGCCTCTACTAAAAATACAAACATTAGCCAGGCATGGTAGCGCGTGCCTGTAGACCCAGCTACTCCGGACGCTGAGGCAGGAGACTCGCTTGAACCCAGGAGGTAGAGGTTGCAGTGAGCCAAGACTGCACCTGCATTCCAGCCTGGGAGACAGAGCAAGACTCCCTTTTAAAAAAAAAAAAAAAAGTTATATCCACACTATACTGCAGTCCATTAAGTGTACAATAACATCATGTCTAAAAAAAGTCCATACCTTAATTTAAAAATACTTTATTGCCAAAAAATTGCTAACAATCATCAGTGCCCTCAGTAAGCTGTAATCGTTTTGCTAGTGGAGGGCCTTACCTCAATGTTGATGGCTGCTGACTGATTAGGGTGGTTGGTTGCTAAAGGTTTGGGTGACTGTGGCAATTTCTTAAAATAACACAACAGTGAAGTTTGCCACATCAATTGACTATCCCTTTCACAAAAGACTTGTCTGTAGCATGTGATACTGTTTGACAGCATTTTATCCATGGCAGAACTTGTTTCAAAATTGGATTAGATCTTCTCAAACTCTGCTGCTGCTTTATCAATTAAGTTTATGGGATATTCTAAATCTTTTGCTGTCATTTCAACAGTGCTCACGGTATCTTCACGAAGGGTGGATTCCATCTTAAGAAACTACTCTCGGCCAGGTGCTGTGGCTCATGCCTGTAATCTCAGCACTTTGGGAGGCCAAGGAGGGTGGATCACCTGAGGTCAGGAGTTTGATACCAACCTGGCCAACATGGTGAAACCTTGTCTCTACTAAAAATATAAAAATTAGCCAGGTGTGGTGGCACACACCTGTAGTCCCACCTACTCGGGAGGCTAAGGTAGAAGAATTGCTTGAACCCAAGAGGCAGAGGTTGCAGTGAGCCAAAATAGTGCCACTTCACTCCAGCCTGGGCAAAAGAGGGAAACTCCGACCCTGTCTCTACTAAAAATACAAAAATTAGCTTGGCGTGGTGGTACATGCCTGTGATCCCAGCTACTCGGGAGGCTAAGGTATGAGAATCCCTTGAACCTGGGAGGTGGCGGAGGTTGCAGAGAGCCAAGAACGCACAACTGCACTCCAGCCTGGGCAACTGAATGAGACTCCATCTCAAAAAAAAAAAAAAAACACTCTCTTTGCTCATCCATAAGAAGCAACAAAGCAGCTCCCCATCCATTCACGTTCTATCATGAGCTTGTAGCAATTCAGTCACATCTTCAGGTTCCACTTCTAATTCTAGTTCTCTTGCTATTTCCACCACATCTGCAGTTACTTCCTTCACTGTAGTCTTGAACCCCTCAAAGTTATCCATGAGGGTTGGCATAAACTTCTTCCAAACACCAATTAATGTAAATATTTTGACCTTCTCTTATGAATTGCAAATGTTCTTCATGGGATCTAGAATGGTGAATCTTTTCCAGAAGGTTTTTCAGTCGACTTTGCCCAGATCCATTAGAGGAATCACTATCTAAGACAGCTACAGCCTTATAAAATGTGTTTCTTAAACAATAAGACATGAAAGTTAAAATTACTCCTTGGTCTATGGCTGTAGAAGGATGCTGTGTTAGCAGGCATGAAAACAACATTTATCTCCTTGAACATCTCCATCAGAGCTCTTGGGTAACCAGGTATGTTGTCAATGAGCAGTAATACCTTTGAAGGAATCCTTTTTTTCTGAGCAGTAGGTCTCAGCAGCGGGTTTTATTCAGTAAACCACCAGGCACGGTGGCTCACGCCTGTAATCCCAGCACTTTGGGAGGCTGAGGTGGGCGGATCACGAAGTCAGGAGATCGAGACCATCCTGGCCAACATGATGAAACCCTGTCTCCACTAAAAATACAAAAATTAGCTGGGTGTGGTGGTGCATGTCTGTAATCCCAGCTACTCAGGAGGCTGAGGCTTGAACCTGGGAGTCAGAGGTTGCAATGAGCCGAGATCGCACCACTGCACTCCAGCCTGGCGACAGAGCAAGACTCCTTGTCAAAAAAAAAAAAAAATTCAGTAAACCATACTGTAAACAGATGTGCTGTCATTCAGGCTTAGTTATGCCATTTACTGAACACAAGCAGAGTAGATTTAGCATAATTTCTAACAGCAATAGGATTTTTGAAATGGTAAATGAACACTGGCTTCGACTTAAACTCACCAGCTGCATTACCTCCTAACAAGAGAGAGTCAGCCTGTCCTTTGAAGCTCTGAAGCCAGACATTGACTTATCTGTAGCTAGAAAAGTCCTAGATTACATCTTCTTCCAATAGAAGGCTGTTTTATTTACATTAAAAAATCTATGATCTTAGCTAGATCTTCTGGATGACTTGCTGCAGCTTCTACATCAGCACTTGCTGCTTCACCTTGCACCTTTATTATATGGAGATGGCTTGTTTCCTTAAGTTGAAGCAGCCTCTGCTAACTTCCAACTTTTCTTTTGCTGCTTCCTCATCACCCTCAGCCTTCACAGAATTGAAGAGAGTTAGGGCATTGCTATGGATTAGGCTTTGGCTTAAGGGAATGTTATGGCTGGTTTGATCTTCTATCCAGATCACCCAAACTTTCCTCCATATCAGCAATAATGCTGTTTTGCTTTTTTGTCATTCATATGTTCACTGGAGTAGCACTTTTAATTTTTTTTTTTTCCTTGATACAGAGTCTCGCTCTGTCACCCAGGCTGGAGTGCAATGGCGTGGTCTCGGCTCACTGCAACCTCAGCCTCCTGGGTTCAAGTGGTTCTCCCGCCTCAGCCTCCAGAGTAGCTGGGGCTACAGGGGCGCGCCACCACACCCAGCCAGTTTTTGTATTTTTAGTAGACACGGGGTTTCACTATGTTGGCCAGGCTGGACTCGAACTACTGACCTCGTGATCCATCTGCCTCGGCCTCCCAAAGTGCTGGGATTACAGATGTGAGCCACTGCACACCCAGCCTCACTTTTAATTTTTTTTAAAGAACTTTTGGCTGGGTGTGGTGGCTTACGCCTGTTATCCCAGCTCTTTGGAGGCCAAGGCAGGCAGATCACCTGAGGTCAGGAGTTCAAGACCAGCCTGGCCAACATGGCAAAACCCCATCTCTACTAAAAATACAAAAATTAGTTGGGTGTGGTGACACATGCCTGTAATCCCAGCTACTCTCAGGAGGCTGAGGTGGGAGAATCACTTGAACCTGGGAGATGGACATTGCAGTGAGCCAAGATCACGCAGCTGCACTTCAGACTGGGGACAGACCGAGACTCCGTCTCAAAAAAAAAAAAAAAAAACCTTTTCCTCTGCATTCACAATTTGGCTAATCATTTGGCACAAGAGGCCTGCGTCTGGGCCTATCTCAGTCTTTAACATGCCTTCCTCACTAAGCTCAATCATTTCTAGCTTTGGATTTAAAGTGAGAGACATGGAATTCTTCCTTTCACTTGAACACTCAGAAGCCATTGTAGGATTATTAATTGACCTAATTTCAATATTGTGGTATCTCAAGGAATAGGCAGGCCCAAGGAAAGGGAGGGGTGGGGGACAGCCAGTCGGTAGAGCAGTTGCAACACATATTTATCGATTCGGTTCACTGTTTTATATGGGTATGATTCATGGTGCCCCAAAACAATGACAATAATGAAAAGATCACTGATCATAGATCACCATGACAGATATAATAATAATGAGAAGGTGTGAAATTTTGCAAAAATTACCAAAACGTGTCCCAAAGACATGAAGTGAGCACACTCAGCTGGAAAAATGGCGCCAATGGCCTTGCTCAATTCAGGGTTGCCACAAACATTCCATGCTTAAAAATCGCACTATCTGGGAAGTACGATAAAGCAAAGCACTGGCCGGACGCGGTGGCTCACACCTGTAATCCCAGCACTTTGGGAGGCCAAGGCGGGTGGATCACGAGGTCAGGAGTTTGAGACCAGCCTGGCCAATATGGCGAAATCCCGTCTCTACTAAAAATACAAAAAAAAAAAAAAATTAGCCAGGCATTGTGGCACGCACCTGTAGTCCCAGCTATTCAGGAGGCTGAGGCAGAAGAATTGCTTGAATCTGGGAGGTGGAGATTGCAGAGCCAAGATCGCGCCACTGCACTCCAGCCTGGGCGACAGAGCAAGACTCCATCTCAAAAAAAAAAAAAGCAAAGCACCATCAAACAAGGTCCATCTGTGTATTTCTCAGAAAATAAGCTCACATGCTCACATGCTTGGAAACCTATCAGAACCAGACAAATGGTGTTAGGAACAGAGCAGCAAATAATTGGCCTCTATCTAGCCTTAGCAAGAAACATCCTGGAAGAACTAAGGGGACTTAACACCCACGCAGATTACTTTCTAGATAGGCCTGAGAAATCCACCCCAGCTGACTCAGCAAAGAGATACCTACAGGCCCCCCTCATCTGCTAACCAAAACCCTATATTGGCTGCCGGGCACTGTCAGGGTATGCCTGGCTTCTCCTGGGCTAGGCAGGCCTCAAAAAGGTGCCCTGAAAGCTCTCTGCACTCAGTGGCATGGAGGAAACCAGGTTTCGGTGAAGACAGGCAGTCAGAGGCATCTCCAGCCCTTCCAGAACCCAAACCATTCTTTAGTCATCTGAGATATCAGGAGATCAGCTTTCATGTTGTCCCTCTTTCTCTTTGGATGACTAAGAAGGCTTTTCTTTTCTTTTCTTTTTTTTTGAGAAGGAGTCTCACTCTTGTCACCCAGGCTGGAGTGCAATGGCGCGATGTCGGCTTGCTGCAACCTCCACCTCCTGGGTTCAAGTGATTCTCCTGCCTCATCCTCCTGAGTAGCCGGGATTACAGGCACGCGCCACACCTGTTTCTACTGAAAATACAAAAAGTTAGATGGGCGTGGTGGTGTGTGCCTGTAATCTCAGCTACTCTGGAGGCTGAGGCAGGAGAATCGCTTGAACCCGGAAGGCAGAGGTTGCGGTGAGCTGAGACGGCGCCATTGCACCCCAGATTGGGCAACAAGAGCGAAACTCTGCCTCAAAAAAAAATCACTATATATTATTATTATCATTATTATTATATTTTGCTGATTAGAAAACTAGTACAAGATCAGGGCCAGGGTGCCTTGGAGCACATTGGAGGAAGGCCACTTCCTCTGGGCAGAGGCAGCCGGGCAGTAGCACACAGGATTCCAGCCCAGGGCCTATAAAAAAAACTCCTCTCAAAAAAGTCAAACAATGTAAAGGTACATAAAAAATGGGCCAGGCACAGTGGCTCATACCTGTAATCCTAGAACTTTGGGAGGCCAAGGTGGGAAAATCACTTGAGCCCAGGAGTTCAAGACTAGCCTGGGCAACATAGCTAGACTCTGTCTCTACAAAAAATTAAAAATTTAAAAATTGGCCAGCCATAGTGGCATGGACCTGTAGTCCCAGTTACTTGGGAGGCTGGGGCAGGAGGATCACTTGAGCCCAGGAGTTCAAGGCTCCAGGGAGCTGTGATCACATCACTTCACTCCAGCCTAGGCAACAGAGAGAGGTGGCTCAAAAAAATAGAGCCTGGCTCAAAAAAACAAAACTAAACCGAAGTATAAGCCTCTTACAATCACATTCCCAAAGAAAACCACTATTAAAAATTTGGTTAACTATTTTGTTTTGTTTTGACAGAATAATAAAATTCAGTTAGGGGGAAATTTAACCTGAATGGGAGAACACCATCTATTTTTAAATTATCTTCCTCTCTGACCCTACCCAGCCCAATATCGCCAAAGGTTCTTAACAACCCAGGAGAAGTCAGCTGCAACTTTATTAGCATATCCTTGGATGGAATCCGCATCAAAGTTGAATCCTCAAGTATCTCAGCCTAACCCTGAAACTTTGATCTTTGTACCTAGGCAGGGCAAAGCCTAAGGAACTAGGTCCTTCACTCTTGGGGGTGGAGGGCGGTCCTCAGAAATGCAAATTTTTCACTGTTCTGCCACTGCCTCCTCTGTCACCTCTCCAGACCCCAGCCCTTGGATGAGTGGCTTTAACCAGGAGAGGGTTTACAAGTCTGTGTCAGAAAGAGGAGAGCCTTTGGAGAACCCTGAAGAAACACACAGGACAGAAGACCAGCTTGTTTGCATTTAGTGTTCTGAAGGGAGTCAGAATCCTAGACCAGCGACCATAGCTGGAAGGATTCGCTGAGGTTTAATAGGGCCCCTTAGCTTCCCCATATGTGTTCTTGTTGTTTTTCTCTTATTTCACAGTAAAATCTATAACAAAAAGGGCTGTTTATCTTGGGGTACACCAAGGAAGAGGGAGATGAGGGTGAAAAATATATCCTTTTCTGCAGCTGGTGTTGGGGAACAGAGAATCCAGGGTGGAAGTGGGGGTAGAGATGGTAAATACATAAGAAAGTCACAAAGAAGGCTGGGTGCAGTGGCTCACACCTGTAATCCCTGCACTTTCGGAGGCTGAGGCAAGTGAATGGCTTGAGCCCAGGAGTTCAAGACCATCCTGAGCAACATAAGGAGACTATCACCTCCACAAAAAAATACAAAAACCAACTGGGCATGGTGGTGTATGCCTGTAGTCCCAGCTACTTGGGAAGCTGAAGTGGGAGGATTGCTTAAGCCCAGGAGGTCGAGGCTGCAGTAAGTCAAGATCGTGCCACTGCACTCCAGCCTGGGGGAGTGAGGAACCCTATCTAAAAAAAAAAAAAAAAAAAAAAAAGCCACAAAGATATGCAGGCTCCAGAAGGTGTCTTCCATCAAAGGAAAGTTCCTGGGCTAAAAAATAATAATAACAACAATGACTACCATTTATTGAGCATTTACAATGTTCTGGGCGCTTTGCCAAGTGCATTACACACATTTTCTCATTTAATCCTTTCAACAGTCCTGGGAAGAACAGTTACCATTGTTATCTTCATTTCACCATTGAGCAAATGCAGTGGAGCTAACTAGCTTGCCCAAGATCACACAGCTAGCAATAAGTGGCAGAATCAGGACCCATGCTCAAAACTGTTTGACCCCAGAGACTAAGTTCATCCCTTCAGAGCAAAATAATTCGATGCTTCAGTGACTACCAACTGTCTACCCCCCACCCCCACCCCTCAACACAAACTCTCCAGGCTTGCTTTCCTCAGCTATCCCAGATGAGTTTGTGGATTTTCACATTGCCATCTTTCAAGATTCAGGCATCGCTTCCCCTGAGTCATCTTCCTTCCTGATCTCTCCTTCCACAGCCCCCTGCAGATGCCCCCGGGTGGCACTACGTGTCATGTTTGGTCTCCCCCACAAGACAAGTGAGGTCCCCCAGGCTGTGCACTCATCTCTTTCATCTTCGGATCCACTGTGCCCGGCACAGCGCCTGACACACAAGAAGTGCTCCCTGACACCCCCAGGCTCCGTGAATAGATGTGGCATTCAGGCCAGACAGAGCTGAGCTGCCACACAGCTCGCTCCCTTTCTCACTCCAAATTGGCAGAAGAGAGTGAATGTTATTTACAAAAACACCAAGCCAAATAAGACCCTCCCTTCCCTGACATGCTGAAGCTGCTCTGGGAACAGACAGGGGTCACCAAATGGTGGCCAGATGGTGACTGACTGCTGCTCCCTAACTCCAGGGGCCTGGGGCAAAAGGCTTGGCTGCCCACCTGCTCCCAGGACCTGTGAACCATCCACTTTGTAGGGAAAACCCCAGACAGTTCCCTCCTCCCGAATCCCCTTCTGCAACCAGCTCTCGGAGTGGAGACTCTGCCAGCTCTCACCACATCCTGGGGACTCTTGAAGCCTGGGCTGGAAGTTCTGCAACCTTGCCCCATGTCAATGGTGCTTACTTTACCTGACTTGTTCCATAACAAAGAATTGTTAATTCTGCAGTATCGACCCAGGGTAGTGGGGTGATCATTCCTGGTAGGCACAGCTGAGCCCTAAAATAACAGAACCCAGATAGAGCAGGGGCAGAAGGAATGTGGGGAGAGGGGAAGAGGAGCTCCCGTCTGCCAGGGAAAACTCTGAGGACACAAGTAGCTGGAGGAACAGGGAAGGGATTTCCTACAGTGTTCCCAAACAAAGAGAGCTGGCCGGGCTTTGGGGAGAGCTCCGTTTCCCTTCGTTTCATTCAGCAGTGGTCTCCTCCTCCCACAGATGTGGGAGGCAACAGGCCCCCAACCAGTTATCAGGCCCTCCAGCATGAGGGCCTTTGTCTCCCCTTAGACATGTAGCTGGCAGGGCGAAGGGCCGACAAATCCTCCCTGACCCTCCCAGCTCTTTGTTATCTCAGAGGGAAGGTTACATTTCTGTATGGGAGGCAAGGTGCCAGGAGGCCTCGGGCAGAACAGAGACAGGCAGAGCTGCTGTCTGACCCCTGTTGCCTGGAGCAGCTCAGGGCTGCCCTAGGGACACTCTCCCTCCACTGGCCTGGGGCCCTTCCAGAAATGGGAGGGCTACATTTCAGAAAGAGGGCGAGTAGAGGAGTGGGACAGAAAAGGAGCGAGGTGGGCTGGAAGGATAAAAGCAGCCAACTCTCAATTATTCAGAAACCTGTCTGCAGTGTGTGGACAGCCCATGCCTTTGCTGAGTTTCTCACCTTCTCTGTTCAGCTGCCATCAGCTCTTTCCCTGAGAAGTGGAGGAGGGACCCTGGCAAGTTGGCCACTTGCTTTCATTTTGGCTTCTTGATAAATCTATAGAGGATTTTTCAGCAGCAGGCCCATGTCCCTCAACCCCAAACAAGCATTTAGATCATTATCTTTCTGTTTAAATCAAGAACGCATTATTTAGCCTTTTATTTGGGGTTCAAGATACTCCTACAATGGTTCTAAATCATAAGAAAAAGGGGCTTGATTTAAAACCCCTTGTTTTGGGCCAGGAATGGTGGCTCACGCCTGTAATCCCAGCACTTTGGGAGGCCAAGGTGGGCAGATTACCTGAGGTCAGGAGTTCGAGACCAGCCTGGCCAACATGGTGAAACCCTGTCTCTACTAAAAATACAAAAATTAGCTGGGCATGGTGGCAGGTGTCTGTAATCCCAGCTACTCGGGAGGCTGAGGCAGGAGAATCGCTTGAGCCCAGAAGGCAGAGGTGAGCTGAGTGAGCTGAGATCGTGCCATTGCACTCCAGCCTGGGCAAAAAGAGCAAGACTCCATCTCAGGAAAAAAAAAAAAAAAGAAAACAAAAAAAACCCTTTTTTGAGAAGAATTACGGAGCAAAGTAGAAAAATAGTAGCTGGGTGTTAACATTAAATGCTGGATTTTTTTCATGGCTTGTCTTCCCAATCATATTCCCTCAAATTGTGTTTCCTCCTCTGGTAACCCAGGTTGGTTATGCTTAGCAAGTCCATGAACAATAAATATACATGGAAAACCTCCTGTGTAGAATTGGTCAGACACCTAGATAAGATCCTTGCCCTAAAGCAGTTTAGAAACCAGTTAGAAAGAAAGCAGAGTAAGGAAAACCACTAACAAAGCACGGTATCAACTCAGTGGATAGTCAGCAAGTGAGCAGGGGGTCCAGGGACTGACAAAGCTGGGATGGGCAGGGAAGGCCTCTTGGGGGTAGGGTGTGAGTATGGCCTTCTTACAAGCGTGTGATGTGTAGTAATTAAAATGCAGGAGGCCTAATGGGTGGGCAGCTTACATAGGAGTATAAACCAAGCTTGACCAGGAGCTGAAAGGTTAAATGGTGGCTCTTAGGGGAAAACCCTATAAACAGTGGCTGAAGTTCATTTATTCAACAAAGATATGAGTTCTTGTTTCTCATTTTTTGTTTTGTATTATTTTGTTTTGAGACAGGGTCTTACTCTGTCGCCCAGGCTGGAGTGTAGTGGCTGGATCATAGCTCACTGCAGCCTCAAACTCCTGGGCTCAAGCCATCCTCCTTCTTCAGCCTCCACCTCCAGCTAATTTTTAAAAATATTTTGTAGAGACAAGGGCTCACTTTGTTTCCCAGGCTGGTCTTGAACTTCTGGCTTCAAGTGATCCTCCCGCTTCGGCCACCCAAAGTGCTGGGATTACAGGCGTGAGCTGTAATTTAGTTGTTTATTTACTCATTTGTTCAACAAATACTTATTGAATATTTGCTCTTTGGCCAGTCAAGGGATTTCATGAGTGTCTACTATGTGAATAACACTGTGTTGGCCACTAGTCTGTCACCTACTGGTGGATTAGAAAAATAGCGCGAGGACCATTTTTTCTTTTCTTTTCTTTTTTTTTTTGAGACGGAGTCTTGCTCTGTTGCCAGGCTGGAGTGCAGTGGCACAATCTCGGCTCACTGCAACCTCCGCCTCCCGGGTTCAAGCGATTCCTCTGCCGCAGCCTCCCCAGTAGCTGGGATTACAGGCAAGCGCCACCATGCCTGGCTAATTTTTTTGTATTTTAGTAGAGACGGGGTTTCACCTTGTTGGCAAGGATAGTCTCGATCTCCCGACCTCGTGATCCACCCGCCTCGGCCTCCCAAAGTGCTGGGATTACAGGCATAAGCCACCGCACCCGGCCAACTCTTTTCTTAAATTAGCCAGGGAGGCGTGGGTGGGTTGGGTGAGGAGTTGGGTGGGGGGATCTCATTCAGTATTCAAACTTCTACAAGTTTCGGGGTTGAGGTGGGTGATGGTAAGGGAACAGGCCCTGCCACTACCTTTCATAGTGACTTCCATTTGTGTAATATTTTTGGTCCACTGAGAGCTATTATTTTATTTGATTCTTATGACCATCTTGTGAAGGAGTATCAACAGATACCCCGTTTTGATTTTATCAGATGCATGATTTGTCCTACATCAAACTTCATAAATGATGGACAGAATGGAGGAATCCTTCAGACCAAGTGCTGCCTACTTCCCACCCCAATGGTGGCCTCAGCCTGGGCTCACATCACACGCCCCAAGGAGCCTTGGAAAAAATAAAGGCTCTTGGCTCCTTCCTGGGACAGCGTGATTCCTCATGTCTGAGCAGGCCCATGAACTTGTATTTTTCAGACGTTCCCTAGGACCCGTGTCCATCTGGATTAGGGAACCACTACATTATACCACTTCGCGGGAAGACTCAGGGGGAAGCATTTTAGCCACTTTCCTGTGTTCCACAGTACTGGAGGGTGTTCTGAGTGGGCTGTGATTAATTTCCAAACCAACCACACGTCTCCCCTCAACTCCCACTGCTTACTCTTTGCTTCCTAGACATTCACTGCAGGCTGGAGACTTCTGGAAGCCAACAGCATCGCTGTAGAATTTACAGGGTCCAGTTCCCGGTGGACCACAAAACCTAAATTATGTGGCTGGGGAAAGCTGAAATCCAAGGGAAGGGTTTGAGGAGGGGCTGACCTTATAATAAAACCGGCTTGTATTTACTAAGTGTTAACTATGCGCTAGGCCCTCGTTGACGCCTCAACTCTATGTGAAAAGCACTATTATCCCCCATTTACAGATGGGAAAACAGAGATTTAGAGCGCGAAAATCATTTCCCCAAGGCGCACAGACTCCAAAGCCCACGCTACCAGGTACAACCTCAAGGCTGCGGCGTCTCTTCACCTGCCCCCTAGCCCCCAAACCGCTGCTATGTCTAGGGCCTGACATTCCGGCGCCCTCTGGGACGTGCTCAGATGCAGGGGCGCAAACGCCAAAGGAGACCAGGCTGTAGGAAGAGAAGGGCAGAGCGCCGGACAGCTCGGCCCGCTCCCCGTCCTTTGGGGCCGCGGCTGGGGAACTACAAGGCCCAGCAGGCAGCTGCAGGGGGCGGAGGCGGAGGAGGGACCAGCGCGGGTGGGAGTGAGAGAGCGAGCCCTCGCGCCCCGCCGGCGCATAGCGCTCGGAGCGCTCTTGCGGCCACAGGCGCGGCGTCCTCGGCGGCGGGCGGCAGCTAGCGGGAGCCGGGACGCCGGTGCAGCCGCAGCGCGCGGAGGAACCCGGGTGTGCCGGGAGCTGGGCGGCCACGTCCGGACGGGACCGAGACCCCTCGTAGCGCATTGCGGCGACCTCGCCTTCCCCGGCCGCGAGCGCGCCGCTGCTTGAAAAGCCGCGGAACCCAAGGACTTTTCTCCGGTCCGAGCTCGGGGCGCCCCGCAGGGCGCACGGTACCCGTGCTGCAGTCGGGCACGCCGCGGCGCCGGGGCCTCCGCAGGGCGATGGAGCCCGGTCTGCAAGGAAAGTGAGGCGCCGCCGCTGCGTTCTGGAGGAGGGGGGCACAAGGTCTGGAGACCCCGGGTGGCGGACGGGAGCCCTCCCCCCGCCCCGCCTCCGGGGCACCAGCTCCGGCTCCATTGTTCCCGCCCGGGCTGGAGGCGCCGAGCACCGAGCGCCGCCGGGAGTCGAGCGCCGGCCGCGGAGCTCTTGCGACCCCGCCAGGACCCGAACAGAGCCCGGGGGCGGCGGGCCGGAGCCGGGGACGCGGGCACACGCCCGCTCGCACAAGCCACGGCGGACTCTCCCGAGGCGGAACCTCCACGCCGAGCGAGGTAAGAGCCGCGGCGCCCCCGGATCTGGGGCGGGCTTGGCGTCCCGAGCGGCCCCCGGCGCCGGAGCCTCCCGGCTGCGCGCTTTGCCCGCCGCAGCCCAGCCGGGGCCGGCGCCTCCCTCCGCTCGCCGCCCGCCCCTTTCACCTCCTGGCTCCCTCCCGGGCGATCCGCGCCCCTTGGGTCTCCCCTCCCTTCCCTCCGTCCGCGTCTCCTGCGCCCCCTCCCTGCGCTCGTCCCGCCGCTCTTCCCGCCGCCCAACTTTTCCTCCAACTCGCGCTCGGGAGCTGGCGAGGCGGCGGCGGCTCCTCAGTGAGTCCCGGGAGGGACAGGCCCGGGGCGAAGGCGGCGAGGCCCGCGGTTTCCTGGACTGGGGAGGAGGGCGGGAGTGGGCGGCGAGGTGGGATGCGTTGTGTGTGTTATGTGTGTGTGTTGCATTCCACTCCATGTCTTTTTGGTCCCCTTTTGGGGATTCACCCCCAATTCAGCAGGTAGCTTTGGGCTCAACGCTAAAAATCCGGGGCATTCCTAAGTCCTTTTCCACCCCCGGGAAAGCCTGGGGTGCGGGTTGGGGTCGGATGGGGTGGGAGATGAACTGCGGAGGACGTGGAGGGCTAGGTTAGCTTCTCTTGGAATAGGTTTTAAGGAGGTGTCGTCACCAAATGGCTGAATCTGCTTGAGCTGAGAGCGAAAAACGACTCCCCTTTCCAGAAGGGGTGATCTTATGACTTGGACGGTCTCTGAAAGGGTCGGAAGTTTGGGGAACGGGAGGACAACCCACGGTCGTTAAGCCGAGGTGTGGGATGGGGGCGGAAGGACCGTTCGGTCCCAATCTGGTTCCTAGAGGTGGGGGAAGGGATGAGGGTTTTTGTCCGGTGTGGTTCACTCGGCAGCGATGCGTATGCTTCTCTGGCCCAGACCCCTCTGCACCTCGCTTCCCCTACCGTTATGTTTGGGGTTGGGAGAAAAGTGAGGCTACGACCCATGTTTGCGGAGGAATTTTATGGACCTTGTAGATGGGGGTTCATATAGAACACACACCCCCTATGAGGCAGCCAGACACTTTTTTGGTGGTGGTGGGGGGGGGGTGGGGTGTGAAGCCTGTTTCTTGTTCTGAGCCCAGAAGCTATCAACCCTTTTGAAAAACATTACCACGGTGCCTTTCTCCCCCAGCACTCCCCCACCCCCAATTTCCAGATGTAGCAGCCGCATCTGGTTCCGTTTCACCCCACACGGGTACACCGCAGCCGCATTATTAACTTCCCTCTTCCTCCCCTCCCCCTCCCCCAAATTAAAACTCAGATTCTTCAGCCTGTCTTGACCACCTCCCTCCTTAACATTTCTGGAGACTTGGAGATGCGGCGTTGAGATTCGGGGGAGAAAAGAAAGTTCCCTTGGATCCCGAGTTATTTAAGATCTCACCAAGTTATTCGCCGCCGCTGGTGGGTGGCGGCGGTCCGGGTGCTTTCTGGATTGCGCAGTAAAGAGGCATCTTGGGAGATGGGGCCAAGGTTTTAGGGGGTGCCACTCGCGAACGGTTCATCCGCTAGACTAGGGGGGCTCTTTGGCTGTGCGTCTGGCCAGAACTGGCCTTGACGATGGAAGTTTCTGGAACCAAAGCGTTGCTTTCTCTCCCTTGTGTTATAGCTGGAGCTGCGGGAGCGCCTGCCCTGCCCGGAGCCCGCGGTCCCCTCTCGGCTGCCCCGCGGTGGCGTCACGCGCCCCTCCCGGAGCAAGCCCGGTGCGCAGGGCCGGGGGCGTGGGCGGCTGCTGCCAGAGGCGCTCTCTGTGTGTTTTTAAGGACTGATTTGGGCCGCATCCCCCGGAAACTAAAGTGGGGTGTTTTACCGTTTAAATAACGGCTACAGGTTTGAAAGCGGGGTTGGATTTTCGAGTTGTGTTTGGTAATAGTCTTTGAGGCAGGAAAGCGCCTTGTGGTCCAAAGTTGCCGGGAGGGTGGGGAGAGTCGGTGTCTTACCCGCTTCTTTCCAGCCTCTTTCAAATTGAAAACACTTCTCTGGTTTCCTTCTTTGGGCGGTAGTTTTGGAGGCTGTAATGAAATCGCACTTTCTCTAGACGTGGTAATTAAGGTGACTGTTTCCTCCGCAGATGTGCCCTACCCTTTGCACCTCCGGACCAGCGCTTTTTTTGGAATACTATCTAGCCTTGAGACTGTTTAGCAGAAAGTGGCCATTTTCCTCCCTTGGCCCGGGCTCCCGGTTTCCTCCCTGAGGCTTGTTTAAAAGCGAAGTAGCAGGGCCCCGTGGGACGCGCCTTGGTCTGGGTAATCACCCCCACGCCCGGGTCATCCACCTTCCTCTCGGTGACCGAGGTTCAGCAGCCTCTGCTATTGCCGGCCGTCTTTGCCGATGGCCTGCCTCCCTAATGACTTGTTTACATATCCTACCCCCAGTGGGTTAGGAGAAGCTCCGGGGCTGCCCCGACCCTCCGAGTGCAGGGTGTTTGGGGACCGGGAGGCTGCTGGGGCCTGACTCCAGCTGGGAGGGTTATGAACTGCATCAGTGACGAGCTGCTTGAAATATCTGTTGCATTTACTCTTAGTCATAGCTGAGTGTCAGCTTTTTAATGAGGTTCATCCAGATTGAGAGCCACTTGGACTGCGTACTTCACTGCCTGCTTTTCCAAACATGCCTGCAGAAATGCTCATTTTCGAGGTATTTTTCCCAATGGGAATTCAGGCCAGAGTGGGCACCACTTGAACAATCTTAGGGTGCTTCTTTTCCTTGGCCTCTGGCCATGGAGGGTGTTAGACAGTTCCATTAGGTGGCCCTTTGATAGCAAGGGAAGCAAAGGCTCAGGAAGAAATGGAGAAGCGTCCCCCACTCCCTAGGGGCAGAGGATTAGATACATCGGTGCATCCCTCAGGCTGGGCTAGCTTTATTCCTGGTGGACTCCAGAGGGCAAGAAAATTGAATTGAACACTGGGTAGGCAGATTCAAGCCTTAGAGACCAAGGAAAATCCATGGGTTTTGCTTTTAGTGGTGTGCTCTTTGTTTTCAGTATTGACCTGAAACAAGACTCCTAAAATGAGAGATTTGCTGGTATGAACTTGGGGGTTTAGCAGCCGGCTTCTACAAAGGCTTTTTTCTTGCCTTCGTTTCTAAAGTGTCTTTCGTCAAAATGGCTGTTAGTTATAGAACATCCTAGCAAAGTTTGAGCCTGTTGCTGCTGGAGGAAAAGGAGTTAGAATTGATTCAAATGTCTTATTCTGAAAGGGCCTCACATCACTTGATAGTTTAATTTCCTCCTGGGAAATTTGTGTCTTACATTTGTCTTCCCCAGAGCTTTGTAAAAGGCCTGAACGCACCAGGGACTAGTGGGAGCCCAGATGCAGAGCTTTAGAGAAGATTCTGGTGTTTCCAGAGAGGATGAAATGTCAGACTTGGGCTAGGATATTTGTTTTTCCTCCTAAGGTTGCATCTACTTTAAACAGAAATTCTCTCCTCGCCACCATTTATCTCTCCCCTGCAATGAAAGAAACCATGTTTAGGGCCCTCTCCCCCATTTAATAGCCCTCACATGGATGAACTATCCCAAGAATTTGGTGGGGTTCCACTCATAGTACATCCTGTCTTCAAGAGCAAGGTTTTCTAGATTATGTGCAGCAGTTCGTGTTTCACTTGTTGCTTTTTTTTTTTTTTTTTTTTTTTGAGATAGTCTCGCTCTGTCGCCCAGGCTGGAGTGCTGTGGCGCTATCTCAGGTCACTGCAACCTCCGCCTTCCGGTTGAAGCGATTCTCCTGCCCCAGCCTCCCTAGTAGCTGGGATTGCAAGCATGCGCCACCATGTCCGGCTAATTTTTTGTGTTTTTAATAGAGATGGTGTTTCACCATGTTGGCCAGGCTGGGCTTGAACTCCTGACCTCAAGCAATCCGCTGGCCTCGGCCTCCCAAAATGCTGGGATTACAGGTGTGAGCCATTGTGCCTGACCACTTATTGCTAATTTTTTATATGTCTCTTACTTCCAAGGACATTTAGACACTTTTTTTTTTTAAAGAGACTCAAAAAATTAGCATTTCCATTGGACCAACTAAAATTTAGCAAGCTGAGCTGAGTAACTTTCTCCATATGTTTATTAAGTACTTGCCCCCTGCCCTCTCAACATGTGAGTAGAGAATGGTCACTTTGGGGAAGAAATAAGTCTTATTCTCATCTGAAGGGATTAATGTTTTGGTGTTACTTCCTCAATTCTGAAGAACCAAGTTGTCCAGAAATTTTCTCAGGGTTCTTTGGACTAGAGTTTGGCTGGTTAACAAGGGGTACTACCTAATTGCTTTTCTCTGATATTCTCAGCCTCTTTTTCTGGAGGAGTATCTCTGTCAGTTTCTTTTCATCAGCCCTTTTTTTTCCTTCATTCACTTACTCATTCATCCAGTTAACAAACATGTTGGCATCTCCTGTGTACATGCTAGGTGCCGAGGGTGTTAGCAAAGGTTAGGGAGGCACAGACCCTGTTCTGAAGGAGCCTGCAGTTTCGTGGGGAGAGAAGAGAATGAAGAACATAAATAACAATCATATAATATGACCTAAGTGCTATGTGAGAGGGGCTAGTAATGTGGTTTGCAAATTTGGAGGAATGAAATTCTCCAGCTAGAAGGCCCAAGAAAGTCTTATGGAAGAAACAGCTTCTTAAGGTGGGGTTCAGAGAAAAGGGAAGGGCTGGCCTGTTGCAGAACAAGGAATGGCATGAAGAAAGTCTTGCACAGAGGCATGGATGTTGCTTCGAGCTGTGGCGCCCTATAGAAATAGAACATGAGCAGCTGGTCACAGTGGCTCATGCCTGTAATCCCAGCACTTTGGGAGGCCAAGGCAGGCGGATTGCTTGAGCCCATGAGATGGAGATGAGCCTGGACAACATGGTGAGACCCTGTGTCTACCAAAAAATACACAAATTAGATGAGTATGCTCGTGCTTACTGGTAGTCCCGGCTATTCAGGAGGCTGAGGTGGGAGGATCACTTGAGCCTAGGAGGCAGAGGCTGCAATAAGCTGTGATTGCACCACTGCATTCCAGCCTGGGGGACAGAGGAAGACCCTGTTTAAAAAAAAAAAAAAAAAAAAAGCCAGGCACAGTGGCTCATGCCTGTAATCCCAGCCCTTTGGGAGGCCAAGGCAGGTGGATCACCTGAGGTCAGGAGTTCAAGACCAGCCTGGCCAACATGGTGAAACCCTATTTCTACTAAAAATAAAAAAATTAGCCGGGCTTGGTGGCTCATGTCTGTAATCCCAGCTACTTGGGAGGCAGGAGAATCGTTTGAACCCGGGAGGCGGTGGTTGAGCCAAGATTGCGCCACTGCAACTCCAGCCTGAGTGACAGAGCAAGACTCCATCTCAAAGAAAAAAAGAAAGGAAGAAAGAAATATAACATTATAACATGAGTTATGTATATGTTCAGATTTTCTAGAAGCCACATTGGAAATTAAGTTAAAAGAAAGAAATAGGTAAAAAAAATTTTTTTTTTTGAGACGGAGTCTCACTTTGTTGCCAGGCTGGAGTGCAGTGGCGCAATCTCGGCTCACTGCAACCTCTGCCTCCCGGGTTCAAGCAATTCTCCTGCCTCAGCCTCCTGAGTAGCTGGGACTACAGGCGCGCGCCACTGCACGCAGCTAATTTTTGTACTTTTAGTAGAGACGGGGTTTCACCATGTTGGCCAGGATGGTGTCGACCTCTTGACCTCGTGATTTGCCCACCTCAGCCTCCCAAAGTGCTGGGATTACAGGCGTGAGCCACCGCGCCTGGCCAATATTTGTTTTTTAATTAACTTGTTTGTTTAGATTTTATTTAATGTAACTATATTTCCAAAATATTATCATTTGAACATGTAATCAATATAGAAATTATTGATGAGATACTTTACATTTTTTTCATAACAAGTTTTTAAGATGCGGTGTATACTTTTTACTTATAGCATATCCGTTAGCACCAGCCACATTTCAAGTGTGCAGTGGCCACTGTGTGGGCCACAGGTCTAGAATATAAGACATGAAGATGGAGAGTGAGAAATGCCTTTGGAAAGGTTGGAAGTTCCTGTCCTTCTGCTGCCAATTACCAAATCTCCTGAGAGTGCTATTAAGGAGTGACTCAAAGCACTACACAAAGAGAATTATAAATATCTTAATATTATATCTGAAATCCAAATGCATAATTCTTTACATTTGGTTGGTACTTTAGAGAGGAGAGAATGGGCACAGTCACCCACACCACCCATTTGAGCCTCATAATCACCTGTGATGTGGCTTCCTCTAGGTGGGAAACCGAGGCTTAGAACGGTTAAGTGACTATCCCAGGGTGGCAAGATCATAAGTGGAAGGGTGTGAATTCATACTGTCTCCAGCGGACAAGAATAAAAAGACCCAGGCTGGGTGTGGTGGCTCATGCCTGTAATCCCAGCACTTTGGGAGGCCACTGTAGGTGGATCTCCTGAGCCCAGGAGTTCATTACCAGCATGGGCAACATGGTGAGACCCCATTTTTATTAAATATACAGAAAATTAGCCCAGCTTCTCGGGAGGCTGAGGTGGGAGGATCACTTGAGTCTGGGGGATGGAGGTTGTAGTGAGTTGAGATCGTGCCACTGCACTCTAGCTTGGGTGACAGAGCAACACTCTGTCTCAGAAAGAATAAAAAGATTTGGCCATGAATTCGTCAGCTAGTTTTCCTTACATAATTTTTGGACAAGGAGATCTGACATTCATAGGTTTTTCTCTTAGAAGTGGGAGAGCTTCAAGGTCACGTGGTCCGTCCAGCCCCTGCTATCTCACCAGACACTGTCCACCCTGTATGTTGGATCAGTACTCCAGTGAGAAGACAGCAGGCACTTTCACCCATGCAGCCCATTCAGTCTTCATAACCACCTGTGATGGAGGCAAGGCAAGTATTTCAGCCCCCTCTGATGAGTGGGAAACTGAGATGTGCCCCCTCTCTGCTCCCCACCGAGGACCTCTGCATGCAGGCATGAATCCCAGGAGCCTAGCTGATATTGGAGAGACGGGGCGGGGGGAACCAGCTGCAGGGTCTTGGAGGAAGCTGCTGTGTACACCTGCAAGGCTGCAGGTTACATCTATCTGTCAAGCAGTGAAGGAAGGAAGTTGTTTCTAAGGGATTGGAAAAATTCATTAATTAGTAGAATGAGAAACTGAGGTGAAGCAGGAGGTGGCAGGGTCCCAGACAGCATGTTGGACTAGTGGCCTGTGTCACTGTGTTTTTTGCAGGCGGGTGGCATGGGGTGTATGCTGACTTCTTATTCCAGGAGTTGGTGCCAGGAGGCCAGGTTTTCTTAACATCCTTGTTTTACAGATGTCAAACTTGAGGGCCAGAGGGGTAGGAGAGGAAGAGACTTTTTGTACCTTTTTTGGGAAAGAACAAGAGGGAAGCTGGCAGATGAATTTGAAGTGCATTGACCAGGGAGCTGAGAGAGGGCGGTCTGCAGCCAGCCCACACCTGGGAGGAGGCGGCAGGCTTTTCTGGGGACAGAGTGGCCAAGTCGAAGCAAGCTTAACCATCTCAACATGACACCACTCTTTCCCATTGGAACCTGAGAACTTGTTCAGTATTCTGACACTTAGCAAGGGACCTGGGTTTTCTTGGTCAGGTGTGCGTTTCTGGGTGACAGGCCTGCATCAGGTGTATTTTCGGGATGTAGTAAGTTGTGGAATATGGGTTTAGGGGCATCCTCTGGCAAGCACTGCTTCTATCCCAGCTCTGGGAATGTGCCCCATGCAGTGTCCTAGATGGCCCATCTGTGGTCTGCTTCCAAGGGTCTTTCTTTTAGTTAGTTAGTTTTGAGACAGAGTCTCACTCCGTCACCCAGGCTGGAGTGCAGTGATGCAATCTCGGCTCACTGCAACCTCCACCTCCCAAATTCAAGCAATTCTCATGCGTTAGCCTCCTGAGTAGCTGGGATTACAGGCGTGCACCACCACACCCAGCTAATTTTTGTATTTTTAGTAGACGAGGAATTTCACCATGTTGGCCAGTCTGGTCTCAACTCCCCACCTCAGGTGATACTCCCGCCTCAGCCTCCCAAAGTCCCGGGATTGTAGGTATGAGCCAACATGCCCTGGCACAAGGGTCTATCTTTGACCAATGGAACTGCAAATCAAGCCTCTTTTGTTACCAGAGTTACCTTGGATTTACCCTTATCTACTTGGTTTGGATAAATTGAGTTTGCATCAGATGGAGTCAGGCTTGATCAATCCCTTATTTACTTCCTCCCACCCTGTTCTCTAATATCCAAAAACCTTGAGGCACTATTACATGCTAGCTACATTTCCTTGAGTAAAGTACTTAACCTCTTTGAGCCTCAGTTTCTCCATTGCATAAAAGGAATAATAAAACTTATCCCCCATAAGTTTATAGTGAGGAATGAATTAATTCCTCACTATAGTTCTAAATTAATTCTACTTAGGGCATCCTTGGTACATAGTGGGTGTTCAGTATTCATTTCATTTTCTCTTTTCTGATTCCTTTCGTAAAAGTAGAAAAATGAAAGAGAAATGTTGACTTCTCTTTTGATTTGAAATCATTAAAACATTTTAGTAAGCCTTGGGAGGGAGCTAGTGGTGTGGCATGTGTATCCCGCTGGCCAAGCACATGTGAACGAAGCCAAGAATCCAGGGGCTTTTCTGCCAGCCAGCACTGACTCACTTGCGAGGGGCCCTGCCTGGCTCGGGGGAGGCAGGGCTGAAGTACCACATTAGGGCATGTTCCGGGGAAGTAGATTCTCTGAATAACTTGGATGGCTCCCTGGAGCATTTAGGACAGAAGCCACCTGGAAAATAGAGATGGTCACCCCCACGTAGCCTTGACAGTGCCCAGAAAGTCTTGTCACTTGGTAAATGTTAACAGCTATGATCCGTTCTTTAAGACCCTGGGGAGTTTTAAGTTTTACCCCACCAGACCTGAGAAGGGTAAAGGGCTGCAGATTCTGTTCTTTTAACTGGGGCCAGTGTGAGCCATCTTTGACTCAGTGCTTGCAATAGACCTTGATTCTGCAGTGGGACCTCCCAGGCCCCCTTGCCCCCCGCAACTTCTGGACTCATATCCGTCAGACATCACTTGTCACCTTCCAGCATCAGGGAGAACTGGATCCCTCCTGGCTCCACACTCTTAGGCTCTTTGTAAGTAGCTGGTGAGGGTTTTCTTCTCTCTGCAAGGGAGGCTGGTAGAACTATGGATGTGATTCGTACAATTTTAGAGACAAAAAGAAAGTACCCAGGAGGTCATTTATTTCAGCTGCTTCATTGCATAGGTCGGGGAGTTGAGCATGGAGTCCAGCAGCTACTAACTAGTTATCTCTGTACCTGGCTTCCATTTACTGGTCCTTAGCTTGTTCCGTGATTCTTCATTGCCCCTTATTTCTCACCAGAGGGACTGGTTGGCCCTAGATGGAGTGGTCTTTTTAAAATTTTTTTTTTAAATTTTTTGAGACAGAGTCTCACTCTGTCACCTAGGCTGTAGTGCAGTGCTGCGATCTCGGCTCACTGCAACCTCCGCCTCCTGAGTTCAAGCAATTCTCCTGTCTCAGCCTCCTGAGTAGCTGGGATTACAGGTGTGTACCACTATGCCCAGCTAATTTTTGTATTTTTAGTAGAGATGGGATTTCACCATATTGGCCAGGTTGGTCTTGAACTCCTGACCTCAAATGATCTGCCCACCTTAGCCTCCCGAAGTGCTGGGATTGCAGGTGTGAGCCACCGCACCTGGCCTGGGCAGAGTGAAGTCTTATGCTGGGGAGCCATCAGCATGCTCAAACCTCCTGCAATTGTAGCACACTTTGTAAAACTGTTTCCCACAAAAGGGCAGAACTATTTGGGACTTTCATGAGACCATTCACTTTGTAGCACATACTACTTTGAAGTTTATACCTTGGAAAACCTCATGATGGTATTCCCAGGCTTGCACGTAATCTGCACTCAAAACATAGCTGTAGAATTGAACTAAAGCATCCCTCTGTCCAATTAAGACCTATAACCTCTCTTTTTGAGACAGAATCTCGCTCTGTCACCCAGGTTGGAGTGCAGTGGTGCAATCTCAGCTCACTGCATCCTTCGCCTCCTGGATTCAAGCGATTCTCTTGCCTTAGCCTCCGAAGTAACTGGGACTACAGGTGCGCGCCACCACGCCTGGGTAATTTTTGTATTTTTAGTAGAGACGGGGTTTCGCCATGGCCAGGCTGGTCTCAAACTCCTGGCCTCAAGTGATCCTCCCGCCTCAGCCTCCCAAAGTGCTGGGATTACAGGGTGCACCACCACACCCAGCCAGGACCTATGATCTAATTCATTGTTGGGGTAGCTTCACAATTTTCTTCTGGACGCCTTAGTAAGTCCACACTTTAAGCAGCCACCACATGGCATACTTTACCTTCTGTTTTTCCTTTCCCCTCCCCTACCTAGACCCTCCTAACTTTTGGGGTTTTTTTCCTTTCCTCAGGGTCAGTTTGAAAAGGAGGATCGAGCTCACTGTGGAGTATCCATGGAGATGTGGAGCCTTGTCACCAACCTCTAACTGCAGAACTGGGATGTGGAGCTGGAAGTGCCTCCTCTTCTGGGCTGTGCTGGTCACAGCCACACTCTGCACCGCTAGGCCGTCCCCGACCTTGCCTGAACAAGGTAAGGTGCTGGCTGGGGGCAGCCTGGACTCCTGGGCCTTGGGAACAGGATGGGCTGGGAGGGAGGTGATATGGTTGCAGGTGATGTGGTCAACAGGGAAGGCTCCTTCCCAAGTGGAGCAAAGAACTCCCTTCCTGTAGGAGAAACTCTCAAGATACCTGGGTTGGTTCTGGTCTGGTTATAAACATAACTGACTTCATCAGAGGTTGGGGTCATGAAGGCTGGTGACATCCATTTACCTGAGATGACATGTTTGTGGGGGGTAATTTATGCTTTTCTCTTTCTGAGGAAAGAATATCTGATGAGGACCCTAGTGTCACACTTTAACATAGGTGATGTATAAAATGCAGCTGGTGGTGCAATGGGGAGAGAATGACCTTAGAATTTGCGTGTAGAACTTGGGTCAGACTACAGGGGATGTTGTAGGAGGTGAGAGCTTGCTAAAGACCTCTGACTTCCAGAAAATTGTTTCAAGGCCACATCTTCGCCAGGCATAGTGGGTCACACATGTAACCTCAGCACTCTGGGAGGCTAAGGCAAGAGGATCACTTGAGGCCAGGAGTTCAAGATCAGCCTAGGCAATATAGCGAGACCCCATCTCTACAAAAAAAAAGGAAATTAACTGGGTGTGATGGTGCACGCTGCTAGTCCCAGCTACTTGCTACTCAGGAGGCTGAGACAGGAAGATTGCATGATCCTAAGAGTTGAGGCTGCAGTGAATTATGATTGCACTACTGCGCTCCAGCCTGGGTGAAAAAAAGGCACATCTTCTATAAGGGTCAGCAGTCATGGCTTCACGCCTGCATTTTCCTATCCTTAACTGTGTCTCACAGGTTCTGTTTGGGGGCCTGCCAAGCGATTTGCTTTGGATAGGTACTGTTTGAGGGGTTTTGAAGTGATTGAGACCCAGGAAGCATAAAGGGGCATGGAGACCTATGGCGTGTTGGAAATTCAGAGCCATCATCGGTAACAGGAAGGACTTACCCCACCATTCTTGGGATCTGTGTGAGCTGTGGAAAGGCCTCTTGGGAGATTATAGGTACAGAATACCGGTGGCTTTCGCGGGACTTTGAAAACTAATGTATGAGCATTTCTGCTGCCAGAGGATAGTGTGGTTCGTGACTCAGTGGCTGGTCACACAGAGAAGGTTGACACACAGTGGGTGAAAGGTTGGAGGTGCGCGTGATGGGGTGGCTGTGTGCAAAAGGCTGCCACTCAGCTGGTCAGGGACTCGTTTGAATGATGAGTGATGGGTGAGAATATGTGTCCTCTGGATGGAGTTGGGGATGAACAGGGAAAGTTGTGTGAGACTTTATAGAAGGTGCAGTGGCTAGAGCAGGCATATTCATGTTGCTGTCAGTAACAGAACCGAAGGCAAGGTCTGAGCTGGAGCACGGTGGGGACCCAAAGTGGGAGAGACTGTGTCTGCCCACAGGGAGTTTATGGTCAGGAGGGATGGGCAAGTACAGGGATAAGTAACACAAGACAGACTGTGTTTAAACCACCCAGTGAAGTTACAACCAGAGGTGGTGGGAATGCAGAGGAAGAGGGGAGCAGAGAGCACCTGAGATGGGCTTGAGTTCAGAAGGGGAAAAATGAAGGGCCCTCCAGGTTGAACAGCATGAGTGTTCAGAGACAGCATGTATATGGTTTATGGAGAACGGTTTGCCTGGTGAGTAGGTAGCTCTGGGAAACAACACTTGGAAAAATTGGATTGAGTTAGCATATGGAAGGCTTAATGCCCTGCTAAGAAAACTATACTTAGGGCCGGGCACGGTGGCTCACGCCTGTAATCCCAGCACTTTGGGAGGCTGAGGCGGGTGGATCACAAGGTCAGGAGTTCGAGACCATCCTGCCTAACACGGTGAAACCCCATCTCTATTAAAAATACAAAAAAATTAGCCGGGCGTAGTGGCAGGCGCCTGTAGTCCCAGCTACTCCAGCTCCAGTCTCCAGCTGAGGCAGGAGAATGGCGTGAACCCGGGAGGCAGAGCATGCAGTGAGCTGAGATCGCGCCACTGCACTCCAGCCTGGGCAACAGAGTGAGACTCCGTCTCAAAAAAGAAAAAGAAAACTATACTTAGGCCAGGCGTGGATTATGCTGGTAATCTCAACATTTTGGGAAGCCGAGGCAGGAGGATTGCTTGAGCCAAGAAGTTTGAGACCAGCCTGGGCAACATGATGAGACCCTGTGTCTACAAAAAATAGAAAAATTAGCCAGGTGTGGTGGCACATGCTTGTAGTCCCAACTATTAGGGAGGCTGAGGTGGGAGGATCACTTGAACCTGGGAGGTAGAGGTTGCAGTGAGCCATGATCACACCGCTTCACTTCAGCCTGGGTGACAGAGTGAAACTCTGTCTAAAAAAAAAAAAAAAAAAAAAGCAAGAAAAGAAAACTAGACTTAAATGGGTAGATGCTGGGAAACTTGAAAAGTTTTTAGCAAGTAGTGACACTATCAGCTTTCAGAAAGTTAATTTGGCAGCTCAGTGTGGATGGCTGGGAGGAAAGAGTGAGGTGCACCTGTGTTTGCATCCTGCTCTGCCACTTGATAGCTGCATTATTTACTTCAACAAACTACTCAAACACCATACGTCACAGTTTGCTCATCTGTAAAACAGGGATAAATAATAAAGGGTTAAGTGGGGTAATCCAGATGAAGCACTTCCATGTAAGGTGTTAATAGTTGCTATTGCTGCCACTGCTGCTGCCAGAAGGATGAGGTCGCAGGTTATTTTGAGTGTCTGGCTAGAGGAAGTGCAGGTACTGACCAGGATGGGGACTGGGAGATGATAGAGGAAGGAAAAAGTAGTAAAGACACTACAGCAATAGCATCTGTGGGTTTAAGTAGGTTGGGTGTCAACTGTGGGCAACTGGAGACTGAGATGAGAGTGTAAAGGGAGTGAGTCAGAGTGGGAGGTTTGAGGGGAGTTTAGATTTGAATCCGCCAATTGTAGACAGCGATAAAGGAGTGGAAGAGTAGCAAGGAGCTAGTTGAGGTTTGAGAATGTGAATTTATAATGGAGCCTAAAGTACTTTCTTTTTTTTGCAGCCCAAGAAGGGAGAAGTGGATCTCGGGCCTGGCTGCTTGTGAGCCAGCCCGACGGGATGAGTATAAGGAACTTTAGGGCCAGGGTGGGGGTGCTAGTAGAGGAGGGGGCTTCACGGAAGCTGCTGGGGCAGGGTGGAGGCTGGAACCTGGGGGCTGAAGATCTTGATGAGGACAAAGTACCGGCCCTGTGAACAGAAGAAAGGGAGTAAGAGAGGTGGATGGGGCTCTTAGGAGCCATGTACCCAGGAAGACTGACATTAAATGACCATTTTTTAAAAATCAACTTAATTTTCAAAGGCACATTGGCTCCCACCTATAATCCCAGTACTGTGGGAGGCAGAGGCAGGAGGATCACTTGAGCCCAGGAGTTTAAGATCAGCTGGGTTTGTTTGTTTGTTGGTTGGTTGGTTTTAAGAGACAGAGTTTCACTCTGTTGCCCAGGCTGGAATGCAGTGGCATGATCTTGGCTTACTGCAACCTCTGCCTCCCAGGTTCAAGCGATTCTCCTGCCTCAGCCTCCTAAGTAGCTGGAATTACAGGTGCTCACCACTATGCCTGGCTAATTTTTATATTTTTAGTAGAGATGGGTTTCACCAGGTTGGCCTTGAACTCCTGACCTCAAGTGATCTGCCCACCTCGGCTTCCCAAAGTGCTGGGACTATAGGTGTGAGCCACCACACCTGGCCAAACCAACTTAATTTAGGTATAACAGTTTGGGCTATTGTAATAAGACTGCTGTGAACCTTCATGTGCAAGCCTGGGTGGGCACACATTTTCCTTGGACTGCCCTGGTTTTGATTTTGGCTCCACACCTTACTGACTGTTGGCTCTTGGGGAAGTTCCTCTTTGTGCCCTTTTATAAAATATATTGATAATGAATGTGTGCTCATAAGGTCATTGTGAATATCAAATAAGCATGTCTGCAGAGCTCATAGGACATTGCCTGGTCCGTAGGCCATGAGCAGTCAATGGCCGTTGTGGGTCCCTTTCCCTGGGCCTCCAGGGGAGACGGCACATGGCGAGGAGCATGTTGTTTCATGGGACACAGCAACGGAAAGCCCCTGCACTTGGAGAACAAGCCCCAGGTCTCTGTTTGGTGGAGTAAGCCCCCGTCTCAGTGTGAGTGTGGTGCTTTCACATAGCCTGTCTCTCATGAGCTTTGTGACAGAACAGAGAACTGCTGTGCCCAGGACATTCTAAGGGGAGATCTGGCTTCATGCTTTGTAAGCTGTAAGGAACCTTGTAAGTGTAAAGTATATTGCATAGTCTTGGGCCTGCTGATTATTAAATAATAATGCTGATATTTTTTAATTAATTAATTAATTTATTTGAGACGGAGTCTCACTCTGTCGCGAGGCTGGAGTGCAGTGGCGTGATCTTGGCTCACTGCAACCTCCACCTCCTGGGTTCAAGCGATTCTTCTGCCTCAGCCTCCCAAGTAGCTGGGATTACAGGCGCGTGCCACCACGCCCAGCTAGTTTTTTTGTATATTTAGTAGAGACGGGGTTTCACCATGTTGGCCAGGATGGTCTCGGTCTCCTGACCTCATGATCTGCCCACCTCGGCCTCCCAAAGTGCTGGGATTACAGGTGTTAGCCACCATGCCTGGCCAATGCTGCTGTTGTCCTAAAAAAAAAATCATAGGGCGAGCACAGTGGCTCACACCTGTAATCCCAGCACTATAGGAGGCCGATGCAGGAGGATTGCACGAGCCCGGGAGTTCCAGACCAGCCTGGGCAACATAGCAAGACCCCATCTCTAAAAATTTTAAAAATTAGCTGGGTAACGTGGCACACATCGGCAGTCCTAGCTATTCAGGAGGCTGAGATGGGAGAATTGCTTGAGAGTTGCTTGAGCCCAGGAGTTGAGGCTACAGTGAGCTATAATCAAGCCACTGCACTCCAGCCTGGGTGTCAGAAGGAGACCCTGTCTTTAAAAAAAAGAAGAAACACATTATAATCTATGTATTAAGGGCTTTGTCCAAAAGGTGAGAGCAAACCACCTAAAACCCTGTTCACACTGAGTTTTCCCCATTTAAAAGGCCTTGCTGTGATTTTAAGTGTGTGTGTGTGTGTGTGTGTGTGTGTGTGTGTGTGTGTGTGTGTCTGTGTGTCTGTGTGTCTGTCGGGAGCCCCTCCCCACTGAGCGCAGTACCAACGCCCCTCAGTCTGCAAGTGCTCCTGAGGGATTGGGGAGGGCCTGGAGTTTCTGGCTGTCCTTGGAAAGTTGATTTAATAAGGGTTCCAGGAAAACCAGCCTCCCTCCCCTCTCCCTCTCCTTCCCCTCCTTTGGTTTGGGATCTTACAGAGCCTCAGCTTGTTTCAGATCAGGCTTTGAGAGTGGTGAGGGAGTTGTTTGGAAAGACTGAAGCCGGTTTCAGATGATAAGCCCCAACATTCTGAGCTTGCAGAGGGTGCATTTGTCTGTCTTTTGCAATAAGTCAAGTCTTGGTGGGCAAAGCCAGTGAGTGAGTACAACACTGCTTGCAAGGCCACTGCTGGTAGTTGGGGTGGGGGTCCTGCCCCCTTTTCAGCAGTACTGTGGGTTAAACACCCCAGTGCTCAGAAAACCTGCAGCTCAGAAGTGATTTAATGGGCTGAGTTTTACAGCTCCTCCCACCCACCCAGATTTGAAGGAGTCTGGTGGCTTGTTAGAGGGGGGAGAGGTTGCACTTAATGGAAAAACCACACATTTCCATTCTGGCCTCAAGCCCCCTGGATGCCCTGTGTGCACCACAAAGCGGGGCTTTGTCTCTGTGTTTTGCAGAAACCTGCACCTATGGGGGAGAGGCTGTGCGTGGTGCCAGAGCCATTGCCTAGCCTCAGATCATAGGGCCCTTGCAGGTCCTCCATCCCTGGGCGTCTCCAGCTGCCTTTGGCCCAAAGGGGTGTGCGTTTCAGCCTGGCTGCAGGGAGAGTCTCAAATAGGTACTACAGGTTTGGTAGTGGGACACCCTCTGTTCCACTATCAGACCTGTAGTCTAGCATCTACACTGGACTGTGGTCCTGTGTCCCAAGGCTGCCTTGGGACACAGGCAAGACCCTCCCCTACTCCCACCCCATCTCCAGCATGATTTCTTATGATGAAAAGAACTTGTTTGCTTCTCATTCAACCTGGATGGTAAGAGGAGTTTCTTCATCCCCTGCCAGAAGGCGAATGGAATTCCATGGAGCAAAAGGTGATGTCAGATGACCCTCTTGAGAACAAGGGTGGAGGATTTAGGCCTCTAGAAATCTGCAAGGTGCTAAGCTCATAACAGGTTTCCCCAGAGGATCAGCTCTGTCCCACTTCCCCTGGAGAAGTGGCTCCAGTGCCTGGAAGGGGTGTTTGCAAGTGTTCAGAGCTGGACAGGGAGGACCCAGCCCTCGGCCTGTGAGAGAATGTGAGGACGCTCACGTGGCCCTCTTGACCAAGCTGGGGCAAGCGCAGCAAAGCCACTCCGAGGCTGTGTTCTTGGCTCCGGCTTCTGCATTGCTACACCATTAGCTTCACTGATTTTCCACTCTGGCTCTGCCAGGCCCGCTCCCTGAAGTCAGGGAGGAGGAATTTCTCAGGGAAGAACAAATGGCTGTCCAGAGATCTTGCTGCCAGTGGGGGAAGGGAGGGATCCCAAACAAAGACTCTGTCAGGGTTTCCATCACCTGGTTCCTGTGACTACCTGGAGTCGGGTCAGCAGGAACTGGAGAGACAGCATCAGGGATTCTTTGGGAGCCTGTGGCCCCAGCACGGAGGGGTGTTTGCTCCTGGCCAGGCAGAAGCAGTGAGTGATGGCTTGTGTCTGGGCGGTGATGAATGGCCCTGGGAGAAGTGAGTCCTGGGGAGTCATTATCCGGGAGGGCGAGGTCTGGGGTCAGAGAGCCCGACCAGCAGCTGGCCCTATTTTCACAATGCCTCGTTCCTCCGGGGCCACTGGGGGCTCCAGCTCACCCTGTAGACACCACCTTTGCCTCTTTCTTCCTTCCCTGAGGCTTGGAAATGAGACAACTGTTTCCCTGTTGACCGGGGAAGTCCAGCTGCTCTCATTCTCCTGGGCTCCTGAACGGGGCGGCCCAGGCCTTCCTCCTGGGCCTGGCTCTTTCACCAACTTGCAGGCAGGCAATCCCTTCTCCCCACCCACCATACTCCCCAGCCCCACTGCACCCTAAATAATTAAGCTGAAAGCTAACTGCCCTACCTGGATCTGAAGGGCCTGGGCTAAATCCCAAACTGTTTCCTCCTAGGAGAAGCCTGCTGGAGTCTGGGCCACTTCTGACCTTGGGGTTTGCTCTGACTTACAGCTGGTGGCAGCCAAGTAGCAGGGCCAATTGCCCTAACCCCTCCTCCCCGGTAGTGGGCCTGTTGCCTCTTAGCATTGCCAGTGTGGCACCAAGAGACATTGAACTTCTACCCTCAGAGTTCCCTCCCTTCTCCTGTTTCTTGGCTCACAACAGTTCTTGCCTTTCCACTTGCCAAACAGGTATCTACTGCCTTCATGTAAAGCATTTGTGCCCTGCAAACTAGGGGCTGTGGGGTGAGGGCTCCGTGTAGCTGGTTTCAGGCACTGAGAAAGATCCACCCTGGCAGAGCTTGAAACTCCACGCCCTCTCCTCGTTCACATGCTGTGGCGTGGCTGAGCCTCCCGGGATGGGTTGTGTAAAAGGTGGGGTGGGGGCTGTGCCATTTGTGTTCCCAGGCCCTGGACATGGAGACACAGGGAGCCTGAAGTGGGTGAGAGGGTCAAGGAGTTCCGCAAAGAGTAGACTTAGTGGTTACGAGGTTGGGCAGAGAAAGAGGTCAGAAACAGCAACACGGAGGTTTCTAGGAGTTAACCAACAGTGAACATTGAATTCAGAGCTTAGCCCTTCCTCACTTTTCTCTAGGATCAAAAACTAGCTTCTGGCTAATGGTCCATTCATTGACTGATTTTTTTTCACTCATTCATTTATTCATTCATCTAGTCAAGCAAGTCTCTTCCTTTTTCCGTAAATACAATGTATACTTTATACATTGTTTTATCCTAGTCCCTTAGCTGGAAATATCTGTTCCTGTCCTTTTCTTCCTTTTCACTTTTTATAATTCCTGCTCAAATCTTAGTTTAAGGTTTAGCTTGGGTTTAGATTAAAGCTTAACTTAAGGGCCACCTCCCTTTTGAAGCCTTCCCCTATCTCCAAATTAATTACCCCATTTTTTCTCTTTTTCTTTTTTCTGTGTTTTTTTTTTCTCCTGAGACCTAGTCTCGCTCTGTTGCCCAGGCTAGAGTGCAGTGGAGTGATCATGGCTCACTGCAGCCTCGACCTCCTGGGATCAAGCGATCCTCTGGCCTCAGCCTCCTAAAGTGTTAGGATTACAGGCATGAGCCACCATGCCCTTTTGAGATGTAGTCTCGCTTAGTCATCCAGGCTGGAGTGCAGTGGCGCGATCTCGGCTCACTGCAACCTCTGCCTCCCAGGTGCTAGCGATTCTTCTGCCTCACCCTCCCGAGAAGCTGGGATTACAGGCACCCACCACCATGCCCAGCTAATTTTTGTATTTTTTGTAGAGACAGGTTTTCGCCATGTTGGCCAGTCTGGTCTTGAGCTCCTGACTTCAAGTGATCCACCCGCCTCAGCCTCCCAAAGTGCTGGGATTACAGGCGTGAGCCACCACACCTGGCCTCTTTTTAACTTTCATTCTAACACTTACTTTACTCTGCCTCACATTATGTGGAGTTTTTAATAGATGTCTGTTTACTCCACTAGAGCAAAGTTCTCTATAGTCAGCAAGTATATCTTTATCACTCTTTTAAAAACATTAGTGTTTAGGCTGGGCGCGGTGGCTCACTCCTGTAATCCCAGCACTGGCCAGCCTGGCGAAACCCTGTCTCTACTAAAAATACAAAAATTGGCCAGGTGTGGTGGCACGCACCTATAATCCCATCTACTCAGGTGGCTGAAGCAGGAGAATCACTTGAACCCGCGAGGCGGAAGTTGCAGTGAGCCGAGATCGCACCACTTCACTTCAGCCTGGGCAAAAGAGCGAAACTCCGTCTCAAAAAAAAAAAAAAAAAAATTGGTGTTTTGTTAGATAATCTGGGTTCATCTTTCAAAATTCAGAAAATACAGACCTGTAAAGAGGAAAAGGAAGACTCCTATAATTCCATCATTCAAAAGCAATCACTGTTAACTGAATTTATTGTTTTAGACTTTTTTCTTGCATTTATGTAAACCTGACTTTTCAGAATTAGGATTTATACTGTATACGATGTTTTGTGACTGATATCAGCATTTAGAGCCATACAGAGAATGTTTTTCATTATGCTTAAGAACTACATAATGTTCCATTGTGTGGGTGTACAAAGTTGATCCAGTTCTCTACATTTGGGCATTTAGGTTATTTTCAATAGTTTGCATTCAATAGAACATATTCTTACAAATAAAATCTGTCCATGTATCCAAGGATAGTTCCATTTGTTTTAAGTTTTGATTTTATCACTATTACATCACTATACCAAATATCCCCCAAAAGATTATACCAGTAAATGTCTTTTAAAATATAATAATAAATACCAGCCGGGTGCAGTTGCTCACACCTATAATCCCAGCACTTTGGGAGGCCGAGGCAGGCAGATCACTTAAGGTCAGGAGTTTGAGACCAGCCTTGGTAACATGGCAAAACCCTTCTCTACTAAAAATACAAAAATTAGCCGGTCATGATGGCGGCCACCTGTAGTCCCAGCTACTCAGGAGGCTGAGGCAGGAGAATAGCTTGAACCCAGGAGGTGGAGGTTGCAGTGAGCTGAGATTGCACCACTGCACTCCATCCTGGGCGACAGAGCAACGCTCTGTCTCAAAAGTAATAATAATAAATATCATCTCCACACTCTGCATGCTTGACATTTTCCCATTTTTACAATGATTCCATAGGCATAGGTTTTATGACCATAATCAGATGAGTAAACTGAGGTTTGAGGGGTTAAGTAACCTATCTTAAGTTTATATAGTGGGTGAGGGGTGGAACTAGGATTTAAACTCAGGTGGTTCTGCTATAGTATTTTTTTCCCATTGTATTACACTATTTTTCTATATCAAATTGGGTTTCCCCACAAAATCTAGGTGGACCAACTTCTGAATGTAAACATTGCTGGCTCAGTCCCCTTTGTCTCACAGGAGTCAGGCATCCCCTCCCTTTGTCAGGGGTGTGTGTGTGTGTGTGTGTGTGTGTGTGTGTGTGTGTGTGTGTGTGTGTGTGTTTGCTTGCAGTAATATCTCCTGTGGCATTCTGTAGAGAGGTTACACATCAGTCACAGGTCTGTGAACTGCCTTAATGAACAAGGTTCCCTAGCCTAGAATAATCAATGGAACAAAATCCCCATGGACGCTGCCATTTCCACTGTTGCCAAAGACCTACATGGAGAAGGTTCCCAAGGTGTCAGATCCGACACCTGAGTTTTCTTTATAGGTCACAGTTAGCCTAGAATGTGTGGTATGGGTATTGCCTGGACGCATAAACTAGATTGCTTCTAATATGGATGTGGTCCAACAATCTCTGATGAATGGAAGTAAACATATCAAAAGCTTCAGAGGCTGGGACATTAACATTTTTTTGAGGCTACTAGTGTTTTTTATAAATAATGAAGAAGGGCCAGGCGCAGTGGCTCACACCTGTAATCCCAGCACTTTGGGAGGCCGAGGTGGGCAGATAGAGTGAGCTCAGAAGACCCGCTTGGGCAACATGGCATAAACCCCATCTCTACAAAAAATACAAAAAATTACCTGGGCGTGGTGGTGGGCGCCTGTAATCCCAGCTACTCGGGAGGCTAAGGTAGGAGGATCACCTAGGCCTGGTGTGGTGGGTCACACCTGTAATCCTAGCACTTTTGGGGGCCAAGGTGGGCTGATTGCCTGAGCTCAGGAGTTCGAGACCAGCCTGGGCAACACGGTGAAACCCTGTTTCTACTAAAATACAAAAAACTAGCCGGGTGTGGTGGCGGGCGCCTGTAATCCCAAGTACTCGGGAGGCTGAGGCGGGAGAATCGCTTGAACCAGGGAGTCAGAGGTTGCAATGAGCCGAGATTGTGCCACTGCACTGCAGCCTGGCTACATAGCAAGACTTCCTCTTTAAAAAAAAAAAAAAAAAAAAAAAGGTGGGAGAGGGCTGAGTCAGTTTGCCTTGGAGGCATGGGGGAGGAGAAGGATGTGAACAGGGAAGTGATCTAAGAGCTTCCCTAGGAAGGAAGGACACCCTTTTCCTGGAATGCTCTCCTGCTCTGCCACAGCTTTCAGTCAATTATCACTGCCTTTAGAATGCTTATCAGCACTCCAGCCCTTCAGAAGTGTCCTTCTCCTCCTCTGGTGTCAAACTCCAGAGTTTACTTTTGGAATTAAGGTTTATTTTCCTTAGGTTTTAGGAAGTAGCTTTTGAACCTTAGAAGAGTCAGTTTCCTTTACTAACTACTGAATGAAGTTAGGCATTCAAAACTTGGGTAGTCATGATTTGAAGTGTCACTTGCGGCCAGGCACAGTGGCTCACCTGTAATCCCAGCATTTTGGGAGGTTGAGGCGGGCAGATCACCTGAAGTCAGGAGTTCAAGCCCAGCCTGGCCAACATAGTGTCTCTACTAAAAATATTAAAAAAAAAAAAAAATAACCGGGCGTGATGGCAGGCGCCTGTAATCCCAGCTACTCTGGAGGCTGAGACAGGAGAAGCACTTGAATCCAGGAGGCGGAGGTTGCAGTGAGCCAAGATTGCACCATTGCACTCCAGCCTGGGCAACAGAGTGAGACTCCGTTCCCCAAAAAATGAAATGTCAATTTCATTGAGACTGTATGAATGCCTGACATGCACTTGAAAGTGATGTTTATTTTATAATTTTAGCCCTTCTTCACTACCCCAAACTCCCAGTGCATTTAAAAAATTTATTGGCCTAGCCATTCTCATGGGGTAATATATCATGACCATCAAAAGATGACACTAAAGTGAATCCTCCATGTATAGCTGGGCTTTCTGCCAGCCTTAGATTCTGGAGAAGCACCCCAGGCCAGGGAGAACGGGTGAAGAGGAGAAGCATTTATTGAAGGTGCTGGTAGCCGGAGCCCTGAGACCAACACAGAATCGTTTTTTCTGAAGGACAACTCAAGGACAGTTGAGGGCTCTTCACTTCCCTCACATCAGAGGGAGCTTTGTGCTCACGATGGGCACGGAAAGGGATGCCAGTAAGCGATGCCCCTCTATCATCTCACAAGACCCAGGTGAAACAGGACATTGGTTAGGGCTGGGACAGGGTCAGTCAGCCTTCTCATTTTACAGTGGAGGAAGCTGAGGCTTGAGAGGGGAGGTGACTTGCCTGAGGTCACACAGTAAGTGATCAGCTGTCATCTGAGTGATTTCTTCAGGTACTCTCTCTGGCTGGACCCAGCCAGTGACAACTACCTGTGGCTCAAGCTGAGTTTGGGACTAAATGGTTTTACAAGGACCTCAAAGTATACTCTCTCTCTTCTAGTAGGACATGGGGAATACTGACTTTGCTGAGAGTAAGGGCTCTTTTCCCAGGATTGTTCTAGATCCCCAGATCACTGGAACCCTGAGCATAGATACTAGGCTTTAGCTTCCTGGCTACCACAGAGCCACACACTCTCAGGTAGAAAAATCCCTAAACTGGCTGGGCATGGTGGCTCATGCCAGTAATCCCAGCACTTTTGGAGGCCCAGGCAGGTGGATCACCTGACGTCAGGAGTTCAAGACCAGCCTGGCCAACATGGTAAAACCCTGTCTCTACAAAAAAAAAAAAAAAATTTAGCCACGCGTGGTGGCAAGTGCCTATACTCCCAGCTGCTTGGGGGGCTGAGGTGGGGGGATCACTTGAGCCAGGGAGGTGGAGGCTGCAGTGAGCTGAAATCATGGCACTGTTCTTTAGCCTGGGCTACAGAATGAGACCCTGTCTCAAAGAAAAAAAAAAAAAAACCCGAACCATGTTTTTAATTTCTTAAAACTGAGAGTACTAAATGCTCAACGTTCATGTTGTGTGCATAAAAGTGAGACTGAAGGATGAATGTGTGGGGTATGGATAGATGGGATGTGAATGAAGCAGTCTCTGGGTCCAAGCTCTCCTGGAAATTCGTGGAACAGACCAGTGGTCCCAGATTTTTAGATTTCATAGGCCAGTAAAATTTCCCTCCAGATTTTTGGAACCAACAAAGGATCATCAACTTTTTTGCCAAGTAAGAACGTTTTTAATAAACTAATGCTGCCTGCTACCATTACCACCTGATTCTTTTTTTTTTTTTTTTTTTTTTTTTTGAGACAGTTTCATTCTTGTTGCCCAGGCTGGGGTGCAATGGTGCGATCTCAGCTCACTGCAACCTCCACCTCCTGAGTTCACGCAGTTCTCCTGCCTCAGCCTCCTGAGTAGGTGGGATTACAGGCATTCGCCACCACACCTGGCTCATTTTGTATTTTTAGTAGACACGGGGTTTCTCCATGTTGGTCAGGCTGGTCTCGAACTCCTGACCTCATGTGATCCGCCCACCTCAGCTTCCCAAAGTGCTGGGTTTACAGGCGTGAGCCACCGAGCCCAGCGCCATCTAATTCTTTTGTTGTGGTAAAATATATGTAACATAAAATTAACCATTTTAACTATTTTTATTTTTTTAAGTTAAATTGATTATGTAATGTTTTTGAGACAGGGTCACACTTTGTCACCCAGGCTGGAGTGCAGTGTTGCTATCTCAGCTCACTGCAGCCTCGACCTCCCGGGCTCAAGAGATCCTCCCACCTCAGCCTCCCAAGTAGCTGGGACCACAGGTGCACGCTACCATGCCTGGCTAATTTTGTTTTTCTTTTTTTTTTTTTTTTGTAGAGATGAGGTCTCACTTTGTTGCTCAGGCTGATCTCTAACCCCTGGACTCAAACAATCCTCTCACCTCAGCCTCCCGAAGTATTGGAGTTAAGAGATGTGAGCCACTGTGCCCGGCCAATTTTTAAATTTGTAATTGATGCATAATGGTTATGTATAATCGTCGGGTACGGTATGATGTTTTGATCCACGCACACATTATGTAACGACCAAATCATGGTAATTGCTGTATTGTATCCATCACTTTAAATATTTATCATTTCTTTGTGGTGCATTTTCACCAATTTTAAGTGCACAGTTTTGTAGCATAAAATTTATTCACGCTGTGTAGCCATCACCACCATCCATTTCACCTTCCCTGACACCTTACCTGTTCAACGCTAACTCCCCCTTCTCCCCTCTTCCAGCCCCTTGGTAACCACTATTCTACAGCTTTTCATTTTCAAAGGATGTTTTATTGTCTTTAGTCTCATCGTGTGAAACCTTAAGAGAATTTCTTTACGGTGGAGAAAAAGTAACTTTATGAAGCCCATTCCTTTCTCTACTCTGGAGAGGCTGGTGACCCAGCCCCACCATTGCAGGAATGAGACGGGATTGCGGGGATATGGCAGGCACTTGGGGTGCTGAGAGTCCAGGTGAACTGTGAGCTCAAGCACCCATGTCGGGCTTGGGGGACCAGAAGACACATCCTGAAACAGCTGAAGCCTCTACTAATTCATCAGCAAGTTTAGGGAGCGGCAACTTTTCCCTGCCCAGCTGCTGGCGTTTCCTTCCCCATACAATTTCTGCTGAGTTTGGGGGAGGGGAGGTTGTTCGAGAGGCCCCAGCTGGGAGAGGTGGGGGGAGGGCGATACATTCTTTTCCTTAAGGAACCTGACCGAACTTTAAGGTCAGAGCTCAGTGGAGAGTGGGAGCTGCAGGGTTACCTCTTTGCCGTTGATTCATCTCTCCACCCTCCCCCACTCTTAATGATCTTTCCATTACAGAACCCAGACCAGGAAGTGCATGACAGGTCGCAGCTGCAGACACATGGCTGGGAGGCCTGGGCTCCGGGCCAGTGGTGGGAGAGTCTGAGCTCCCCTCCAGCAGTGGGACCCCTGCACACACACACACACACACACACACACACACACCACTTTAACAACTTGGTGGAAGATGTTCTTTCTTATGCACTGTCACAGGTGATGACGAGTTGGACTTTGCTTTGAGTTTAGGATGTGATTTATATTATAATAAAGGCAGGAGAAGACACTCCCCCTGCCCCGGTCCAACCTGAGTGTTTAGATCCCCCCAACTTACAGTCCACCTAAGTGGTCCTTACCAGATCCTGGGAGCTTTCTATTATCGTGCAGATGCCCCAACTTCTTTTCCCAAAATAGGACCCACCCAATATGGCCTTAGAAGCTTCCCAGGGTATCCGGGGCAGTTGCTAGTCACAGTCTTAATGTCTCCGAAATAGTATGTTTTCCTCTCTATGTTTCTATTAAAATGTCAGCCCCAAAACATGTTTCTGGGTGGAGGTCTAGGTGCAACAGCACAGCCTTTGCAAACACAGATAGACTTGGGTTCAAGTCATAATAGATGAGTTGAGCCTCTCATTTTTCAGTCTTCATTGGGGATGGCTCTTTCCATTTGCAAGTTGTTCAGGAAATGTTAATTGACCCTAAACTGTGTCCTAGGGGGCAGTTGTCACACAGGAGTTTCTGTCTTCACCACCAGCTGTGTCCTTGGCTTCCTTCCCTGAATCTGCCAAGGCTGGATTCTGGTGCTAAATGTGAAATGGTGACACAAACTTCTAGGAACTGTGAGCTTGGACGGCCCTCCTCCATAGCCGCAGGGCATCTACCTTTGCTCTTCTTGGATGAGTGAATGAACTTCCCTCTTTCCAGAGCAATGCTTTCTTCCTGTTTAGATAGGAGGGAGAGAAGCAAAGTGTATTGGGAATAGGTTGAGCGAAAGAGTGTAGTAAGAGTTTTCTGTACAGCTCTGTCCTTAATGTATCAGTAAACAATAGGGTGAGAACTTTTGCTGGGGAGAGAGGAAGGAGGGAAATTTCTTTTCAGACAACTCTTGGGTGCATTCCTTTGTTAATCACTTAATTACAGCCCTTCTCCCAGTGAGGTAGTGAACTCCCCATTGTGAGAGGTAGGGAGGAGGTGGGGGACACTGGTGCTGATTGGAGAAAGGTGGCAAAATCCCTAGGGGAAAAAAGTACAGATTTGAAGGAGGCATCAGATGAATCCGTGCATAGAAGCTTGAGCCCCAAACTCAGTTCTCAGGCTGCGTTATCCTTTACGACACCCAGAGTCCCTCTGTCTTTTAAGATCCACACACAACTCTCCAGGCCAATAGCTCTTGGCGCCTGCGATTCCCAAGTGGGATTCTACACGTGTCTTGCTGCCCAGCTCGGGGGGATCTGTTTTTGGGGGGTCTCGGGGCGGGTGCAGGGTCCTGGCTGTGGCTTTGGCTAGTGCAGGCGGCTCGGCACTAAATTACAGTGACGAGGTGGGACGCACAAAAGGCCGAAATCTTTTTTTAATAAAAACAAAACAAAACTCTGGGCCCCAAGCCCCTGGGCTGCTGAATGGCCATGGCTTCCTGTCAGGATTAGCCGGGCTGCCTGGGCCTGTGTGCTCGGCCTTTCTCCTCAGGAAATACCTTTAGTAAGCCCCGGTGGGGTCCCCATGGCAACGCACGGGGGGACCTGCTGGCAGAGGCCATTCAGTCTGCCATTGTCCCCCGGCCCCTTTGTTGTGAGCTTTATTGCCGGCCCTCTGGCAAACACAGCAGTTTGCACCGTTTTGTCAGGCTGAATGTGGAGTTTTTACATTTTAATGGGCTCTTCTGGCAGTGGCCCATTTGCATGCAAAATGTCCCCTCTTACTCTTTTCACTTTCTTCAATTTAAAAAAAAAAAAAAAGCCCTTCTCCAAATCCCCTGGGTCGGGGGGCTGGTGGACGCCATTGGCCCTGGGTGTCAGGCCCTGCTAATTGATTTGGTGCTCCCGGCTCTCTTTCCACACATACCTGTGCCCCCCATTTTTGCAGCTCTCCTTCTATTTGGGGACTCCGAGAGTTGAGAGAAACACATTTTTGGGGCTCTCTCCACCCAAACCCTTGTAGGATGGCAGCTGTGACCCGGGATTTCGGTGAGATGCTTCTGCACTCTGGCCGGGTCCTGCCAGCCGAAGGTAAGTTTTCAGTTCCATTTCAAAGCCAAAATACGTAATAAAAAAACCTCTGCAGAGGGCCCCCGGAGCCCCGCTGCGCTGTTCTGTGCTCCTTTTAAGTTGCTTTCAAAGCCACCCCGAGTTCCTCCCCCACCCACAATTGCCCCCTCATTTATCTCTGGGGAGTTTATACCAAGACTGTAAACATTCCTGGACCACCAGTTTCCCCCATGTTGCTGAGGAGTTTAGCCTTTCTCTCCTAATTTTCTTAACTCAGAAATCAAAAAGATGGAATAGGGATGATAGAAATTGCTACCCTGAGACATCATGCTCATGGAGGATGCCTGGATTTTGTTGGGGGCCAGTTATCCAAGCCCTAAGCCCTTTGGAGTGTAGAACGTAGAGTAGGTAATACAAATACCTACTGTCAGCCCAGCACCCCAGCAACATGAGTAAGTGCAAGACACAGGCATGAACATTTTCAGCTCTAGGGAAAGGCACATTCATGTTGGGGAGAGGTGGAGAATGCAGTTTGGCCAGTCTCAGAAGAGTGAGTTTTAAGGCCTAGGAAAGTGATGGAGATGATTGCTTGTTGGAGAGAGAGAAGGAGAAAGGCATTTAGGGGAAGAAAAGGAAAATGAAAGGAGCAGTGAGGATATTGGCTCCACTGGGGAGGTGGAACTGGGGTAGTGGCCGAACCAGGGGTGGGAGAGGACGTGGTTGAGAGGCTCCAGACCAGCTGGGGCTGTCATGGAGTGTTGGGGGTCTGGAGCAGTCAGGACTTGAAAGCCGGGACCCTTGTGAGCCCTGTGCAGTCCTGAGGATGTGGCCCAAGGGGGAGGGCGGACCAGCTCTTTTGCCTCGTGTTCTTAATCTTCTCAGTGGGTCATCAGGGGTCATCAGCTGTAAGCTGTAATCAACGGTGAGGGGCTCGAGAAGAGAAGGTGTCAGGTGACTGCTGGGGATTGAGCTGAGGACAGGAGAGGCAGGGTGCTGTCTCCTGTGGCCCAGGCAGAGCGGCACAGACCTGGAGTGGGCCACCCCTCATCACCCCATGTGCTGCGACAGTGCTGGCTGGACTGAACCCTGGAAGAGTACCTGGACACAGTGGAGGGGCCAGGACCCAGCAGATGCAGCCTCTAGAGCTTGTCCCTGTTTTGTGACTTTGGGAGCCATTTTTCCATGTTTAAATGGGAAGGAACACAAGTCACCTGGTCACAAGGAAGCAGGCCCTATGAAATATTAAGTGCAATGCCAAAACAGGGCATTGTTACTGGTCTTGAGTCTGCCACAATCACAATGAACACCTCCCCCATTTTCTCACCTGCCACATTTGGACAGCCGAGCCTGCTGGACTCGCAGGGGCAGGAGAGTGCATTTTATAATTAAAAGCACTCAACTGTAAGGTAATGATTGATATGAGCTATGGGCTTGAGGAAATGAGGGAAGGAGGGGAGGATAAGGCCAAAGCAACCAACTTCAGAATCTCACGGGAGGAGGTAGGATGCAGGGGGTGCCATTAGACAGAATCAAAGGGCTGAACCAGAAGGGCTTCCTCACCTGGGGAAGTCAAGACACTGTGAAGATTGAGGCTGCCTTGCACAGCGGTAAAGCTGGACTCTGGATGTATGATGTATGTGGATTCTGGAGAACCAGGCTACCTGTGTTTGAATCCCAGCTCTGCCACTTAACAACCTAGCTGGGCCATCTTGGACTAATCCCAAATCTTTCTGTGCCCCAGTTTCCCCCTCTGAAGATAATAATTCCTTTTTTTTTTTTTTTTTGAGACGGAGTCTGGGTCTGTCACCCAGGCTGGAGTGCAGTGGTGTGATTTCGGTTCACTGCAACCTCTGCCTCCTAGGTTCAAGTGATTCTCCTGCCTCAGCCTCCTCAGTAGCTGGGATTACAGGCGTGCATCACCACGCCTGGCTAATTTTTTGTATTTTTAGTAGAAATAGGGTTTCACCATGTTGGCCAGGCTGGTCTCAAACTCCTGATCTCAGGTGATCCACCCACTTCGGCCTCCCAAAGTGCTAGGATTACAGGCATTAGCCACTGCACTGGGCCCGAAGATAATAATTCTAACTCTTAAATACTTCACAAGATTCTAAGTTAACACATGCTGAGAACTATGCTGGTATGTAGTAAGCCTCCGCATCCATAGGATAGAAATCATAGTAGGATCAACCTCATAAGTTTCCTATGAGGATGAAATGGGAGGGTCTGTGTTAAAAGCTTTGTGCAGCCTATGGGATATAGTGAGCGTGCTGGAAATATTGGCCAGTAGTAGTATTGCTGTTTACTCAGATGTTTATGGATCCCTAGATAATATATGGGAAGGCACATGGTAAATTACAAAGTGCTATGCAAATGTGTTGTTATTCTTCACTGGGTTCCTGTTAAGTTGTGGGGTTTGGGGATGGATAACTTCCAGACCAGAGTGGCTGCTGTGGGACCGGGCTGGTGAAGCGGTATTTCAAAATACATTTTCAGGTGTGTTTGTCCATGTGGCATGAATGCCCTGCATTCATAGTCTCTGCAGAGAGGTGTGTTCCCTGGGATATCTTTGGTGGCTCTGTTCTATCCCTCAACTTACAAATTGAAATCATTATTTGTTACTGTTTTCTCCCATGAACCTTCTGTTCCTGGCCAGCTGTACAGCCTGGCCTCATCTCCCACTGCCCCTCAGACCAGGGTACAGCCATGCCTGTAAGCACTTCATTCTCTTCTGTTCCCCCCAGACATTTCACTTCTCATCTAAATCCTCTCTTTTCCCTTCCCCGTCATTTTGTCCAACCTCTGCTCTCACTGCTGATACTTTTCTTTATGTTTCATGACGTCAGAGCCTGTGCTAGACCTGCCTGTACTTGGTCCTGACATTCTCCATTTGTCTCATGTTGCAGTATAAAATCTTAATCCATATTAAGGTGCTGTGCAAATCTGAGCACCCCTGTTAGGGCAAGACATATGCCTTCTGGGCCTTTGTTTCACCCATTTCTCCTTGCACAGTGACAAGGGCTCCCAGAGTCACCTAATGGTAGCTATGTTGATGAAAGTTCCCTGACTCCTCCTTGGATTTTTGAGAACTGGGGTCTCATCTTGTCATAAGAATAGCAAGGTTTGTATGGGTTTGGGTCTCTGATGGTTCCCATGACTGGTGGAAGACACAGATTTAGAATCAAGAATTGGGAGGCCGAGGTGGGTGGATCACTTAAGTTCAGGAGTTCAAGACCAGCCTGGCCAACATGGCAAAACTCCATCTCTACTAAAAATACAAAATTAGCCGGGCGTGGTGGCGCTTGTCTATAGTCCCAGCTACTCGGGACTGAGGCACGAGAATCACTTGAACCTGGGAGGCGGAAGTTGCAGTGAGCCAAGATCCCAGAACTGCCTTCTAAATGACTGTGGGAGATTTTTGTCCAGTCCTGCTAGAAGCAAAATGCTGTACCTGTTGGCTTGTTGGAAGTACAAGCCTGCAGTATTTGGGGGGAAAGTAGGAAGGGAAGAGGGATTCAGTAGGGCCTCATTATCATTAATCGTGTTCCTGAACTTGAAAGCACCATGGGAAAATCCCCTCCCACCCCTGCCTCTGTCCTTTCTAGCTGCTTCCTTGAGGATTATCAAAAAGTGTGGGTCTCCGGTGGGCTCCTAATTCCTTCTTAGGGGATAGAGACACCTTAGAGAAGCAGGGTAGGTTTGATGTATGAATCCTTGTCACTCGCACTAAAAGGAGCACTGGTTGCAGCCTGCACAAATTCCCAAGGTCCACCCGCCAGCTGCTTTGACCCAGGAACCTGCGTGGTAATGAGATCAGCAGCCTGAGTTCTCGAACGATGTTCAAGGCAAACCCTAACCCTGACCTTCCCACTCCTGTTGATGAGAACGGTGACTCCATTCTATTGGCATCAAAGCATAAGGCCCCTTTTTTTTCACAATGCACTTTTTTTGTTGTTGTTGAGACAGTGTCTCTGTTGCCCAGGCTGGAGTGCAGTGGCAAGATTATAGCTCCTGCAGCCTTGAGTTCCTGGGCTCAAGGGATCCTCCCTCCTCTGCCTCCCAAGTGCCTGGGGACTACAGGCATGCACCACTATGCCTGGCTAATTTTTTTATTTTTCGCAGAGACAGGGTCTCACTATGTTGCCAGGGCTGGTTTTGAACTCCTGGCCTCAAGCAGTCCTCCCACCTTGGCCTCCCAAAGGGCTGGGATTACAGGCATGAGCCACTGCACCCAGTCCGCAATGCACTGTTAACACATGGCACCTAGAGCCTGTAATAGTGAACAGCCAGTCTTTTTCAGCCTCAGGCTAGGTCACCAGGGAATCCAGATACCAGATGCCCTCCAGCCTCCATTCCCCACCTCATCTCTCAGGAAACAGATGCACAAAGCAAGTGTTTTGGTGCTGCTTCCCTCACAGCATCCCCATGTGCATTTTGAGGACAACCTTTGTATCTGATTCCAATTAATCAGGTTCTCCAGGAGTTGGAATGTTGGTTTCAAGTGACTGAACAATAAAGTGGCTTTCTTCATCTTTCTTGGCCAGTCCAATAAAAGTGTCAGGTAGCTTTTCTCTTGCTAATGGACACCTAACGACACCCTGGCCTGTTGGTCTTGACCAGAGAAAGGCCAGCTCAGGGCAGCTGGAGCTGAAGAGGCAAGGACCTTTCTAATGAGGACATAAGTGAGGGACACTGGAAAGACCAAAAGAGAATGGAAAGTACTGACATGGTAGTTGCAGGGTGCTAGTGAGCAGTCATGCCCCCAAATCAGCCACCTTACATAGAACTCCCCAAGTTCAGGGCCACTGGATGGGGTTGTGACGCAGTCAAGCAGGGCCCAGAAAGCATACAAGCAGTTGGTTTCATCTCCTGTAAGAAAGTGGCATCATCCCTGCTTTGTAAACGGAGAACCTGACACACACCAAGAGCACTCCTAGCCGTGGAAAAAAGCCGCTAGAACCCGAGGTTAGTCTGATTTTTGGTTCCTCTGAAAATTAGCTTTTGCTGGATGCTAGATTCAGTTCTGGACTTACTGAGTAGTCTCTGGGTTTTTGACATTGTTAGGCACTGTGGGAAAATTATAACAGGTACGTCTGCGCTGAGTTGCTTGCTAATTCCTAGGAGAGACTTGGACATTTTGGACAATTAAGAAGCAATACAGGCCAGGCACGGTGGCTCACGTCTGTAATCCCAGCACTTTGGGAGGCTGAGGCGGGTGGCTCATCTGAGGTCAGGAGTTCGAGACCAGCCTGACCAGCATGGTGAAACCCCATCTCTACTAAAAATACAAAATTAGCCAGGCGTGGTGGCACATGCCTGTAATAATCCCAGCTACTCGGGAGGCTGAGGCAGGAGAATTGCTTGAACTGGGGAGGCAAAGGTTGCAGTGATCCGAGATCACGCCATTGCACTCCAGCCTGGGCAACAAGAGTGAAATTCTGTCTCAAAAAAACAAACAAACAAAAAGAAGCAATACAGCTCTTTGAGAAAGATGCAGTCATAAGTGGTGCAGAGTTGCAGTCTGCCCATTCCTGCTCCTCACTCATCGCTGTTCCGAACAAGTCAGCCAGGAAGCCGCACTGCACCAAGGCTTTTAAAGATACCAGAAAACACCTGTGAAGCTGGAGGTGACCATTCACCAAATTCGAATCCCTCTAATGATCCGCAGCGTAAAATCCCTGGAGAAGGTGTGTGCTGACTTGATTCAGAGGAGGAAAGGAAAAGAATGTCTAAGTGAAGGGACCAGTTTGAATGCCTGCCAAGACTTTGAGAATCACTATAAGAAAATCTCCTTGTGGTGAAGGTTCAGAGACATGGGATCGTTTCCAGATGAGAATCCACAAGCTACCCACTGACTTGCACAGTCCTTCTGAGATTGTTAAGCAGTTGACTTCCATCAGTGTTGAGCCAGGAATTGAGGTGGAAGTCACCATTGCAGATGCTCAAAGTCAACTATTTTAATAAACTGATTAGCGGTTGTTATAAAAAAAAAAAAAAAAAGCAGCAGCAATATGGGTTGAGCGCAGCGGCTCACACCTGTAATCCCAACACTTTGGGAGGTCAAGGTGGGTGGGTTGCTTGAGTCCAGGAGTTCAAGACCAGCCTGGGCAACATTTGAAATTTTAACTTATTTTTTAAAAAAGAAAGAAACATTATACCCAATATCTGTCAATTGATGACTGCAATGTGGTATGTCTACACAATTGAATATTATTAGGTCATTAAAAGGAACAAAGTGCTGATTCTATGCTATAACATGGAGGAAGTTTGAACACATGCTAAGTGAAAGAAGCCAGTCACAAAAGATCACATATTGTATGATTCCATTGATATGAAATATCTAGAATAGCCAAATCCATAGACAGAAAGCAGATTAGTGGTTGCTTAGACTGGGGATAGGGGATGGAGGAGTGACTACTATGGGTCAGGCATTTTTTGAGGGGCGAGGGATGGTAAAAATGTTCTAAAGTGAGATTGTGGTGAATGATTGCACAACTCTGAATATACAAAAACCATTAAATGGATGAATATTACAGCATGTGAATTACCTGTCTGCTGTTTAAATAAAATAGAAACAATACAAAATGGAATGTAATTGAGTGTGAATTTGTGTGATTCAGGCGGTAACTGTTTTACAGAAAATTAGAGATGAGACATTGATATAAACAAGGCTTCCTAGTTTCTTGTTTTGTTTTAAGACAGGGTCTGGCTGGGTGCGGTGGCTCACACCTGTAATCCCAGCACTTGCTAACTGAAGATGCAAGGACCGAGGCGGGCAGATCACTTAAGGTCTGGAGTTCAAGGACAGCCTGGCTAACATGGTGAAACCCCATCTCTACTAAAATGCAAAAATAAGCCAGCCATTGTGGCATATGCCTGTAGTCCCAGCTGCTCCAGAGGCTGAAGTGGGAAAATGGCTTGAACCTGGGAGGCAGAAGTTGCAGCAAGCCAAGATTGTGCCACTGCACTCCAGACTGGGCAACAAAGCAACTCTGTCTTAAAAAAAAAAAAGGGTCTTTGTCATCCCGTCCAGTGGCATGATCATAGCTCACCGTAGCCTCCAACTCCTGGGCTCAAGCAATCCTGTCTCAGCCCACTGAGTAGCTGGGACTACAGGCATGTGCCACCAAGTCTGGCTAGTTTTTAAATTTTTTTGTAGAGACGAGGTCTCACTATGTTGCCTAGGCTGGTCTTGAACTCCTGGGCTCAAATGAGCCTCCTGCCTCAGCCTCCCCAAGTGCTGGGATTGCAGGCATAAGCCACTGCACCCAGCCCCTGGACGTTTTGGATGGTGGACTTTGAGTAGTTTGGGGTAGGAGGACTCTGGAGTGGCGCTGACAGTCCTCAGGAAGGAGTAAGCTTTGCCATGCCAGGGAGGATGCAGCCGTGCTGAAAGCATCCCAACTGGGGAGGGGGGGGGGCGCGGTGGGGAGGGACAGCCCCTGGTAGAGAGAATGGGGCTGGGTGGAGAGAGTGGAAGCCAATTGCAGGGAGTCTTGAAGGTGAGGCAGGGATGTGGATTTTACTCTGTACACAGGGTAGATTTTGATCAGGAAAATAATGTCAAGCACATGACAGCTTGGAAGCAGGAGTCTGAGCTGCAGCCCCAGGGAGGCCATTTAAAAGATTATCCCGGCTGGGCGCCATGGCTCATGCCAGCACTTTGGGAGGCCGAGGCAGGCAGATCACGAGGTCAGGAGCTTTAGACCAGCCTGACCAACATTCCCCTTCTCTACTAAAAATACAAAAATTAGCTGGGCATGGTGGCGCATGCCTGTAATCCCAGCAACTCAGGAGGCTGAGGCAGGAGAATCACTTGAACCCGGGAGGCAGAGGTTGCAGTGAGCCGAGATCGCAGCACTTCACTCCAGCCTGGGCGAAAGAGCAAAACTCCATCTCAAAAAAAAAAAAAAAAAAAATTTATCCCGAGATGGTTCCGGTAAAGGGATAGGACAGAGCATACCTGAGCCACGTTTGGAAGGGAACCGGGGTCTAAACTTGCATCAGGAGGAAAGCGAGCTGGTTCTTGAGGCTTTTACAGATCACGTATAGTGGAGTTTTGTTTGCACGTTCTGGTTGGGACGGGCAGGAAGTTACGGATCCAAGCTGGTATCAGCTAGAGCGGGTCTCACCAGGGCCAGTGTTCCTTTGCTGCATTCTCTTGGGGGGAAATAAATGCCTGGGGGTTCTCTTTGCTACATTTTTGTCTTTGGGAGCTGCTTTTTTCTCTGGGATCGGCTGCAATAGGCCTTGTGATGCCAGAGGGTAAGAATTCAAGTTTACTCTTGACCAATGGGTTGCACAGATCACAAGCTGCAAAATATTTAATCACCGAGGTCATTTGAGGGAAATGAGATTTGATCAATAGAAGTGTCTGCTCTGTTCCTTAAGAGTTGAGTCTAAACTGCTTTTCTCCTTACCTTCGTTTGGCAAAACCACAGACCATTAAAAATGGAAAGAATAACTTTTTCTAAGGCCCACAAAAGCTTATTTTTAATCAGTTGTGTGGTCTACTCACCTTTGTGGTGTTCCCCTTGACCGGACTCACAAAAATAAACGTGTGCAAGCCTAGTGGTTTCTGAGCCCTTTTAAAGCAGTACCCCTGTTTCTGACAACTCTTATTTAAGATAAAGCCCATGGGTCAATGCAGGACTGGGTCTGCAACCTTGGCCCCCCCAAGAGAAACCACTGTCAGTCCCTGTCAGTTGCTGATCATGATGCGCGGGACACCCATTTTCATTTTTAAGGTTTCTAGCGGAAGCCTGTTGAGCACTTGAGGAAGACCGTGTTTCAAATAAGGGGGAGTGAAAGAGAAAAGGGAGAGTAGAAAGGAAGGCAGTGAAGAGCCAGAGTGACTGCACGTGTGGTATTTATTGAGCAAGCATTTCTTGAGCAACTCCTGGGCGCCAGGCATCGTAGTAGGTGCTGGGGATTTAAAGGTACCGATGACACATCACCGCACTCAGGTTCAGAAAGAGGACTGCCCTTCAGTGTGACAGGTGCCAGGAGGGGGAGGGCACCTAACCCAGACTGGGAGTCAGCACCGCCCTGGAGGAGAAGTCACCAGCTAGGCTGAGACAGAAGAGTGAGTAGTGAGAGCTGGACAGAAAAAAATCAGGGGCCCTGTGGCCACTGGGGCAGCCGTGAGCCACAGCAGGGGCTGAGGGAGAACATGCTGTTTCAGAGCCTTATGCATCGGGGAGCGGCAGTCGCTCCACTGAGTCTCTTAGGGTGAACAAATGGTGAGAAAAGTCCTCTCCAAGGCTGTGGGCGGGATGTGGGTGGTAGGTGAGAGGTGGAAGATGCCAGGAGTACATTTGAACATCCTAAAAGGAAATAGAAAGTTCATTTCCCCTCGTGAGTGCAGAGGGGTGTGCTCAGGAGATGGGTAACAGCCCAGGATGGTGAACTCAGGTGTGTCCGGGCCACGGGCCTTCTTGAACGCGTGCGGGAAGAGGCACTGGTCAGGGGAGGGACAGGTGCTCTTGGTGGTATCAGATCTTGTGAGGTGCAGACACCCCGGTGGGTCCAGTGCTCCCACCCAGGGACAGAGAAGGATGGGGCACGGGGAGGGAGAGTGGATGGTGGGGGGCCTGAGGGTGTGCCCAGTCAGAGGGCTGAGGAGAAAGGACCTTTGTGTGCGACAGCTCCTGCTGCCAGAGCAAGTGTGGGTTTTATGGCAGCTGTGGCCTCCCGTCCTAATATAGTCAACAGCTCCAAATCCCCTGCCCTGACACCTGTTAGCGAGAGGTTCCCTGAGCTGACCTCTCCTTGGGCTGCCCCCCCAGCATGTGCATCTGACGCGTCGAGGGCCAGACCCCCACCCTCTCCGAATCACACGCATCCTGGTCAGCCCCCAGTTGACAAATTGCCTTCTCTCGACTTGGGCAGGGGCTGCTGGGGTTTTGAGGGGCGGGGTTTGTTCAGCTGTTGCTAGGGAAGGGTGAGGCTGAGCTATCCCAAAGGAAATGGGGTGTTCCTCTGGCAAGTGGCAATCTTGGCAAAGAACTGAGCATCTGGGGAGGGGGCAACTCCGGACACAAAGAAGTCCTGGGGAGGGCCGACCTTTCCCCTTAGGATGGGGGAAATGAAATGCGCTTAATGCTGCTACAGCTGCTTCCTAACTTTGCCTCTTTCTTCCTTTGACTTTTGGAGGAGTGGGGTGGAAAAGAGATGGGGGTTCCCAGGCAGCCAGCTGTTTTCCCCACTGACCCATGCTCCAATTCCCACTGCCCTGGCTCAGTAGCCTCCAGTAAGTGATGCCCAGGATGGTGCGGCTCCGTGTGGCCAGCGTAATTCCCTTTGTCTCTCCCCTCCTCCCCTCTCCCTGTCTTCCTCTCTCGCCCCTTGGCTTCCCTTCCCGGCCCCGTGGTGGCTGCAGCCCAGCCCTGGGGAGCCCCTGTGGAAGTGGAGTCCTTCCTGGTCCACCCCGGTGACCTGCTGCAGCTTCGCTGTCGGCTGCGGGACGATGTGCAGAGCATCAACTGGCTGCGGGACGGGGTGCAGCTGGCGGAAAGCAACCGCACCCGCATCACAGGGGAGGAGGTGGAGGTGCAGGACTCCGTGCCCGCAGACTCCGGCCTCTATGCTTGCGTAACCAGCAGCCCCTCGGGCAGTGACACCACCTACTTCTCCGTCAATGTTTCAGGTTGGTAGCCAAGCCCTGCCCTTGCCCCTCCCTAGACCCACCCCCTCCAGCCCTCTCTGCCAGTTTCAGAGGAAGGTGAACCTCCTCCCCCTCCGTGATCTGCCCCCACTCTGCTTCAGAAACTGCTGCCCACTAACATTGCTCCCTGCCTGCCGCGTGGCTTGGCTCTCAGAGAGGTGACTAGGTGGGGTGGGCCCCAGGGCCGGAGATCTGGGGCTTCCAGGACACACCTCGGAGGTGATTGCCAGGGCTCTTGGGATGTTAAGACCCTGTGATTTTTTTCCACCACAGCTTGCCCAGATCTCCAGGAGGCTAAGTGGTGCTCGGCCAGCTTCCACTCCATCACTCCCTTGCCATTTGGACTTGGTACTCGGCTTAGTGATTAGAGGCCCTGAACAGGTGGTGGTATCCCTGCTCTGCTGGAGAGGAACCCAGGTGCACCGCAAGGGAGCTGTGCGAGGGCAGCCAGGGAGCCCTGGAGCTCTGTGAACTTGGGAACTTGCCACTCTTAGAATGTGACTTTCACAAAACTAGGAGTTGAGGAAGTGGAGCTGAAATTTTCTTTATGCCATTTATGCACCTCAGGGTGTGGACTTGGCAGCAGATCCCCAAAGGTGATAGGAAGGACTGGAGAAAGATCTGGCATGAACCCTGATGGGTGACCACATGTGTATCAAGCGTGTTCTTACAAGAAATAAATACTTATTGGGGAGAGGTGTTGGCAGCTGCTGGGGTGGTGGGTGCCCTATCTGCTCTGATTAAGGAGGGCAGCCCCCAAACCTTAGTAGACACATGCTAGAAAAATTCTGACTGTGGGGTGTTTAGCCCATCCTTTGGAAATAGCATCTAGCCACAGTGTGTCTAGACCTGCCTGGGTTTCCCTATAGTCAGCCGTCCAAAGAAGAATACAGGTTGCCTGGCTCCAGCACACCCAGGTGGCACCACAAGTTGAGAAAGCGCCTTTGAATGTAGGACGGAATTAAGTTAAATAGGAACAGCTGACCCTGATGGAACCACCCAGTGTGAAGGCTTCCAGGCAGTGGGGGCAGTGCTTCGGGGAAGGAAGCAAACACGCACAGGAACTGTTCTTAAACAGTTTCCATCCCACCAAGAGATCATCACTAAGGGAGCAGTGGGACTGGGATCCCCATGGGGAGGGTGTCCGTGTTCATCTGGAACTGCACTAGCCTTGGTGAAATCTAGGGGTCCCTAGGAGGAACCTCAGTGCCCCTTCTTCTTCCCATAGATGCTCTCCCCTCCTCGGAGGATGATGATGATGATGATGACTCCTCTTCAGAGGAGAAAGAAACAGATAACACCAAACCAAACCGTATGCGTGAGACACTGTTTCCTATCTTACTGCCCTTTGGGTCTGGGCATTGGGTTTAAGAGGGGAGGGGAAGGCTGAAAGGGGAGGAAGAGGAGGGCACATGGGGTCACGGTGCCTGTTCTGCTAAGTGCCAGGCACTGCTCACAGGTGTTGGGCAGATGGGCAAGACACCTCCAGGTCCTGGCCTGGGCCCTGCTCCTGAGCCTGACCAGCTGCTCCTCTCCACCCTGCCTGTCTCTCTTGGCTTTCCCCGGGCAGCCGTAGCTCCATATTGGACATCCCCAGAAAAGATGGAAAAGAAATTGCATGCAGTGCCGGCTGCCAAGACAGTGAAGTTCAAATGCCCTTCCAGTGGGACCCCAAACCCCACACTGCGCTGGTTGAAAAATGGCAAAGAATTCAAACCTGACCACAGAATTGGAGGCTACAAGGTACGTGTGTGTGCATGCGAAAGTTAGAGTAATGGGAACAGGGGAGGCCGAGTTAGGAAGTCCTGATTACATGCTTTTCATTTTTTTAAGTAATACTTTCCACCTATACAGGTTATTCATTAAAATTTTTAAATACAAAAAAATGCAAATAAAGTTTAAACATTTCTTCAGTCTTCTTTCTGTAATATGGTTTTTACATAGTTGATCACATCATGTATGTAATTTCCTTGCCTTGTCATTTGTTAACATGAGTCTTTTCCTGATATATTTCAAGCATGAATATTTGAAACATAATTTTTCATGACTGTATAAGATTCCATTATTTTAAAATCCCATAATTTGGCTGGGCATGGTGGCTCACGCCTAAAATCCTATCACTTTGGGAGGCCGAGGTGGGCGGATTGCCTGAGCTCAGGAGTTCGAGACCAGCCTGGGCAACATGGCGAAACCTCCTCTGTACTAAAAATACAAAAAATTAGCCATGTGTGGTGGCAGGCTCCTGTAATCCCAGCTACTGGGGAGGCTGAAGCAGGAGATTGCTTGAACCCAGGAGACAGAGGTTGCAGTGAGCTGAGATCACGTCATTTCACTCTAGCCTGGGTGACAGAGTGAGACTCTGTCTCCAAAAAACAACAGAAAAAGTCCTATAATTTAATGAACTATTTTGTGATATTAGGTATTTTCTGGTTTTTCACCATAATAAATAATGTTGCAGTGAATCTCTGTCAGCATTTTTTTAAGCGTGCTTCCTTAGGACAGATTGTTACAAGTGAAATTACTAACTTAAAGGGTGTAAGCATTTTTTTTTTTTTTTTAGACGGAGTCTCACTCTGTCACCCAGGCTGGAGTGCAGTGGTGCCATCTTGGCTCACTGCAAGCTCCACCTCCCAGGTTCATGCCATTCTCCTGCCTCAGCCTCCCGAGTACCTGGGATGTGCAGCCACCATTCCCAGCTAATTTTTGTATTTTTAGTAGAGACGGGGTTTCCCCATGTTGGCCAGGCTGGTCTTGAACTCATGACCTCAAGTGATCTGTCCGCCTGGGCCTCCCAAAGAGCTGGGATTACAGGCTTGAGCCACCGCACCCAGCCAGAAATATTTTAAATTAATTCACCATGCACTCACTACATGCAAGACACCATGCTTTAAATGCTGCAAGATAGCGTTCCTGCCCATAAAAATTTTGCAGTCTGATAGGAGGCAAATGTCCATGAGCAGCTACCGTAAAAAGTAGACTGTGATCAGTGCTTTGGTAGGCAGAGAGGAAAGGGTGAGCACAGTTCTGACCAGAGACTGGACTGGAGGAGATGGTTTTTGAAATGAGCTGTCAAGGACAGTGGGGGCTGGATTCTTAGTGTAATAGGAGAGGTGCACAGTTGGGAACATTCTTGGTGTATTTGGGAGTGTTTGCAGAAGGCACATCTGTCCGGATCACGAATGATCTTGAACGTCACAGTGGAGACTTCTGGAGTCTTTACACCCCATCTGCCAGCTTGCAGAGTGTGAACGGGCTGGTAGGGGGGCAATCCACGCCTTGTCCTAGCCAACCCTGCAGCCTGGGGCCCTGTGCCACCAGGCTCTGATATGGAGGGCAGGTGCCACGGGGTGCCGACATTGTCATGGGGCCTGCATTTTCCTCTGGACCCTCAATGTATCCCTTTGGCATTTCCCCTCAGGTCCGTTATGCCACCTGGAGCATCATAATGGACTCTGTGGTGCCCTCTGACAAGGGCAACTACACCTGCATTGTGGAGAATGAGTACGGCAGCATCAACCACACATACCAGCTGGATGTCGTGGGTAAGAGGGCAGAGGCAGCAGGAGGAATGAGTTTAGTGGGAAGAGCCAGGCTTGGAGAACACAGCCGGGGTGTCCAGGTTTCTTAGGGGCAGAGTCAGGATAGCGATTGGCACTTCTTGGCTTTGTCACCTTGAGCAGGTCACTTCTCCCTTTTGAGCCTCACTTTTCTTATCTGTAAAATAGAGTTAAGATCAGACAGTAACACGGTCAAAGCTGGTTGTCACTGTGAAATTGAAGGTGCTGTTCAGAGTCTGTCCTGAAGGAGGCGTTGTTGGAGAGGTGTTAAATGTAGCGTAATAGGAGCTGTCGCTTAATGCTAGCAAGATGCCAGGCTCCTTAAATACCTGCCCTGTAATGCTCATGGCACACCTGCAAGGTGGGCAGTATTAGTCTAGCCCTGCACAGGAGCACAGGCGCATAGGCTCAGAGAGGTCAGACACCTTGCTAATGCAGAACTGCACACCTGTGCCAACTTCAGGGCATCACAGGAGACTCTGGGAAGAACATTGAGCCTCTTGGAGCTATTACCGCAACCTTTTCCTTCTAGGAGTTCTGAAACTCACTCCCTAGAGATCATTGGGTACAGAATCTCTCAGCCAGTGTTCTTCTTGATTATGATGATATGGTCTAAGAAGGAGATTGTGGCCAGGAGCAGTGGCTTATGAGCTCCAGGTGGCATGATGGGATTACTCACGCCTGTGATCCCATCACTTTAGGAGGCCAAGGCTGGAGGATTGCTTGAGGCCAGGAGTGTGAGACCAGCCTGGGCAACACAGTGAGACCCTGTCTCTATAAAAAAATTTAAAAATTAGCCTAGTGCAGTGTCATGTACTTGTAGTACCAGCTGAGTTAACTGAGGCTACTGAGGTGGGAAGATCACTTGAGCCCAGGAATTCGAAGCTGCAGTGAGCTATGATGACACCCTTGTGCTCCAGCATGGGTGACAGAGTGAGACCCTGCCTTTAAAAAAAAAAAAGGTAAAAAGGAGATTCTGATCCAAGAGGTTGGGGTAAGATCTGAGATTCCGCGTTTCTAACAAGCTCCTAGGGGATGCTGGTAGCACTGCTCGTGGACCACACTTTGAATAGCAGGAGTCAAAGTGACTCTGGTTTTTTAAGGAGGAGCAGGTTGTGCTGAGGTCTGGGGGTGCAACTGAATTAGAAGGTTCTCCATTAAAGCATGAGCGACTTACTGTGACTGTAAATATGATGACTGCCTTGGGGAGGAGGATCCTGATGGCTTAGGGCCTGAAGAGAGGGTGTCCCTTTCCCCAGCTCTGTTTTGAGAGGCTTGGGCTCAGCAGAAGTGCTGGGAGGTTTACAACCCATCACTGGGAAAGCCAAGTGGGGCGCAGGTGAGCCCACCCCTCTTTAGCCATGGCAAGGTCCCCATGACAAGTGCCTCCTCTCCCATCTTCCACAGAGCGGTCCCCTCACCGGCCCATCCTGCAAGCAGGGTTGCCCGCCAACAAAACAGTGGCCCTGGGTAGCAACGTGGAGTTCATGTGTAAGGTGTACAGTGACCCGCAGCCGCACATCCAGTGGCTAAAGCACATCGAGGTGAATGGGAGCAAGATTGGCCCAGACAACCTGCCTTATGTCCAGATCTTGAAGGTAATCATGGCACCAGTCTTCGTGGGCCAGTCTACTGGGAAGGAGACCACTGTCTCGGGGGCTCAAGTTCCTGTGGGCAGGCTCAGTTGCCCCCGAATGGGATCATTCCTCACGCTTCAGGCACACACACTCCATCTCAGTAGGGATCTAGCCACATCCCCCAGGACTAGTAACAGAGGTCACAAAGTGGAGGTGAGCTGGGAACAGAGGGCTGCAGGGATGGGTGGTGCTGGTCTGTAATAAGCTTTGAGAGCAACGTCACTGGGGCTTTGGGGTCAGCTACACAAGGAAGGCATTTGGACCCCTGCCTTTTCATTGCCCGAAACCAGAGCCTTTCCACCAAGCGTTTCCCAGTCTTAGCCCTGTGTCCTGAGTTACGTACGATCTTTCTGGCAAATGGGGTGCATGATAAGAGCATCTCTTACGAAGAGTTGGAAAAACAAATGCCATATATAAATTCTAAGCCATATGAGGACGAGGAGTAATGGCATTTTCTTCCTTTTTCCTCTCACTCCCAGACATTCATTGTCCCTGAATGCTCCATTAATCCAGGGAAGGTAATTGCCTAAATCTCCAGTGGATCTCGCAACAGGAAGGAACCAGAAGCTGGGAAAGTTGTTTACCTCTTTGTCCCAGAGTTAGACCTCATCCTCCCCTAGCTTAGCTGTCTCAGAGATATACTGGCCCTCCCTTCTCTTCTCTTTGCTGCTGGTGCTAAAACTGCTCTGTAGGTCATTGGCCACTGTCTCCACTCACAACCCCTGCTCCAGTCCTGGAGGGAGTGGGTTAAACACAAATAGAACATTCCATTTGAAGCAGTGATTCTTTTTTTTTTTTTTTTTTTTTAATCAAATGCTTTGGACTTTTGAAGTCCACTTGTTCTGTACTTGTAAAAGGGAAAGAAGGCCGGGCGCAGTGGCTCACGCCTGTAATCCCAGCACTTTAGATCACTTGAGGTCAGGAGTTTGAGACCAGCCCGGCCAACATGGTGAAACCCCATCTCTACTAAAAATACAAAAATTAGCTGTGCATAGTGGTTGGCACCTGTAGTCCCAGCTACTCAGGAGGCTGAGGCAAGCTAACTGCTTGAACCCAGAAGGCAGAGGTTGCAGTGAGCTGAGATCACGCCACTGCACTCCAGCCTGGGTGACAGAGTGAGTGAGACTCTGCGTTAAAAAAAAAAAAAAAAAAAAAAACTAAAAGGGAAAGGTAATAAATCTCACTTAACATCTCCCTTCGCTCCCTGGGCCTGCCTGAAAGTTACACGGGAGCAACGTGCGTGGCCACATCTCAGCTTTGCCCAACTGACTGGTGTGTCGTTGGTTTGTTCCAGCATTCGGGGATTAATAGCTCGGATGCGGAGGTGCTGACCCTGTTCAATGTGACAGAGGCCCAGAGCGGGGAGTATGTGTGTAAGGTTTCCAATTATATTGGTGAAGCTAACCAGTCTGCGTGGCTCACTGTCACCAGACCTGTGGCAAAAGGTAATGGGGAGATGGATGGGACCCTGTGCTGGGGATTTGATGTAGGCCCCAAGCTGCTGGGGCAGGCGGGGAAGCCAGTACTGGACTGTCCTTGCCACCCTACTGTATTTCTAGTGCCCAGAGCCATGGAAAAATACCCGGCCTGGGAGGCTGGTTTGGTTTGGTATTGTGTTGGTGTCTGTGGGTTCCCTCTCTGCCTTCTGTGTGTTCCTTGGCTTTGTGTGGATCCATGTGAGGACTCACGGGGACACGGTTTTGCTGTGTTACAAATGGTACTTCAGACTGAAGTTGTGAGTGAGTGGTGATTAAGAGAAGGGGCCATAGGCCAGGCACAGTGGCTCACGCCTGTCATCCCAGCACTTTGGGAGGCTGAGGTGGGAGGATCGCTTGAAGCCAGGAGTTTGAGACCAGCCTGGGCAACATAGCAAGACCCCATCTCTACAAATTAAATAAATTAGCCAAGTATGGTGGCGTGTGCCTGTAGTCCCAGCTAGTCTGAAGGCTGAGGCAGGAGGATTGCCTGAGCTTAGGTCGAGGCTGCAGTGAGCTATGTTTATGCCACTGCACCCCAGCCTGGGTTGACAGAATGGTACCCCATCTCTTAAAAAAGAGAGAGAAGGGGTTAGGCATTCCCTTGCATACTCGCATCTGCTGGCTGTGTATGCACATGTGCGTGTGTGTATGCGTGTGCATGTGTGTGTCTGCAGCCCCCGCCATCCCTCCTGTGTTCACCTTCTGGCTATCTTTACCTGAAACCAAACAGCCCCTGCCCGCCGGCCCCATTTCTCCATGCCGCTCACCGCCCGCATGCTCGGATGGGCCAGTGGCTGCCAGCATCTGGTGAAGGGTCGTAACCAGCCATCGTCTTCTCAGGTCTGCCGGAGTTCTTCCCTCAGGGTCTCACCCTCTTCCTCTAACAGGTTTTGCTGCCTGGTGGTTTTCGTTTGTTCCTTGTTGCAAAGAAGATGTCAGGGAGCATTTCTTCCTCTAGTCCCCCTTCTTTCTGTCTCCTTCCCTTGCTCTGCGTCTCTTAGAGGTCTCATGTCCTGTGCTTGTCCATTTTGCTTCCGTTGTCTCTTCTAGACTGCTGGAGTTAATACCACCGACAAAGAGATGGAGGTGCTTCACTTAAGAAATGTCTCCTTTGAGGACGCAGGGGAGTATACGTGCTTGGCGGGTAACTCTATCGGACTCTCCCATCACTCTGCATGGTTGACCGTTCTGGAAGGTACACACTGTAACTTCTCCTCTCGATGTCCTGCCCTCGCCACGGGCACGGGGGGAGCATGCATTTCCAGGCTTGGGGAGACACAGAGGCAGGAGAGCTGGAAGAATGGGCTCCTGCCTGCCTGGTGCCACATCCTGCCCCAGCTTTGAGGGCTGAATCCTCTCAGCTCAGAGAAGAGCTTCCCTAGTTTTGCAGGCGCACGGAGGCCTCCCACCCGTACACCTGCCTCTGCTCTCCCCCTGGCCATTGCAATGCATGCCCGGGATCTGGGTTTACCCTGCAGCCCGACTCCTCCAGGGCAGGCTCCTTCCGTCCTTGGGTCCAGCAGCCTCCCCCCTCCGCTGGGTACTGAGCATCTGAAAAGTCTCAGATAGGGCCCTACACCTCTTCTCCCTTCTCAAGTGCTCAGCCCAGGGGTGGGGCTTGCTGCTTGCAAAGAGCAGCCCACCCTCCTGTACTGCCATCCTATTGCCTTTGAAGAAGGAGGTCAGCCTGGACAGGTGAACTGAGTTGCCTTCAGAAAGGCCTGTCTCAGGCAGCCGCAGCAGGCTTCACGATGTCCATGTATCCTGTTTGCCTGCTGCCGTCTCTCCTCTCCCAAGAGGGGAGGTCTGCGTGTTGAGCCAGGGAGGAAGGAGCCTGCAGCCTGCTCAGGGTGGTGGCTGGTGACTGCGGGGCCAGGGCTTGCTGCTGTCTCTCGGAATGTCCTGCATGTGGGTCTGGCTGTTCCTGCTGGCACTGCCCTCTTCTCTCTCCCCTCCTTTCCCACTCTGCCCTGCTTGCCCGTCAGGGTCTCCGGATGCCCCTGCTGGAGGCAGAGAAGCGTTCTGTTTTTATCATCGTCCCTGTCTTGGTCCTGTCCGTGCTCCCCATGTGCTCCCAATCAGTTGTCTTCGTTCCTCAACATCAGGGAAAGAAAAAACAGCAACACTTCTCCCTGTCATCAGCTCTGCTGTCTCCTTGTCAGGCCTTGGGACGTTCTCTGGGCTCAGTCTAGGGTCGTGCCTCATGCCTCATGCCTCTCTGGGAAGGTTCCCAGGGGCGCCGCCTCCATGGTTGGCTGGTGGGTTTTAAAGGGGAAGGTTGGGAGGAGGCCTGTGGAAGGAGGAGGGCCGTCCACACCCGTGGGGCAAAGCGTGTTCCATGAAACCAGTGCTGTGCGTGCTGGGATGAAAGCCTCCCAGCCTCTCGTGCTGAAGGGAAAGGTGGACCGAACTGGCTTAGCTGCTGTGGCAATGGGGTGGGGGGTGAGTCCTAATCAGAAGGTGGGAGAAGAGAATAACAAAATGGAACTCCGCCCCCTGCCGCCACATTTCCTTAAGTTTTAGGAGTTGGGGCCTATGAGTAGAATTTGAAAGAACTACCAAAAAAGCTTATTTTTGGAAATTAAGTCAGCTTTGCCTGTGGTTTGGCTAGGAATAAATATTTACCTGTGTGCCCCTACAGAGATGACACAGACCCAAAGTGGGACATTGAGCAAGGCACAGGCTGGTTCCCCTCCTGTCCTCTGTCCTCATTCTGTGAGTGCCACCATCACCAGGTACTGTGGCCTGCAGAAATAAACGAGGCACCAACCCTGCCCTCAGGGACCCCGTGTCTTCTTAGGGACAGAGGACTCAGAAACATCTGTGTCCCCGCATGTTAAGTGCATGCACACAGTGCTGAGGCTTTGCAGAGAAGGGCCATGGCTCCCTGAGGAGACCAAGAAAGGCACATAGAAGTGACTTCTCAGCTGGCCCTTGCAGGATCCCTGGGTGCCTGTACCTCTCCAGTCCAGCTGAGCAAGGAGGCTCAGGAATTAATGAAGATGGGGCTTGTGTAGCACGATGGTTCTAGGCCATCCCTTTTCCATGGCTCAAGTCCATTGAAGGCAGCCTCCAAAATCAGGGGGTTGCCTGATCCTCCTAGTGCCACAATCCCAGTCCTAGCTAGAACTTGCCATGGTTCTTCTCCCTAAAAGTTCCCAGGGGACAGGAGACAGGTGTTGCTTTTCTAATGGAGCGGGACCTCGCATGGACGGGGCCCTCCAAGCCTGCTAACACCCTGTTCGCACTGACTCAGCCCTGGAAGAGAGGCCGGCAGTGATGACCTCGCCCCTGTACCTGGAGATCATCATCTATTGCACAGGGGCCTTCCTCATCTCCTGCATGGTGGGGTCGGTCATCGTCTACAAGATGAAGAGTGGTACCAAGAAGAGTGACTTCCACAGCCAGATGGCTGTGCACAAGCTGGCCAAGAGCATCCCTCTGCGCAGACAGGTAACAGAAAGTAGATGGGGGATTTGCACACTCAGCACCACCTCTCTCTCTGGGCCTCTAATGCCCTGCCCTCTCCATTGTCCCTAATTTATAGCTTTGGGCCTTATTTTCTGGCTTCTGGGCAAGGCACAGTGGAATATCATGAACTAAGTGCTCTAGAGTCTGTTTCAAGCTAGTGTAGCCCGTGAATTTCCTGCACCCTCCATATCACACTGCAAGTCCTCCGGACTCCTGGGACATGGATTGGGAGGAAGTCCTATTTGGACAGAATGTGCAGCCAATAGCATGAATTTGAACTGTCCCCAAGGGCTGCTTAGAAGTGCAGAGATGCAGGGTAGAGAAGAGAACTGTTTGTATTAGTCCATTTTCACACTGCTGAGAAAGACATACCCAAGACCGGGCAATTTACAAAAGAAAGAGGTTTAATGGACTCACAGTTCCACGTGGCTGGGGAGGCCTCACAATTGCAGAAGGCAAAAGGCACGTCTCACATGGCGGCAGACGAGAAGAGAGCTTGTACAGGGAAACTCCCCTTTATAAAATCATCAGATCTCGTGAGATTTATTCACTATCACAAGAACAGCACAGGGAAGACCTGCCCCCATGAGTCAATGACCTCCTACCAGGTCCCTCCCATAACACGTGGGAATTCAAGATGAGATTTGGGTGGGGACACAGCCAAACCATCTCAGCCATACCATACCCTTGTCCCCTGTGTGCCCACCCTTCCCCACGGGAGGAAATGGTACAGATGGCACAGGTGTGTGCAAGAATGACCGTTCCCTCAGAAGCCTGTGCTCATTCTGGAAGGTGCTTTGGGAGTTAGGAATCCATAAGCTAAGGCAAAGTATTTGCAAAGAGTCAGGAGAACAGAGTTGTTACTGCAATGATCAGTTATAAAATGTCAAGCTGGAAGAGGTGCATTTGGTCTGCTTATTTTAAAGGTGAGTGAAGTCCAGAAAGGCCAGCTTGTGGCAGAAATAGGTCAGTCCTAGAAGTTGGGCCTCCTGGCCTACCATGGTCTTTGGACCACTCTGTGTTGAGGAAAGAACATCAGATACACAGACATGTGCCTCTGCCATTGTTGGGAAGCCCTGACTAAGAATGGGAAGGAGTCACCCCGTCCCCCCTCCTTGCTCTAGGGTGACCCCACTCTTCCTTGCAGGTGTCTGCTGACTCCAGTGCATCCATGAACTCTGGGGTTCTTCTGGTTCGGCCATCACGGCTCTCCTCCAGTGGGACTCCCATGCTAGCAGGGGTCTCTGAGTATGAGCTTCCCGAAGACCCTCGCTGGGAGCTGCCTCGGGACAGGTAATAATACTTTGACTCCCAACTTTTTGAAGGCATTCCTTGCTTGCTATTCTAGTGGTGGAAGGTGTGTATACTAACACCTTCTGGGCGGTGAAGGTTCATGAAATGCCTGCAGAAACATTCATTCCACTTTCTGCTCGCAGTTGGGTGAAATACAGAGAGGTGGAGATGGGGTGCCTCTCAAGGTTTGAACTTCACCAGCCCCAACTTATGCCACTCTCTGTTTCCCCCGAAAGACTGGTCTTAGGCAAACCCCTGGGAGAGGGCTGCTTTGGGCAGGTGGTGTTGGCAGAGGCTATCGGGCTGGACAAGGACAAACCCAACCGTGTGACCAAAGTGGCTGTGAAGATGTTGAAGTGTAAGTGATGCTTCTGTCCTTGCAAAGAAAATCTTGTCCCATTCCAAGCAAACAGCAGGCCTCGGGCCCAGCAGAACAGCTTCTCTGGTGCCTTTGCTGCCCACACCTGCTCCGCTGCCTGCTTGGGGTTACCTGGGAGTGGAGGGGGTGTTCTGCACCTTGAGATTGTTCTATGACGTCACTCTGTTCCTTGGCGTCAACCTGGGCTGTGGTCAGGTGTTTATCCTGGATCCATCGCTTGCAGGCTTTCCTCACCACATCCCTGCCCACTCACTACCACCTATTGCAACAACGGCTCCCATGAGAGGGAAGAGAAAACAAGTTTGGATGAAGTGGGGAGGAGAGAATCAAGTCCCAGGGAAAAGCAGCCCCTCGACACATACCCCACTCCCTTAGCCTTTATCCTGCCCTCCTCCCTTCCCAAGTAAATGAGTCTCAACGTGTTCTTTAAAGCGGACGCAACAGAGAAAGACTTGTCAGACCTGATCTCAGAAATGGAGATGATGAAGATGATCGGGAAGCATAAGAATATCATCAACCTGCTGGGGGCCTGCACGCAGGATGGTGGGTGCCGGCCAGACTGGCTTTCCCTGCCCAGCGGGGAGAAGATCTGAGCTGGGGTATCAGTCCCAAGGCCTCTCTCAGCCACAGCTAGGGAAGGGGGTTAAGAGAGGCTGCTTTGGCAGAGGTTTAAAATGTGTTATCTCGGGATCTGGGCTCCGCTCATTGGTGTTCATTCAGGAATACAGATACCTAGATTCACACACGTGGTGTGTTAACAGAGGCAGCTGAGTAATTATGGTCTAAGAGCGCTCAGGCTGGGTGCAGTGGCTCATGCCTGTAATCCCAGCAATTTGGGAGGCCGAGGCAGGAAGATCACTTGAGATCAGGAGTTCGAGACCAGTCTGGTCAAAATGGTGAAACCCCATCTCTACTAAAAAATACAAAAGTTAGCCAGGCATGGTCACGCATGCCTATAATCCCAGCTACTCAGGAGGCTGACGCATAAGACTTGCTTGAACCCGGGAGGTGGAGGTTGCAGTGAGCCAAGATCACGCCATTGTACTCCAGCTTGGGAGATACTCCCGCTGTCTCAAAAATAAAATAAATAAATAGGCCAGGCACAGTGGCTCACGCCTGTAATCCCAGCACCTTGGGAGGGTGAGGCGGGTGGATCACTTGAGGTCAGGAGTTGGAGACCAGCCTGGCCAACAGGTGAAACCCCATCTCTACTAAAAATACAAAAAGTAGCCGGGCGTGGTGGCGCATGCCTGTAATTCCAGCTACTCGGGAGGCTGTGGCAGGAGAATCGTTTGAACACGGGAGGCGGAGGTTGCGGTTAGCCGAGATCGCGCCATTGCACTCCAGCTTGGGCAACGAGCAAAACTCCATCTCAAAAAAAAAAAAAAAAAAAAAAAAAATTAGCCAGGCATTGTTCATGCCTGTAATCCCAGCTGCTTGGGAGGCTGAGGCAGGAGAATCACTTGAATCCAGAAGGCAGAGGTTGCAGTGAGCCGAAATTGCGCCACTGCACTCCAGCCTGGGCAACAGAGTGAGACTCCATCTCAAAATAAACAGACAAACTGGGGCTCTTACCCCAATGTTGCTCGGGAATTTTCTGGACTATGCTGGGAGTAATTATTTCTCTGATTTTTTTTGGGTAGTAGAATGGATTTCCCAGGTCCCCTAAGAGGAGGCAGGAGATGGGAGGTTGGCCGGGGTGTGCTGCTGGGGGTGGGGTTTCTTTGAGGTGAAGCCAAACCTGCTCACCTGCTGCTGGCCCCATGGCCTCTTCTCCTGTGCCTGCAGGTCCCTTGTATGTCATCGTGGAGTATGCCTCCAAGGGCAACCTGCGGGAGTACCTGCAGGCCCGGAGGCCCCCAGGGCTGGAATACTGCTACAACCCCAGCCACAACCCAGAGGAGCAGCTCTCCTCCAAGGACCTGGTGTCCTGCGCCTACCAGGTGGCCCGAGGCATGGAGTATCTGGCCTCCAAGAAGGTGTGGAACCTGAAGGCTCCCCTGGGTAATGCCAGGGTGGGAACAGAGCCCCCCTAGTCTTCCAGCCTGTGACTTATCATCTTGTGGTGGCGTTGTGGATGCACTGAGCACTGGCCCTGTGTGCCCTGTGTGTTGTCTTAGGCTCTCTGGGAACTGCAGAGTCAGGAGCACCAGTGTAGCCAGGTGGCCTTGGGGTCAGACTGATGCAGGGTCCGATCTGTGCACTGCCACTTTCTGCGTAGCCTCAGGCAGCTACTTAGCATCTTAAAATTCTTCAAATACAAAATAATAATAATATCAGCTGGGTGCAGTGGCCAAGGCGGGAGGATTGCTTGAGCTCAGGAGTGTGAGACCAGGTTGGGCAATATATTGAAACCCCGTCTTTAAAAAAAAAAAAAAAATTAAAAAATTAGCTGGGTGTGGTAGTGCGTGCCGATAGTCCCAGCTACTCGGGAGGCTGAGGTGGGAGGCTAGCTTGAGCCCAAGAGTTTGAGGCTGCACTGAGCCATGATCACACCACTGCACCCCAGCCGGGGCGACAGAGCAAGGCCCTGTCTCAAAAGAAAATAAAGTATAACAATACCTGTTGTAGAATTGTTATGAAGATAAAATGAAACTGTCTGTGAGTGTTGAGTGCAGTGTTTGGTGTGTAAGGGCTGGCCTGGTTTGAGCCCAGCCCCATGTGGACTTGCTGTGCTGGGAGGCAGGACCTAGGAGCATGCATCGCTGCAGACGCAGCAGAGGCATAAGGGGCCAGTCTTTGGGGAAGGAAGGGAGGAGCGCTTGCTGTGATGAGAAGCCTGGAGCTGGCAGAGAATGTTAGAAGAGGGAAAGCAAAGGTTCGGGGGGCAGAGCAGTGTGGCAGAAGTTCTATGAGACAAGTCGGCTAGTTGCATGGGTGGCGGCCGCCCAGAGCCTTCCAGCTCCCTCACCTCCCCGCCTCCCGCTCTCCCTTCCTCCTTCCTCAGTGCATACACCGAGACCTGGCAGCCAGGAATGTCCTGGTGACAGAGGACAATGTGATGAAGATAGCAGACTTTGGCCTCGCACGGGACATTCACCACATCGACTACTATAAAAAGACAACCAACGTGAGTGCCGACAAGGCCGCCCTGTGCTGGTGGTTTCATCTGAGAAGCAAGGAGTGGGGTGGGCTGAGAACCCACCCCCCAGTCCCTTCCCACCTGTGCCCTCATGGCCCTGCCTGGGGCCACTCCAACCTCCCCTGTGCTGCTTTCAGGGCCGACTGCCTGTGAAGTGGATGGCACCCGAGGCATTATTTGACCGGATCTACACCCACCAGAGTGATGTGTGAGTTTGTAATAGCAATTGCCAGGGAGGTGTGGGATAGAGAGCTTCTAGCACTGTAGAGTCCTGCTTTCTCCCTGGACTGAGGAGTCCTCTTTCTGCCCCAGAGAGAAAAACAAAACATTGTCTGTGGCCATTCCCTCTGCTCCAGATGTTGAAAGGCTGATCTGTTCTCCATGCTGTCTCCTGGCACTGCCCTGGGTAGAGGATTTGTGCTGGGGGAGGGGAGGCGGAGAAGCTCTAACACCCTGTGGCTCTCCGCCCATTTGCAGGTGGTCTTTCGGGGTGCTCCTGTGGGAGATCTTCACTCTGGGCGGCTCCCCATACCCCGGTGTGCCTGTGGAGGAACTTTTCAAGCTGCTGAAGGAGGGTCACCGCATGGACAAGCCCAGTAACTGCACCAACGAGCTGTAAGCCCGAGGAGATGTCGGAGGCCCTGAGCCAGGCCTTGGGGCAAGAGTGGGCTTGAGGGGCAGGGGGCTAGACTAGAGAGTATCCATCTCCAGGAGACGTCCCTGACCTTACAGTCCTGCCGCAGGTACATGATGATGCGGGACTGCTGGCATGCAGTGCCCTCACAGAGACCCACCTTCAAGCAGCTGGTGGAAGACCTGGACCGCATCGTGGCCTTGACCTCCAACCAGGTAAGGCTGCCCGTGCCAGAGCCAGAGCTCAGGCCGTCCCCACTGCGTGCACGCACCTCCCTGAGCAGGGAGGAGGGGCCCGGCCCATCGCTGCTTCCTCTCGCCCATCACAGGAGTACCTGGACCTGTCCATGCCCCTGGACCAGTACTCCCCCAGCTTTCCCGACACCCGGAGCTCTACGTGCTCCTCAGGGGAGGATTCCGTCTTCTCTCATGAGCCGCTGCCCGAGGAGCCCTGCCTGCCCCGACACCCAGCCCAGCTTGCCAATGGCGGACTCAAACGCCGCTGACTGCCACCCACACGCCCTCCCCAGACTCCACCGTCAGCTGTAACCCTCACCCACAGCCCCTGCTGGGCCCACCACCTGTCCGTCCCTGTCCCCTTTCCTGCTGGCAGGAGCCGGCTGCCTACCAGGGGCCTTCCTGTGTGGCCTGCCTTCACCCCACTCAGCTCACCTCTCCCTCCACCTCCTCTCCACCTGCTGGTGAGAGGTGCAAAGAGGCAGATCTTTGCTGCCAGCCACTTCATCCCCTCCCAGATGTTGGACCAACACCCCTCCCTGCCACCAGGCACTGCCTGGAGGGCAGGGAGTGGGAGCCAATGAACAGGCATGCAAGTGAGAGCTTCCTGAGCTTTCTCCTGTCGGTTTGGTCTGTTTTGCCTTCACCCATAAGCCCCTCGCACTCTGGTGGCAGGTGCCTTGTCCTCAGGGCTACAGCAGTAGGGAGGTCAGTGCTTCGTGCCTCGATTGAAGGTGACCTCTGCCCCAGATAGGTGGTGCCAGTGGCTTATTAATTCCGATACTAGTTTGCTTTGCTGACCAAATGCCTGGTACCAGAGGATGGTGAGGCGAAGGCCAGGTTGGGGGCAGTGTTGTGGCCCTGGGGCCCAGCCCCAAACTGGGGGCTCTGTATATAGCTATGAAGAAAACACAAAGTGTATAAATCTGAGTATATATTTACATGTCTTTTTAAAAGGGTCGTTACCAGAGATTTACCCATCGGGTAAGATGCTCCTGGTGGCTGGGAGGCATCAGTTGCTATATATTAAAAACAAAAAAGAAAAAAAAGGAAAATGTTTTTAAAAAGGTCATATATTTTTTGCTACTTTTGCTGTTTTATTTTTTTAAATTATGTTCTAAACCTATTTTCAGTTTAGGTCCCTCAATAAAAATTGCTGCTGCTTCATTTATCTATGGGCTGTATGAAAAGGGTGGGAATGTCCACTGGAAAGAAGGGACACCCACGGGCCCTGGGGCTAGGTCTGTCCCGAGGGCACCGCATGCTCCCGGCGCAGGTTCCTTGTAACCTCTTCTTCCTAGGTCCTGCACCCAGACCTCACGACGCACCTCCTGCCTCTCCGCTGCTTTTGGAAAGTCAGAAAAAGAAGATGTCTGCTTCGAGGGCAGGAACCCCATCCATGCAGTAGAGGCGCTGGGCAGAGAGTCAAGGCCCAGCAGCCATCGACCATGGATGGTTTCCTCCAAGGAAACCGGTGGGGTTGGGCTGGGGAGGGGGCACCTACCTAGGAATAGCCACGGGGTAGAGCTACAGTGATTAAGAGGAAAGCAAGGGCGCGGTTGCTCACGCCTGTAATCCCAGCACTTTGGGACACCGAGGTGGGCAGATCACTTCAGGTCAGGAGTTTGAGACCAGCCTGGCCAACTTAGTGAAACCCCATCTCTACTAAAAATGCAAAAATTATCCAGGCATGGTGGCACACGCCTGTAATCCCAGCTCCACAGGAGGCTGAGGCAGAATCCCTTGAAGCTGGGAGGCGGAGGTTGCAGTGAGCCGAGATTGCGCCATTGCACTCCAGCCTGGGCAACAGAGAAAACAAAAAGGAAAACAAATGATGAAGGTCTGCAGAAACTGAAACCCAGACATGTGTCTGCCCCCTCTATGTGGGCATGGTTTTGCCAGTGCTTCTAAGTGCAGGAGAACATGTCACCTGAGGCTAGTTTTGCATTCAGGTCCCTGGCTTCGTTTCTTGTTGGTATGCCTCCCCAGATCGTCCTTCCTGTATCCATGTGACCAGACTGTATTTGTTGGGACTGTCGCAGATCTTGGCTTCTTACAGTTCTTCCTGTCCAAACTCCATCCTGTCCCTCAGGAACGGGGGGAAAATTCTCCGAATGTTTTTGGTTTTTTGGCTGCTTGGAATTTACTTCTGCCACCTGCTGGTCATCACTGTCCTCACTAAGTGGATTCTGGCTCCCCCGTACCTCATGGCTCAAACTACCACTCCTCAGTCGCTATATTAAAGCTTATATTTTGCTGGATTACTGCTAAATACAAAAGAAAGTTCAATATGTTTTCATTTCTGTAGGGAAAATGGGATTGCTGCTTTAAATTTCTGAGCTAGGGATTTTTTGGCAGCTGCAGTGTTGGCGACTATTGTAAAATTCTCTTTGTTTCTCTCTGTAAATAGCACCTGCTAACATTACAATTTGTATTTATGTTTAAAGAAGGCATCATTTGGTGAACAGAACTAGGAAATGAATTTTTAGCTCTTAAAAGCATTTGCTTTGAGACCGCACAGGAGTGTCTTTCCTTGTAAAACAGTGATGATAATTTCTGCCTTGGCCCTACCTTGAAGCAATGTTGTGTGAAGGGATGAAGAATCTAAAAGTCTTCATAAGTCCTTGGGAGAGGTGCTAGAAAAATATAAGGCACTATCATAATTACAGTGATGTCCTTGCTGTTACTACTCAAATCACCCACAAATTTCCCCAAAGACTGCGCTAGCTGTCAAATAAAAGACAGTGAAATTGACCTGAGAGAAAATGAAATGGCCGTTTTACTTAGAGGACCAAATTGGGTCTCCTGAGGAAAGGAATCCAGTTTATCTAATGAAGATGTTGTGCCATGAAGGCACTGAGTCTGTCTGGTTTCCTGAGGGTTAAAAGATTAGGGCTGGGATCACCACAGCATTAATCAATACTGCCTTTCCGTCTCTTCTAATTGCCATAGGCTGGAGATCATCGGTCCCTTGGCCCTGCTAATGTAATGTATTGATCTCAGGTAAGTAAGATTGAGCATCAAATGAGGCAAGAAATCTGTCTCATTGTTAATGAGGTTGCTGTGCTTATTCGCCACCACTGGGTGGAGCCAGCGAGCTGAAGTTTCAGTTGGCATTAGGTGAAGCACCAGTCCGCTCTCAAGTCACATTGGTCCAACTACTACCTGCTAGTGTGTGCTGGTGGTGAGTGGGAAATCTTTAGCCTAGATTTGGCATTACAGAAAAACTGGGCAGCACTGATGTGGCTCGTTTTGGGATGATTTTAGAATTAGACATGACACAGGTGCAAGGCCCTAAGTGTCAGTGGCCACCACCTCTCTATTGTAGCAGAATTGTGTGTAAGACCCAGGACACATCTAGCATCACTGTAGTTGGGTTTTTAGAGAATGCCTAAAGTGGCCAGGCATGGTGGCGCATGTCTGTAATCCCAGCACTTTGGGAGGCTGAGGCAGGCAGATCACCTGAGGTCGGGAGTTCAAGACCAGCCTGGCCAACATGGTGAAACCCCATCTCTACAAAAATACAAAAATTAGCCAGGCGTGGTGGTGCATGCCTTTAATCCCAGCTACTCCAGAGACTGCGGCAGGAGAATCGCTTGAACCCAGGAGGCAGACGTTGCAGTGACAAGATCGTGCCACTGCACTCCAGCCTGGGTGACAGCAAGACTGTCTCAAAAGAAAAAAAAAAAAAAAAAAAAAAATCTAAAGTCATACCCAATGAGATCATTAGTGGCAGGTAGAGCCAAGGCATCTGCATCTATAGAGAAGGGAGCAGAGAGGAGAAAGCTCTGAAACAGCTGGCACAGCCTTCCATTCCCTCCACTGAGGAGAGCCAGGGAAGAAGGTGGTCAGTAAGAACCCAACTGCTAAGACTTGGTCTGGGCGGGTTCCTTCTAGGTGGACCGTCAACAGTATTCAGGACCATTTCCACCATACTGCCCTACATGCAGGTCTTCGCGTGCAGAAGGGATCTATTTCATAAACATGCTAACTAGAGGTGTAACTTTCATTACCCCGGGAGGCTCAAAGAGTTGGTGGTTAACGATTTACCAGAACACCACTAGCTGGGGCTAGATGTAAGGATCACTGAACCCAACAGCCAAGCACCCTAAATGATGAGAACAACAAAACATCCTTGACTTCTCTGAGCTGCTAGCAGAAGAGTGGGAGGAGAGGTCTATCAAGTGGCCCGGGTCCCTTGACCAGGTCACTGCTCATTCCCACCCTGCTCGGAGGGAAAGCCAGAAGGAACTGTAGGACAGCCCAGCAGTACCTATGACTCATTCAGCTAAAACAGAATTGAGCAAGTTTAGCTAATCCCTTTCCCACATTTAACACCTGAAATGTGGACTAATTAAAATACCCGTCATTTTTGAAATGGGAAAGTGTATTGTGAATCACCTCGATAGGCAGGATCCATGATTGCTGTATGTGCACAGTAGGGATTCATCATTCCCAAAGAACTGGGCTTCATTAGTGGGACATGGTGGGGCTTCTCTGATGGAGCACAAATTTAGAAAGCATTGTAGAATGCATATTCTTGCTGTGAAGTGCTGGTGACATTCCTCATTTAGGTGATCCCAGACAGGACAGTGGAGTTTTACTTGTTTTAACTGACTGCTGTCTAACCACAGCAAGTAAAGAAATCTAATTTTATCACCTACAGGCTGAAATACCTTTGGCCTTCTAACCACTCCCCAGGGGAAGAAAGCCCTTGGTCAGCTGCATGGCAGTCTATCTATTATTTCATATTATTAATACTGAAAACACCAAGCATAAATATCCTAATGTAATACTTGTTGCTGGGTAGCACAGGGATTATATCAGACTTTCACAATCCCTATGACTAATAGTCTTATTTGTGAAAGACAAACTGGCCAGAAACACACACACCCAACACAAACATGGTTAAGGCTTAAACCCTTAATTATGCTTCCTAGCAAAATGGTGGCTAATGAAAGCCATATGTGCTAGAAGAGTGGCTGCCTCGCAGATTGCGGCTGCCTCACAGATTGCTGCAGCCTCTGCAGGCCCAAGATGGAGGTGTCGGAAGCAGCCAAATCTTTCTGATTGCCAGTCTGTTTCTCCAGGAAGCTTCATTATATCCAGAAAGATCTTACTGGGGAGTATATCCATCCCATCTCATAAGGTACTTTGTTTCCAGGGTGCTGATCCTACTGGTGGATCATTCAGAAAGTTAATCAGGTGCTCCTAAAATGGTTTTTGGAACTTCCAAGTTCTTACTCAGAATTCCAAGCCATAGGAGACAGGTATCTAAGGTGCCAAGCTGATTCCATTGTGCAAAAAATTTCCTCTCTGAAGGGACGTACACATGAAACTAAAAAAACAACATGATGGGGGGTGGGCTTTATACAAAGTTGAGTGGGGTGACAATGGTACAGAGGAAATGGGACTTTGCAATTATATTTTTCTAAGTGGTCTGAACTTGGTCTCACTACCCACATCACCTGGAATGGTTACCAGGCCTCAAAGGACTGCCCCACGGGCTAAACAGCTGATCCGCTCTCTGAAGCCAGACAGTCTTATCTGGGAGGTCCTTTACAGATGCCACTGTTGAGGGCCGGAAGCTGAAGAGAGTGAGCTCCATCCTCAAGTAGTCCTTTATGCTCCTTTTGAACTAGCCTTGCTGTTCTGGGCCGTCATTTGTGATTTGGCCTGGAGTGTCTAGGCGTAAAAAACAAGGACTGTAGGCATTAGTCACAGACGTGTAAGTTCTTAAGGAGTGAATGCTATTTTTGTTTTCTTAATCAAAATAGTGACCACAAAGTCAAATCTGAGATTATAATTTACCTTGGTAATAAAAGATAAAGGAGATTTACAAAAAACAAGGTATGTGTGTGCCTTGGGATGCTTTTCTGGGCTTACCCCATCTGTGTCTTCATAGATTCTCTGTCCTGCCAGCCATGTCTTTGGTCCACAGGAGCCACTTCCCACTTCAACTCTCCCACAACCTCCCCACTGTTTACTCTCTTCATGCCCTGTGCTCTTGCCCCAAATCCCTTCACCCAATTGGGAAAACTGGATGATAGATAAGTAGTTTCTTATTTACATGCATTTCTCTGGAAATTAAAGTTGCTTTCCAGCTAGTATTTCCTCACGTCGGAAGCATGTGTAAAATAACACATGGAAACTATTTCCACCTGGCACATAAGAAAAAAAGGGTCTGCCTATATTGTAACTGACTTCTACACTTTGCATGTTTTAGTCTGACCCACAATTTTTTTTTTTGGATAGTTGAAGTAAAAAACGTGGTTACAAGATGACTAAAGTTTGGCCTACAATTTCCTGTTTGGACAACAGGAAGAATTGTGCAGTGTTTTGCAACAGGACTAATTCTAGATTCTCACTGCCCTTAAAGATAACTAGAGGGAAAGGGTCTTCTCTTTCTTTTTCATTTATTAAAGATACTTACAGGTTCTTCAGAAGAAGTGATGGGTCCTTTAGGTAATGAAATAGGTGTTGATGGTGTTATGGGTGATGATGTAACTGGTGGCGGCTGTATAAAGTCTTCATCCTTAAACATCAGAACTGAGAGTTGGGTTACTGATTTAAAAGAAAATGTGTATTAATCTACAGTCCACTACCTTGACTACCAGGAACTTGTCACAACTACCTCATATCCTGGCACAGGATTCAAAAGGCAAAATCTGGAACCTAATTACGTGTAGCCAAATATTAAGCTTCCTCTTAGATCAAACAGTACAATAAATATTCCTTATTAAGGAACATTATTGTATTGAATTTCAATTTCATTAAGGGGATTAAAACAGGAGAAAATGACCCATTGCTATTTTCATTTTTTAATCTAATTAACCAAATGGAAAGTAACTGTCTAACCTTAGTTCCCTTCAGTTGAGGTGCAAGATCCACCATGTTCTCTTTAGATTCAGTGAAAGTAGGTAATTCCACAAGAATATCAGTCTTTGGAGCCTGGGGAGATAAACATTTTATGTATCATAAGCTTTCTGCTCTTCCTAAAACCCAGAAACTTTTACAGTAGTCAATGCCTTTTTTAGCACTATTTGCTTTCCACTAAATCCCTAACTTCCTCCTCTAGCTACACCCTTTATGAGTAACCTATGAAATATGCCCCTGATGTAGCAACTTAGTATTATTTCTCTTTGAGTTTTGAGTACTTTATATACAAAAGTTGCACTCTGATAGATTCTAGCATTTAAAATAATCATTAGCAATCCACTGATGGCACTGGTCCTGCTGTTGGCCTCAAAAGCCATTTCTCAATTATTTGTTTTTCTTTTTTTCTTTTTTTTGGAGATGGAGTCTCACTCTGTCACCAAGGCTGGAGTGCAGTGGCTCGATCTCGGCTCACTGCAACCTCCACCTCATGGGTTCAAGCAATTCTCCCTGCCTCAGCCTCCTGAGTAGCTGGGATTACAGGCGTCTACTACCATGCCCGGCTACTAATTTTTGTATTTTTAGTAGAGACGGTGTTTCACCATGTTGGCCAAGCTGGTCTTGAACTCCTGACCTCGGGTGATCCACCCACCTCAGCCTCCCAAAGTGCTGGATTACAGGCATGAGCCACTGCTACTGGCCTCAGTTATTTTCTAATAGCATTGATGTAACTTGGTCTATGTTGCATCTTTTTCATTTTTAGTATCTAATAATAAATGATAAAATTGCCTGATTTACTAAAATGGTAAGCTCCTATAACGCAAGGAAGATGGGGAGAGGAGTGGTATTAAAATAGATAACGATAAGAATGGGAGTGGTGATAGAATAGCTAGCTAACCTATCTTTAGGAATTAGATTTGAAAAACATATATCACTGTGCTTTGGAAGTAATTTGTGGACTTTGGAGGGATAAGGCTACATACATCCAAAATTACAGTATATTTGATGTCTCTATTCTTCACAGAACCTAGCATGCTACTTGTTCTCATTTTGTATATATACATGGAGAATAGAAGTTTAAAAACATGGGTGGGAAAAAGCCAATAACTTGCTTAGGAGCTTATCATTTTGTCCTTAATTCCGTTCTCACCCACTCCAGAAAGCAACATCTGGATAAAGAGCTTATGGCCCTCTAGAATAATTCTGAGAACCCAGATTTAGCTGAGACAGTGAGCTCCTCCAAGATTTCCTTGCCCCTGACAGCAATCTAAGAATGACGATTAACTTTGGTCTGTCTCACATGAGTGGATCCAAGAGTTGGATAGAATAAGAACCCACTAGCCTGCCTTTTAGAACATGGTCTATACTCTGAAACTGCTCCTAGTCTCCCTAGAGTTTTTCCTGGACAAATCCCAAAACCAGATTACTCTAGAAATATGAAAAGGGAAAGCAAGATGGTGTTTCCTGAAGTTGGGTTTTCATATTGGACTTCAAATAATTTTCCTTGGCTTGTCCAAGGAGTCAACAGCATAATTAAGATGTAAAACGACTGGCCCTCACTTAGTACTTGGACTAGTCCCCTAAACCACAGTGTAGCATATTCTACAAGAATCTTTCCTTTCTTACTCATGCCGGGTTCTGAGTCAGACAGGAAGCCACCAGCTAGAGAAGCGGGAGGCCCTTTCTGATGGGCCCAGAGCAAGATGCTGTAGTGACTGGGCCAATCTTATGCTCTTCCCTACAACACCAGGAAGAAAAATGATTAAGGAAATGAGTTGAAAGACATTCTAGATAAGCCATTCAATGCTTAAAGACTAATAGGAATCTGGACAAATGAAATAGAACAGGAACCATTCAGTCTAAAAGGAGAAAGCAGCAGAAACACCCACACCCACACACACCAGTCTGCTAATGAAGATAGTTAAGAAAAAGGAATAAACTGCTCCTATTAGTAAAATTCTCAATCAAGCTGGGCTCAAAGGCAGTAGCAGCCTTAAGGCTGGAGGTAAAACTGAGTGGCTTCAGTTTTCTGTTTTGTTTTGTTTGAGACGGAGTCTAGTTCTATTGCCCAGGCTGCAGTGCAATGGCGTGATCTCGTCTCACTGCACCTCCGTCTCCCAGGTTCAAGCAATTCTGCCTCAGCCTCCCAAGTAGCTGGGATTACAGGCGCCCGCCACCACGCCCAGCTAATTTTTGTATGTTTAGTAGAGATGAGATTTCACCATGTTGGTCAGGCTAGTTTCAAACTCCTGACCTCAGGTGATCCACCTACCTCGGCCTCCCAAAGTGCTGGGATTACAGGCGTAAGCCACTGTGCCTGGCCTTCCTTTGTTTTGTTTGTTTGTGGTTGGTTGGTTGGTTTTTTTAGAAATTTTTAAAACACATAAAGCCAGTTGGGTCAAATTCTAAAAGGCCAAAAGAAATGCCTGCTCTAACTGCAAGAGTACACCAAGTGTTTGTGGAGAGGCCTCAGTTGGATGGACGTCGAGGGTCCCCATTAACCCAGGTACTCACCTCCCCACTGAGTGGTATCTCAATCGGCTTGGGCTTCACATCTATCAGGTAGAAGGTGCGGGACAGGAGCAAAAGGGAAGGAGGGACGTTCTCCTTCAGGTGGAGGTCCTGCCACTGGAGAACGGGAGGGGAACAACACGTGAGAATCAGAACACCAGAGCCAGAGTGATCCGCGGTCATCTACCCTCCCTGGCTGACAGCTTCCCACCGCCCCCGCCCTTTCCGCCAAGCCGCTCAGGTGATGAGTCACGGCAGAACACGGACAAGAGCCCAGCCCTGGCTTCTGCACTGAGGGGGCACCCTACAGCCTCCCTCACTATGGTGGAATCACTCTCAGAGAGGGAGAATTCAATTAAACTCTCAACCCAACTGTGGATCAAAGTAGTCAAGTATCTTCTGTTGGACAAAGTGTAGATAATGTGAAAGAATAAATCACAGCCTGGGCAACACAGGGTGACTCTGTCTCTACAAAAAAATTTTCTAATTATCTGGGTATGGTGGTACATGCCTGTGGTCCCAGCTAGGAAGGCTGAGGTGGGAGGATCGCTTGAGCCCGGGAGTTTGAGGCTGCAGTGGCCTGTGTTAGTGCCACTGCACTCCAGCCTGGGCGACAGAGTGAGACTCTGTCTTCTTAAGATCAGTAATATATGCACAAAAGATAAAATTCAAAAGGTACCATAAAAAGTATTCACAAAGCTTCTGCAGTGACAGTGTCATAGCCAACGTTCAAGAAATACATGATTTTAAGGATCTTTCTCTACAATGTGCTGTCTTCCAACCAGAGCTGGTCCCACACATGAGAGGAAAAAGTAACCTAACATGGTTTCCAAGCCACACCATGGCTGGTAACCTAAGATCATCTGTGCATTCTTCATGGCATTTCTTACAATGATGAGAATGAAATGTAATAGGAGTTACTCCTTTGTTTTAAAGCATTGATGCTCTTACTTGAAGTCCAAATATGCTATCTGAGGAAAAATATTAAACATGGGTTACCACAGTGTGTGCTGGTTTGGGGCACTAATTGAAAAGCAGCCCCAGGTGGGCCACCAGGCAAAGTGGGGACCTCCAGACAGATTCACACAGATGACAGGCCTTGAACTGAAATTTTTGCCAGGACCCGTTACACTACGTGAAGTAGGTCAAAATTCTAAGGTGGTCCCAAGACACCTTGTCCCTGCAATACCCACACCCTCTCCTAGTTATTCAACAGTATTCTGGCTGCTGTGTGAAGGGATTCTACAGGTGTAACTGAAGTCCCAAGTCGGTTGACCTTAAGATAGGGAGATTCTTTGGATGGGCCTCACCAATCACATGAGACCTTAAATCTGGGGCTAGAGGTCAAACACGGGGGAAATTGGAGATTTCAAGCATGAGGAAGCTCTGGCATATGAGAAGTTCTCTCTTGCAGATGAAGGAGGCCAAGAGGCAAGGAATACAGGTGGCCACTAGATGCTGAGAGTAGCCCGGGGCTCACAGCCAGCTGGGAAACAAAGACCTCAGTCCGACAGCTGCAAGGAACTAAGTTCAGCCAACAAACTGAATGAACTTGGAAGCAGGTCGTTTCCCACAGCCTCCAAAGGAGCACAGCGTGCACTTCTGACCTACCAACTGTGAGCTAATATACCAGTGTTGTTTTAAGCCACTAAGTTCATGGTCATTTCTTAGGCAGCAATACAAAACTGATAGAGATCCCAATCAAAGTGAAAAATCAACCTAGTCCTTCAGCATCCCACTGCTCAATGAAATAAGGCAAATTAAGTAAGACGGTTCACTTGCAAAGGAGAAATCACATAAGGAGGTCTGCATATTGTAGGAGAGAGTTCTAGGGAAGAGGACCCCAGAGGGGCGCTGCTACTTGCCTCCGTGAGCTGTTGTCGCAGTTGTTCCTCCGTGAGACCCAGTGATCTCATCCCTCGGGCCCTACAGGCAGCCTGTAGTTCTGATACACTCAATGCTGTCACCCCTTCCTTGGCAATTATCTGAAAGAAATGTAAGGGATGGAGTTGGAACTTTTGATTCCAATTTTACGTAAACCCTAAATTCCAGCAAATCAGTGGAAACAGAATCAGAGGCTTGGATGCTTTGTCCCCTGCACTGGCTGCTACTGCAAAGGCGACGTAGGGAGGTGGCAGTTGAAATAATGGGAATCCTGCCAACAGGTATTAGCAATTAGCAATATCAGGGCTATTTACACAACTCCTTCCCAACATTCTGTCATCAGAGTAATTATTTCCCTTTTTGATCTGCATTTTGTCTGGTTGTGACATACATACTTTTCCATGGCAGCTTTATGGTTCATTAGAAAAAAGTAGTTCACTTGAAAAGCTCACAATGTACCATTTGTTGCATGTCCCTGTAGTGTTCTCCCCTGCTGTCCCCCCAACACCCCCAGAAATGGCCCTAACACACTGGTCCACAAAACTCCCTCAGTAAATAACACAGTTTCTGCTTGGCGTAACCCAAAACAATGGTATTTCTGGGACCAGTGTTGTTTATTCCAAAGCTCTAAGAGCAACAACTGAAATCTAAATGGGGCCAAAAGGATCATGCTTTCTCAGTTCTGGGAAACCTGCTCCCCCAGGTGGAATGCTTATAAAGCAGCTGATTCTGAGTCAAACATTCCTTCCATTTTTTAAAAAAGCCTAATTAGTAGTTATAGTCCAAGGGTGCCTTTCTTCTACAAGGTGTTGAGGCTCTGCTTTTCCTCCCAGTATTATGCTTTGCATACCAAGCCAACTACCCCTTCTTGGCAGGCCAATGCGCCCGGCAGAATATTGACTTTGGCACCAGCTTCCCGGTATGAGAGCAGAAGTGTGGGAGCAGAGCTTTGTCAGGAATCTACTGAGCTGCTGTTTCCTTCCCAGCAGGTCCTAACTGCTTTAGATGAGTCCCAGCTAAGACATCCAAATTACTAACTGCTTATGATGGCCTTCTCAAGAAATGGGTAAGGGGATGACAACTCCTCAAATGAGTAATCAAGGTTCAGGTTGTCATGGTAATGGTTGTTTAAACCACTCATTTTGTCAGAACCCAACATGACCAGACCCAACAGAAAATAATGCACTTCTACCCAGGCATGGTGGTCACACCTGTCATCCCAACACTTTGGGAGGCTGAGGCGGGTGGATCACTTGAGGTCAGGAGTTTGAGACCAACCTGGCCAACATGGTGAAGTCCCATCTCTACTAAAAATACAAAAATTAGCCAGGTGTGATGATGTGTGCCTGTAATCCCAGCTACTTGGGAGGCTGAGGTGTGAGAATCACTTGAACCCGGGAGGTGGAGGTTGCAATAAGCCAGGATTGCGCCACTGCAGCCTGGGTGACAGAGCAAGACTTTGTCTCAAAAACAAAAACAAAAACAAAAAATACTGCACACTTCATCCCACAGGCACCCTAAGGTATGTCCCAAAACCTTGCTAATTCCCTAGAGCTATGGTTAAGCTCTTACTTCATCATCTGCTTTTATAGACTTCAGTTTCATCAGGAGCTGAAAGCGGAGCAGGTTGTTGGTTCCAAATGTCTGCAATTCCAGCAGTTTGCAAAGGGCAACCAGCTGAGGGCGATCTAAGTGTTCCAGGGCCAGCTGGTCCTCAAATAGTTTGGAGAAGCGAACTATCTCCTTTGTGCTGGGCTTGTGGCCTGTCTGGACCTATGCAGTGGGACAAAAAGGCCAATTAAAATGTGTTTTCTACTTAATTTAACTTTCCCAATAGGCTATTTGAAAGAGACATCAAAGCATTTATGGGACTCTGTCTGACATCTGGAAATCGGCTTCGTGGTATAAAGAAAAGATATCCATCTGAAGTCAAACTACATCAGCTGAAAAATCAGGAGTTTGGAAGTTTGACTCTAAATCTACTGTTCTCTCCAAGAAGTTATCAATGTCTTCAAAACGTTGATTACTTTAAGACAGGCTTTTCTGCAAACTACTATCAATGTTTATAATATTAAATGTTTACAATATTATATGTTCATAATTTAGATATTTGCAATTCCAAAGATGGTGAACAATTTGGGAAATCCATGATGACATGCGTTTTTCATAGAACGCCCAGCCCCGAAGTTGTTCGGCATTACATAAAAGATGGACACCTGCTTCACGTAGGATGAGAGCTGTGTAGAGGCATCGCCCATCTTGGCTCTGTTCCTCCTTGCCATTTCTGTCATGGTTTCTTGAAGAAATTTTGCTAGTTCCAACTTTACAGCCATTTTCTTTTTCTGTTTTTCTTCCTTAATGGTAGAAGAATAAAAGTTACTCAATCCTTCGTGATTGTAAATTGGTAGATAAAGATGGGAGAAAAATAACTGTCTCCTTGTTATTGCTCATCCCTACATCATGTAATAACGTGATTCTCAGGCATAGATGAATGGGTTTGTGAGACCAGAGCAAGTAAAAAGAAGCCTCTATTTGGAACTTGTCTCCTTACTTTTTCTTTCTCACTAATACAATAATCATAAGCATTTGATAGATCCAAAATGTTCCCCCAATGGGAGGCTTTATAATTATTTAGCACGAGATACTATCTCTCTCTCTCTCTCTCTCTCTCTCTCTTTTTGAGATCAAGTCCCACTCTGTTGCCCAGGCTGGGGTGCAGTGGCACGATCTCGGCTCACCGCAACCTCCACCTCCCAGACTCAAGTGATTCTCCTGCCTCAGCCTCCTGAATAGCTGGGATTACAGGTGTGTGCCACCACACCTGGCTAATTTTTTTTTTTTTTTTTTTGAGATGGAGTTTCGCTCTGTCACCCAGGCTGGAGTGCAGAGGTACCATCTTGACTCACTGCAACCTCTCTCTCCCGGGTTCAAGTGATTCTCCTGCCTCAGCCTCTCGAATAGCTGGGATTACAGGTACACGCCACCACACCCCGCTGATTTTTTATTTTTAGTAGAGTAGGGGTTTTCACCATGTTGGCCAGGCTGGTCTTGAACTCCTGACCTCAAGTGATCTGCCTGTCTCGGCCTCCCAAAATGCTGGGATTACAGGCTTGAGCCACAGCGCCCAGACAAGAATGAGATACGATCTCAACCTGGTGCAAACTATCCAGTCTGCCAGTTGAGCTAACTCCTTGAGTGGCCCTGGGTTTTTCTTTACAAACAAAGAAAACTAGGAAATGGACTCTACCTAATGTGGCTTACAGTTTAACTAGAAAACAGACATAAGTAATTACAATACAGTGAGTTAAGTGCTCTAACAGACATGAACACAGCACTACACAGAAGAAAAGTAAATGGACACTGTGTTGGCTGGTGTTTCTTAATCCTTGTTAATCATCAGAAATGTAGTATGGTAGCATTTTCAAAATAACCACAGTCAGGACTCAGGGTGGTAAAGAAGAACAGGAATCTACGTATATTTTTAAGTTGCCTAGGAGATTCTAATGATCAGCCAATCATAAGAATCACTGATATTTAGATAGATCTTAAAAGATACAGCCAAAAAAAAAAAAATCACACAATAGTATGATCAGAACCCACTTAGTGGCCGGATGAGGTGGCTCACACCTGTAATCCCAGCACTTTGGGAGGCCGAGGCAGCTGGATCACCTGAGATCAGGAGTTTGGGACCAGCCTGGCCTGTCACGGTGAAACCCTGTCTCTACTAAAAATACAAAAATTAGCCGGGCGTGGTGGCACATGCCTGTAATTCCAGCTACTCAGCAGGCTGAGGCAGGAGAATTGCTTGAACCTGGGGGGAGGATGCAGTTAGCCGAGATAACGCTACTGCACTCCAGCCTGGGCAACAGCACGAGACTCTGTCTCAAAAAAAAAAAAAAAAAAAAGAACCCACTTAGTCATCCATTTCATTCATCCATATCCTTCCATCCATCTATCCATTTATTTATTGCACATCTACCATATTAGGTACTGGGGATAAAATGAGCAACAACAGGTAAGAATTCCTGCCCTCATGGAACTTTTAGTGTAGTGGGAGAGACAAACTTTAGTGACTAATGATAATCCCACAATTCCTCACATTAATATAGAAGCATAATGGGTAAGTGCTATGAAAGAGAAATACATGGTGCTGTGATCTGATGTAAACAGAAAGCTCCTCTCTCCATGGAACAAAGCAAACAAGAATTTTCTGAGACTGTGGCCATGATGTAGACATATTTGTATGTTTCAGGGAATGAGTGGTGTTCAGGAAAGAGGTAACATTTAAATAAATCACTTCCTCTATTCCCCCCATCTTCCTGAATTCACTAATACTTTCCTTGGAATGTTATGGCATTAATTCTAGATGCTGATTATTTTAAATGTAAGCAAATTAAAACATTGCCAGGCAGTCAAATATTGTAATTTGATTTATCCTGTGAAGGTATCCCGAATTTGTCTTCAAGTCTCTTTTTTTTTTTTTTTAAGACAAAAATCTCACTCTGTCGCCCAGGCTGGAATACAGTAGCATGATCTTGGCTCTTGGTAACCTCTGCGTCCCAGGTTTAAGTGATTCTTCTGCCTCAGCCTCTGAAGTAGCTGGGACTACAGGCACGTGCCACCATGCCAGGCTAATTTTTGTATTTTTAGTAGAGATGGGGTTTCACCATGTTGGCCAGGCTCGTACTGAGCTCCTGACCTCAAGTGACCCACCCACCTCGGCCTCCCAAAGTGCTGGGATTACAGGCATGAGCCACCACGCCCGGCCTTCAAGTCTTTATTCTTATTGTCAATTTCATAATGTATTCTCTGTCATCTCTCTCTTGGGCTAGCATTCCAGCTGGTTTCCCTTCCTTGGCTCTACCCTCTGCTGCCCCTCCTGCCAGCAAAATTATTCCTCCAAAACATAGATCTAATCATGTCATCCACCCAGCTACCCTGCTTCAAACGTTCCCTTTCCATTATTCACCATGGTGAAAGGGAAAGCCTAAATTCCTTAAGTGGGTGGATGCCTTCCAACCTGACCCCAACACATCACTTTGTCTGTTTCCTGTCATTGATGCCCTGGAACTGCCTACTTCAACCACAAATAACCAACCAGTGGTCTCTGATTACATCATACTCTCTTATGCCACTGAGCCATGTTAAATGCTATTCCTTTTATCCAGAATACCTTTCCCAGACCATGGTAAAATGCCACTTACTCTTTAAGTCTCAGTTCCAAAGTTACCTTTTCTGTGAAAAAGTTTCCAATCTTACTGATTTAAAAGTTGCCCTTAAAATTAGCTGGGTGTGGTGGCAGGCGCCTGTAATCTCAGCGACTCAGGAGGCTGAGGCCGGAGAATTGCTTGCATCCGGGAGGCGGAGGTTGCAGTGAGCCAAGATTGTGCCACTGCACTCCAGCCCGGGTGATGGTGCGAGACTCCGTCTCAAAAAAAAAAAAAAAAGTTGCACTTTTTGTCTTCTCATAATGTTTTGTTCACACTTTCTTACCATATGCTGTCAACGCTGTCTAGTAGAGTGGCACAGAACGGGGAGAAGGAAGGAGCTGCCTCTGTTTTCTCACCGGCACAGTGACTGCCACACTCAGTGAAGGCTCCCTCTTCTCAGGGGCTGCTGAACTGTCTGTTGGGCTGACTAAATCATACCTACTGTTCCACTAGTCACCGCGGTAACAGTGGATTTCTGTTTTCTTTATTCTTTTTTTTTTTAAACAGGATCTCACTCTTGCCCAGGCTGGAGTGCAGTGCAGTGGCCTGATCTCAGTTCACTGCAGCCTCAACCTCCTGGGCTCAAGCAATCCTCCCGCTTCAGCCTCCCAAGTAGCTGGGAATTCAGGTGCATGCTACCACACTTGGCTAATTTGTTTAAAATTTTTGTTTTTTAGAGACAGGGGTCTCACTATATTGCTCTGGCTGGTCTTGAACTCGTGGGCTTAAACAATCCTCCCACCTCAGCCTCCCAAAATGCTGGGATTACAGAGATGAGCCACTGCATCCAGCCTGTTCTCTTTGTTCTTTTGACAGTTAAAATCAAGTTAGAATTTAGTGGAGAAGAGAAAATCTTTTCAACAAATGGTCCTGGAAAAGCTAGATATCCACATACAAAAAAGAGAGAAATGAATCTATATACTGACATTACAGTTTTCATAAAAATTAACTCGGCCTGGCGCAGTGGCTCACGTCTGTTATCCCAGCACTTTGGGAGACTGAGGTGGGCAGATCACCTGAGGTCAGGAGTTCGAGACCAGCCTGGCCAACATGGCAAAATCCTGGCTCTACTAAAAATACAAAAATTAGCTGGGTGTAGTGGCACATGTCTGTAATCCCAGCTACTTGGGAGGCTGAAGCAGGAGACTCGCTTGAACCTGGGAGGTGGAGGTTGCAGGGAGCCGAGATCGCACCATTGCACTCCAGCCTGGGCGACAGAGCGAGGCTCCATCTCAAAAAAAAAAAAATAAATAAATAAAAAAATAAAATGGATCACAGACATAAATCTAAGACACAAAACTGTAAAACTTCTAGAATAAAACAGGAGAAAAATGTAGGTGACCTTCAGTTGGGCAATAAGTTTTTAGCTACAACACTAAAAGCATGATTCATGAAAGAAAAAATTGATAAGCTGGATGTCATTAATCCTGAAAGCATTTGCTCTGTGAAAGACATGGTTAAGGAATGAAAAGATAAGCCACAGAGTAGAAGAAAACGTTTGCAAAATATATATCTGATAAAGGACTTTTACCCAAAATATACAAAGAACTCAGAATAATAATCAGAAAACAAAAAAACCCAATTAAAAAGTCAACCGAAGGGCTGGATGCAGTGGCTCACGCCTGTAATCCCAACACTTTGGGAGGCTGAGGTGTGTGGATCACCGGAGGTCAGGACATCGAGACCAGCCTGGCCAATATGGTGAAACCCTATCTCTACTAAAAATACAAAAATTAGCCAGGTGCAGTGGTGGACACCTCTATTTCTAGCTACTCGGGAGGCTGAGGCAGGAGAATCACTTGAACCCGGGAAGCAGAGGTTGCAGTGAGCTGAAATTGCACCACTGCACTCCAGCCTGGGTGACAGAGCCAGACTCCTTCTCAAAAAAAAAAAAGTCAACCAAAGATCTAAACAGACACCTCCCCAGAGAAGATACACAAATGGTAAATAAGCACAGGAAAGATACTCGACATCAGGAGACTGCAAATTAAAACAGTGAGATACCACTACACACCTGTTTCGTGGCTAATGTCTAGAGCACTGACAACATCAAATGCTGGTACTCTCATTTGTTGCTGGTGAGAATATAGAACAATACAGCCACTTCGGAAGACAGTTTAGCAATTTCTTAAAAGCTAAACATAGTCTTACCATATGATCCACCAATTACTCTCCTAGGCATTTACCCCAATGAGTTGAAAGCTTACATCCACACAAAAACCTGTACATAAGTGTCTATAGCAGTTTTATTCATAATTGTCAAAAACTGGAAGCAATCGAGGTGTCCTTTCATAGGAGAATGGATAAACAAGCTGTGGTACAGCCATACAATGGACTATCACTCAGTGATAAAAAGAATTGAGCAATGAAAAGAACTTGAAATGCATATTGCTAGGTGAAAGAAGCCAGTCTAAAATGGCTACACACTGTATGATCCCAACTATATGACATTCTGGAAAAGGCAAAACTACAGAGACAATAAAAAGATCAGTGGCTGCCATGGGTTGGGGGAGGAAAGAAGAGGGACAAATAGGTGGAGCACAGGGAATTTTTTTTTTTTTTTTTTTTTTGAGACAGGGTCTCCCCCTGTCACCCAGTGCCTCTGGAGTGCAGTGACACTATCATAGGTCATTGCAGCCTTGACCTCCTGGGCTCAAGTGATCCTCTTGCTTCAGCCTCCCAAGGAGCTGGGACCACAGGCATGAGCTACCATGCCCAACTAATTTTTGCATTTTTTGTAGAAATGGGGTCTCACTATGATACCCAGGCTGGTCTCAAACTCCTGGGCTCAGGCGATCCACCTGCCTCAACCTCCCAAAGTGCTAGAATTACAGACATAAGCCACTGTGCCTGGCCCACAGGGAATTTTTAGAGCAGTGAAACTATTTTGTATGATACTGTGATGGTGGATACATGAAATTATGCATTTGCAAAGCCCACAGAAATGCTTCAACATGAAGAGTGGACCCTAAAGTATGAGCTTTAATAATAACATGTCAATATTGGTTTTTTTAATCATTACAAATATAGCACACTAATGCAAGATATTAATTACAGGAGAAATTGGGATGGGGTTGGGTGGGGAGAAGTAGTACTTTCTGCCCAAGTTTTCTGTAAACCTAAAAACTCCTCTAATAAGGTTTATTAAATTTTATTAAAGTTAAAAAATCATACCTTTTTGGATTCACTTTCAAAAGTTGATGGCAACATCTCTGGGAAGAGTTTCAGAAACACTGGTAATAAGAATTCCATGAAGGGTACAATTAAGAACACCATAAATGGAACCAGGCGGAAGAAATCAACACAAGTTCTCAACAGCTATAGAATTAAATGCATATGCAATATTCATTATTTTAGGGCATGCCAAAAACAAAAATGAAAAACAAAACCAAAAAAACCCTGTCTTGTTTCATTTTCTTTCTTTCAAGAGATAGTGTCTCACTATGTTGCCCAGTCTGGCCTCAAACTCCTGGGCTCACGCAATCCTTCCACCTCAGCCTCCCAAGGAGCTGGGATTACAGGCATATGTGCCATGCTCAGCTTGGTTCTTAAAGTGTTAAAAACCCAAGACAGGTTTTCTGCAGCTGTTTATAAAATGAAGAGGCAGGGTTTTCCTGTTTACCATAGCTCTGAAGTAACTTTTAGGGGCTATCTTGAAGGAAATCTATGACAATAAAAATATTATTGGCATCTCCTAGACTTCATCTATGTTAGAGGGTCCATACTTTAATAGCATTGTATTACTTAAAATTGTTTTTTTGTTTGTTTGTTTTTTTGAGATGGCATCTCACTCCAGGCTGGAGTGCAGTGGCACGATCTCGGCTCGCTGCAACCTCCGCCTCCCAAGTTCAAGCCATTCTCCTGCCTCAGCCTCCTGGGTAGCTGGGACTACAGGCACGTGCCACCATGCCCGGCTAATTTTTGTATTTTTTTTAGTAGACAAGGGTTTCATCGTGCTGGCCAGTCTGGTCTTGAACTCCTGACCTCAAGTGATCCGCCCGCCTCAGCCTCCCAAAGTGCTGGGATTACAGGCATAAGCCATCGTGCCCAGCCAAAATTGGGTTTTAAAAATGCATATGCTTAATATATTAACAACAGTTGAAACATGAAGCCCCTCAACTTCTTGGAAAGATTAAAAAACACAATTATAACTATTCTACAAACATGCACATGTACCCCTGAACCTAAAATAAAAGTTTTTTTTAAAAACCGTTATACAGGAAAATATATAACAAATTTCAGAATACTGACTAAAGTTGTACAGTAAGTCGGTTGCAGACAAGAAACTGGTTCTCACCAGCAGTTATTATTCCTACTCTGGGATTTTTAAGATGAAGTTTACGTTGAATTTAAATAGTTGAGTTCCCAAATAGTTCATTTTAATTTCACATTTTCTTTCTCAAATATGATTCTTGCCTACCCTTCGTCTCTCTCGTCTGGTCAGGACCTGTCCATGCAACAGCCTCCAAACCATTCTGGCAGCAACTTTGGCGTCAATCCAAAGTAAGTAGAATCCATTGTAATAATATTTTAGTTCATCCATGATTTTTTGTCTATAAGATTGTTTGCCTTCTTTAATCTCCATGCCAGTTTCTTTTGTGGCCTGAGGGCTTGTCACCTGTGGATGTTTTGTGGCTTGCTCCAGCTGAGGTTTGCCAGGAACTTCTTGCAGCCAGCAAGTGGATGTGTGTAGCTTTTGTATTAGTCTAGTTCCTGGGTGAAGTACTGTATTGCCTGGCTGACTAGGATCCGAGTACTTCTTGCTCTCATAGTTCTTCATACATGTCTTATTTAAATGGGAATCTGGCAAGTGAAGAAATGCACATGATGGGGAATAAGAAGAGCAGGTAGGATGGACAAAATGGCTAGGGAATCTGGAATAAAAAGCAACATCCTCTGAGTTAAGTACATACTATTACAAAGCACACACTATCATAAAGCACATATTATTAAAGAAATAGATAGTACATCTGGTCAAAATAAAACAGCTTTTTTTTTTTTCCACTCCCATTGCCCAGGCTGGAGTGCAGTGGTGCAATCTCGGCTCACTACAACCTACGCCATCTGGGCTCAAGCGATTCTCCTGCCTCAGCCTTCTAAGTAGCTAGGATTACAGGCACAGGCCACCATGCCCAGCTAATTTTTGTATTTTTAGTAGAGTCGGGTTTTCACCACATTGGCCAGGATAATCTCAAACTCCTGACCTCAAGTGATCCGCCTGCCTTGGCCTCCCTAAGTACTGGAATTACAGGCATGAGCCACCATGCCTGGCCAAGGAATATTGTTTCAAAGAAACATTTGATGGTCACTGTAGGAATTAACCAGTCACATAATACCGCCTTGCCTATGCAGTGTCTTTGAACCCCTCAAATGAGAGGAACTTACAGCTGAAATACCCTTCACCTAAATTCTTCTAGAACATTGGGCTGGCCGCGATGGCTCATGCCTGTAATCCCAGCGCTTTGCGAGGCCAAGGCAGGTGGATCACCTGAGGTCAGGAGTTCAAGACCAGCCTGGCCAACATGGTGAAACCCTGTCTCTACTAAAAATACAAAAATTAGCCGGGTGTGGTGTCATGCACCTGTAATCCCAGCTACTAGGGAGGCTGAGGCAGGAGAATCGCTTGAACCCAGGAGGTGAAGGTTGCAGTGAGACAAGACTATGCCACTGCACTCCAGCCTGGGCAACAGAACAAGACACCGTCTCAAAAAAAAAAAAATTAGAATTGGGCACCCCAATTAAGGGTCTCTAGCTTCTGGTATTGCAACAGCCCACAGTTTGCAGTTAAACTACCATATCAGATTGTTTGAGAATAAAAATATGGGCCAGGCACAGTGGCTCACGCCTGTAATCCCAGCACTTTGGGAGGCCAAGGCGGGCGGATCAAGAGATCGAGACCATCCTGGCCAACTTGGTGAAACCCCATCTCTACTAAAAATACAAAAATTAGCTGGGCGTGGTGGCACGTGCCTGTAGTCCCAGCTACTCGGGAGGCTGAGGCAGGAGAATCACTTGAACCTGGGAGGCAGAGGTTGCAATAAGCCAAGATCGTGCCACTGCACTCCAGCCTGGCGACAAAGCGAGACTTGTCTAAAAAAAAAAAAAAAAAAAAAAACTAAAATAAAATAAAATAAAAATATGACAGATACTGGCAAAGAAAGTTACTGGCAAAGAGATGTCTTTTTCCATTCTTTCAGTTTTTTGGTTTTTTTTTTTGTTTTTTTTTTTTTTTTTGAGACAGGAGGAGTCTCACTCTGTCACCCAGGCTGGAGTACAGTGGCATGATCACGGCTCACTGCAGCCATGACCTCCTAGGCTCATGTGGAAGAAATCAACACAAGTTCTCAACAGCTATAGAATTAAATGCATATGCAATATTCATTATTTTAGAACATGCCAAAAACAAAACCAAAAACAAAAGCAAAAAAAATTTGTCGCCAGGCACGCTGGCTCATGCCTGTAATCCCAGCACTTTGGGAGGCTGAGGAAGGTGGATCACGAGGTCAAGAGATCTAGACCATCCTGGCCAACATGGTGAAACCCCATCTCTACCAAAAATACAAAAATTAGCTGGGCGTGGTGGAGTGCACCTGTAGTCCCAGCTACTCGGGAGGCTGAGGCAGGAGAATTGCTTGAACCCAGGAGGCGGAGGCTGCAGTGAGCCAAGATTGCGCCACTGCACTCCAGCCTGGTGACAGAGCAAGACTCTGTCTCACAAAAAAACAAAAAACAAAAAACAAAAAAACAAAAATAAAAAATTTGTCTTGGTTCTTTTTTTTTTTTTTTTTTTTTCTGAGACAGAGTCTCACTCTGTTGCCCAGGCTGGAGTGCAGTGACGCGATCTTGACTCACTGCAACCTCCGCCTCCTGGGTTCAAATGATTCTCCTGCCTCAGCCTCCCGAGTATCTGGGAATACAGGTGCCTGCCACCACACCTGGCTAATCTTTATATTTTTAGTAGAGACGGGGTTTCACCATGTTGGCAAGACTGGTCTCGAACTGCTGACCTCAAGTGATCTGCCTGCCTTGGCCTCCCAAAGTGCTGGGATTACAGGTGTGAGCCATCACACCCGGCTCTTTTTTTTCTCTTTCTGTTTAAGACACAGAGTCTTGCTATGTTGCCCAGGCTGGCCTCAAACCCCTGGGCTAAAGCAATCTTCCTACCTCGGCCTCCCAAGGAGCTGAGATTACAGGCATATGCACCATGCCTGGCTTGGTTCTTAAGGTGTTAAAAACCGAGGCTGGAGTAGAGTGGTGTGATCACAGCTCACTGCAGCCTCGACCTCCCAGGCTCAGCATCCTGAGTAGCTAGGACTACAGGCCCGCACCACCACGCCCAGCTAGTTTTAAAAATTTTTGTAGAGATGAGGTCTTGCTATGTTATCCAGGCTGTTCTTTTTTTTTTTTTTTTTTTTTTGAGACGGAGTCTCACTCTGTTGCCCAGACTGGAGTGCAGTGGTGTGATCTCGGCTCACTGCAACCTCCACCTCCCAGGTTCAAGCGATTCTCCTGCTTTAGCCTCCTGAGTAGCTGGGACTACAGCTGCATGCCACCACGTCCAGCTAATTTTTGTATTTTTAGTAGAGACGGGGTTTCACCACATTGGCCAGGATGGTCTCGATCTCTTGACCTTGTGGTCCACCCGCCTCGGCCTCCCAAAGTGTTGGGATTACAGGCGTGAGCCACAGTGCCTGGCCCCAGGCTGTTCTTGAACTCCTGGGCTCGAGCTATCTTCCTGTCTAGGCTTCCAAAAGTACTGAGATTATAGGTGTGAGCCACTGCAGCCAGCCTCAGACTATTTTTGAAGCATGCCAAGATAAAACGCTCTTTGAATGGCCAAAAAGGGAAAAGTAAGTGCTCAGTGAATAGTCTTTAGTCTCAGTGAATAAATAAATGGTGGCCGGGCACGGTGGCTCACGCCTGTAATCCCAGCAGTTTGGGAGGCTGAGGTGGGTGGATCACTTGAGGTCAGGAGTTCAAGATCAGCCTGGCCAACATGGAGAAACACCATCTCTATAAAAATACAAAAAAATTAGCTGGGCATGGTGGCCCATGCCTGTAATCCCAGCTACTCGGGAGGCTGAGACAGGAGACTCACTTGAACCCAGGAGGCAGAGGTTGCAATGAGCCAAGATTGTGCCATTGCACTCCAGCTTGGGCAATAGAGCGAGATTTCATCTCAAAAATAAATAAATAAATAAATAAATAAATAATGGTAACAGACCCTAATGGGACACGAATATGCCCTAAGACTGGCTGTTCATCAGCCATTTTACTCGCTTTACATCTAAGGACCTCACGTGATGTTCATCAATTACAGAGATGTCACTCTAAAACCAGTACATCTTCTGGCTGGGCACAGTGGCTCACGCCTTTAATCCCAGCACTTTGGGAAGCCCAGGCTGGCGGATTACCTGAGGTCAGGAGTTCAAGACCAGCCTGGCCAACATGGCGAAACCCCATCTGTACTAAAAATACAAAAATTAGTGGGACATGGCGGCGCATGCCTGTAATCCCAGCTACTTGTGAGGCTGAGGCAGGAAAATCTCTTGAACCTGGGAGTTGGAGGTTGCAGTGAGCCAAGATATCATGCCACTGCACTCCAGCCTGGGCAACAGAGTGATAATCCGTCCCAAAAAAGAAAACAAAAACAAACAAACAAAAAAAACTACATCTTCTTTTCTTTTTTTTTTTTGAGATGGATTTTTACTCTTGTTGCCCAAGCTGGAGTGCAGTGGCCCAGTCTTGGCCCACTGCAACCTCCGCCTCCCAGGTTCAAGCGATTCTCCTGTCTCAGCCTCACAAGTGCTGGGATTATAGGTACCTGCCACCATGCCGGCTAATTTTTGCAGTTTTAGTAGAGACGGGGTTTCACCATGTTGGTCAGGCTGGTCTTGAACTCCTGACCTCAGGCAATCCGCTCGCCTTGGCCTCCCAAAGTGCTGGGATTACAGGTGTGAGCCACTGCACCCAGCCTCCAAGAAACTTTTAATTGTGTACTAAGCCAATCCTTTCCATCTAGAAGGATGAAATTCAGGCCAGGCGAGGTGACTCACGCCTGTAATCCCAGCACTTTGGGAGCCCAAGGCAGGCGGATCACCTAAGGTCAGGAGTTCCAGAGCAGCCTGGCCAACATGGTGAAACCTCGTCTCTACTGAAAATACAAAGATTAGCCGGAGGTGGTGGCAAACACCTGTAATCCCAGTTACTTGGAGGCTGAGGGAGGAGAGTAGCTTGAACCCGGGAGGCAGAGGTTGCAGTGAGCCGAGATTGCACCATTGAACTCCAGCCTGGGCGACAGAGTGCGACTCCATCTCAGAAAAAAAAAAAAAAAAGAAGAAGAAGAAGAATTACGTTCATATTGGGGGGTAACTCCAATGCTTACCTTGTTCGAGCAATAGCCAGAACTGAATTATAACTGTAGAAGGCCATATTTATTTTTGTCTCAAGTAGTTAACATAGGGACCTAGGCAAAAGGAGTAAGTAAACAATTTAGTAGTTTAAAAATACATCAATTAAAAGACATCAGGATTTTAGTGTTTTTAACTATTGCAAAGGTAGAACATTTGCATAGTTAAGGTACAAAACCTCCTTCAAGCTCATTTCCAACAATCAGATATTTTCGTAGCTCTGGACTTGAGAATGGTACTTTGAGATTCCAACAAACGGTAATGATCTCTAAGATGATGATGCTCATGAAGATGGTACAATCTTCAGAGACATTTTGATTTCTGGTCAATAGTATCTAGTAATGCAACTTCAATGATTGCCAAGTACTTAAAAGTAGAGCAATACATATCTATCTGTAGCCTTAAAATATAGGTAGAAAGTGAATATTCTGAATTTCTTTTCAGTTAGCATTGTTCTATATTTAGGCAAGTTGTCCCAAACCCTGAATATTGGACGTACCCACTAATCTAATTTATGTAGCAGTGGATGAAGGTAGACATGCAACCTACTAATCGCTCAAGTGGAGGTAAAACTGTTTCCCTTGCTACTGATTCTCCAGAGCCCAAACTGAGCTTTGAACCTGTAAATAACCTTCACCAAAACCCATCTCCATCCAGGGGCGCTTTTCTGCTAAGGGCCGCGAGGAACGGCAGAAGAGCTGACATTCCCAATGGCAGCTTTGCTCTCTTGTGGTTGGGAAAAGAGTTCCAGGAGCTCTCCTGAATAGAAACCTTAGCCACAGAGCTGACATTTTCAACAGGGGCTCGAAACCTGTGGACCCACACTAACGGTGGGTGGTGTTTCGCGGGCAGGAGACGACACCTGAGGCGGCGGTTAATCCGCTCGGGCCCGGGCGCTCCCGGGCGGCGGACACCACTCGCACTCGCATTGGCGCCGCCCCACGCCCGCTGCTCCCGGGCTCCCTCGGCTTTGCCCATCACCACACGGGAGCAAAACGCGCCCTCGGCTTCCTCGCCCGGCGGCTTCGGCGCGCCTGATGTGTGCGCGGCCTGCATGCGGCGGGGTCTGGGGGATATGCTTTGGTTTTCTGGTGCGGAGGTGGGACAGGCACGGGAACGACGACCCTCGTGGATGATCGGGGTTGTTGGAAATGAAGCCGAGGAGAAAGAAGCAGGGCCTGGGACGGAAAAAAGGACGGAGCGCGCTGTGCGGGGAAGGGGGAGGAGAGGCCGAGCTTCAGAGTTCGCGCTGTGCTGGGGAACTGGCGGGGATGAGGTCGTGGGTGGAGGAGAGCGCGGTGGGAACTGGAAGCTGTCAGAAGCCTGGATCATGCTCTGATGAGAGGAGCAGGATGCGGACCGAGCGGGATCCGGAGGAAAAAAAGGCAGCGCGGCCCACCAGGTCGCGGCCTGAGGGCTGGGCCTGCCCACCCCTACCTCCTCGGCCGGGCTCCGCGGAACGGCCGCCTAGGTCCTCCCAGCTCCTTCCCGGGACCCCCAAGCTAGAAGGGCCCGAAGCCAAGTCTCTACGGTTCCGCCTCTTTCCTCGCCCCTGACGTCACTCTGAGTGACGACATCGCCAACCAATAAGCTCTCAAGTTCTGGGGAGGGCGGGCGTCCTTCACCTTAGCAGCCCAGGAAGCCGCAAAGTCGCGTTTACATCGCCGAAGTGACTTCTTTGTGGGGCTTGGTTTAAGGCGCGTTGGTGCTGGGGGGCCCGAAGGTGACGTTTTTCTGCCAGTCCACACTCCGCAGGCAGTGGCTAACGCCCGAGGAAACCCGTGATTGAAGACTGGATTAAACAGGCTCTTTCCCTGACAGCTTAATATGTCTGATAGTCGCCATGGTAACCATTTCGGAGTCATGAATGACATCACTTTGATGTATTCTCCCTCGGACCCTGCAAATCCGGAACTGCCAGAGGGGCGCTGAGAGGATTTGATGGTGTCGCAGAAAGGGCGGGAATCGGAAGGAGCGCATTCCTCTCCCTTCCTCTCCAGAGGCTGGAATACTGTGAAATCTTCATATGGAAATCTGTATTCTACTAAAAATATTTGCTTTCTCAATGGTCCCTTAACAAGTGTTGTTTGTGATTAATAATTTGTATAGAAATCTCAGCATATAAAATGTATGTTATAGTAGCTGTGAAATGACAGACACTGCAGGTTTGAGGGCACTTCAGTTCCTAGGATGGCCAACTGAGCCATCTTGGGAAAATGAAACATCTAGAAATATTCTCATTCCCCAGTTATCTTTTCCCATCCATTTTATCTGGCTCCAGAAGAAAGAGTTAAAAATTTTTTTTATTTAGGCTGGGCGCGGTGGCTCACGCCTGTGATCCCAGCACTTTGGGAGGCCGAGGCGGGCGGATCACAAGGTCAGGAGACAGAAAACATCTTGGCCAACATGGTGAAACCCTGTCTCTACTAAAAAAAAATACAAAAATTAGCCGGGCATGGTGGCGTGCGCCTGTAGTTCCGGCTACTCTGGAGGCTGAGGCAGGAGAATCGCTTGAACCCGGGAGGCAGGGGTTGCAGTGAGTCGAGATCGCGCCACTGCACTCCAGCCTGGGCGACAAGAGCGAGATTCCACCTCAAAAAAAAATTTTTTTTTTCTTAGTGGCTCTACTCGACCACCATACAGCAAGGAATCGCTTTCTCACGGAGAATACGTCTCCTGACATGTGAGCTGACCACAGACTTTACTCATCTGGGCTACACATTTTTAAGAATGGAAGATGGCGGTATTAAACGTCAGTAAAAAATGCAGACTGCTTTTAATCCACAAAGGATTTTTCAGCTAATAACCAAATAGATCCACTGTTAAATAGGCAAAACTTTTCAGTTTGGCCACTAGAGGTCTCTTTGTGCATGTCTGATGTTCAACTTTGCACATAAAGGTTTCACTTCACGTTCTGTTTACCAGTATTAAAATCTACAAAGCTTTGGACTCTTTACTTTTCCCTCACTGAAAATTCCTGGTGGTCAAATTTTGAGCTCTAGAAGGTAGATGTAGTTTTCACACTAATTTCATAAATTAATCATTGCACTACCATGTACTGGTACTTTTCTGGAAAAGATCTTAAAGGATGCAAAAATATTTTCAGTTCCCTGGGAGACATTTTATACGGGGAAATATTCTTATTCATGCATTGTATTCACTTACAACCAGGCACAGTGAATATCATTAAGTATTCATAAACCAGATGAACGATTCCATGCCCAGTATTTGAAAGATGAGCTAGGTTTTCTACCATGGCCATATGTCAGCAATCCTATCCTAAAAAGGGAAGGGCTAAGAACTCTTCTTATTGAGATATCTGTTCAAAGTAATGTCCGTCTTCCCTAGTTATGAGACTTGGCAATTTCTTTGACTTTCAGGATAAGAGATTTATCATGTAAGATTCTGTATGTAATCTTCAGAAGAGAAATTTTTAAAAAAATATTTTTTCCTCCATGACTCTGGCCCTGAGAATTGTGTTAGATTGCTGTCTTAATGAGCTCCTTGTTCATTTTCTATGGCGAACAGTAAGCATCGTCTAAACCTCAGAAGATGTTAGATACTGAAAATGTAAACTATTATTTTTAATGGCCATTTTCCTAAATATGCCACCAGATCAAGTATACTAACTGTATTTTGTAATGTTTTGCAGGAAAAGACTATGCATCTACTTCACATAACTCCAATTTTAAACTCTTGCTGTCAGCATAGCTATTAGAAACAGGCTAATATAAGATCCCTGGGGACAATTTACTAGATTCTCCTCAAGGGAGAAACCCAGGTGCCGGGTCAAGGCAACAGTTTATCAACAAAGCAAGGAAGACACAGGAGGAAGAAAAAGAAGAATGGAGGTAGAAAGGCTCATAGAAAAAAAAAAAAGACCAATTTAATCCCTCTTTCCTGGAGATAGAATTAAGCTAGACTTGGTGGCCCGCTTTGGCCATCTGTGTTTTAAAATGTCATATCACAAATAAAAAGTATGCTTTTACTGATAGCTGTAACTTGTGGTACTACTTAAAGCATACGTTTAAAAATATTTAATGATTAATAGTAATGAGATTTTTTTTTTTTTTTTTGAGACATAGCCTCTCTGTGTCGCCCAGGCTGGAGTGCAGTGGCGCGATCTCGGCTCACTGCAAGCTCCGCTTCCCGGGTTCACGCCATTCTCCTGCCTCAGCCTCCTGAGTAGCTGGGACTACAGGCGCCCCCCACCACGCCCGGCTAATTTTTTGTATTTTTAGTAGAGACGGGGTTTCACCGTCTTAGCCAGGATGGTCTCGATTTCCGGACCTCGTGATCCGCCTGCCTCGGCCTCCCAAAGTGCTGGGATTACAGGCGTGAGCCACTGCGCCCAGCCAATACTGATAATTCTCAGTATCTAGTATTAACCGGGTTACGTTTAAAAAAAATAGTTCATAATTAGTGCCCTTTTAAATAACTGATCTGTAGAAATCATTTAATTTCCTTAAGTGATATTTAAAGATAGAGATATCTAATTTCTTGTAATAGTACCAAAGACATCCAGCACTATAACGTCTACAGAGTATGACGTCTAGCGGTAAAATGGCTTTATTCTCAGAACAGAGTATCGGTTTCCTCATTTGCTTGCTGCCTCTGTTTCCTTTTTACGTTCACGTCTCTGTGCTGTAACCTTCCAAATCCTTATCACCAGGCCCCAGGAAATATCACCTGGTCGGCACACTCCTGCAGGGCCAGATCACTGTGCACACACTTAACCTTCCATTGTTTTCCATACGTTTCCTAGGATGCGGGGGGCTAGAGGATGACGGAGAGTTGCCTCCCGGTTCTTCCTCTCGTTCTTATCTTGGGCCCTCTAGGACAAATGTCCCTCACGTCCCTCGATGCGAAGGTCTGGCCGCGAGCAGCCGCGGCCTCCGGCACGTGACGGTCACGGAGCCGTCGCGGTCCCCCGCGGCTGGGGGGCACCCGGGGATGCGGCGGGCGCTGACGTCGTCCTCCCGGTTACCCACAAGCCTCCGGGCCGCAGCAGAGCAGGAAGAGGCGCGCGGGGCCGGCGCCTGCCGGGGAGGTCGAGGCGCTCCCTCGGCGAGCCGGCGCCGCCGGCCGGGTCTCCTACTGCTTGCAACCGGGGGAGGGGGACCATCCGACAGCTCAGCCGGGGCTGAGAGGGAGACGACGCCAAGGCGGTCTTGCATCGCCCCCGGCTTTCCAAATGCAGACCCTACCGGAACCGGAGCCCTTCCCTGACAGCCGTAGGACGGGAGACGGCCGAGGGGTCGCCTGGACTGCCCCGCCCTCGCGCGGTGACCCACCGGGGACCGTGCGAGGGTCGCTTCTAACCCTTAAGAGCTAGAGAGCCGAGTCACCCTGAGGAGCGCCGTATGGCGCTGGTTGCGCGTTGTTCTTTAATCAGCCTCACTGAACGCGCCGATCCCAGTTTTACCTCCCGGGCCCCACCTTTCCACGCCTCCTCCGGCTTCCCGGGGTGTTTTGTGTGTCACTCTCCCACGTACAGTCCCTCCCCGTCCCTCGTTCCTCGGCCCTCTCGCCCGGTCTCCCTAGTCGTCCAGACGCTAGCTGCCGCGGGCGTTCCTGGTTCGCGCTCCCGCCCCCTCCGCCCCGCCGACTCGCCGCTTCCTCCGGAGCCCCAGCGTCCCGAACCAGGGACTGCATTTCCCGGCAGGCGCCGCGGCCCGCGGCCAATGAGGGGCTGAGGATTTGGCGGCGGCGGCGCCCCGAGAGTCGGGGTGGGGGGGCTTTGTGCGCGGCGGCGGCGGGAGAGGCGGCGGCGGCGGCCAGCACGGAGGCGGAGGCCGAGGGGGCTGTGCACAGGTCGCCGCGGAGAGGCGTGCGAATTCCGAGCCGAGCGCCGAGGACCGTGCTACCCAGGCCGGGCTGCCAGCCGCAGGCTCCTCTCTGGCAGCAGCGGCGGCGCGGCGACCCCCGTCCCTCGGCCTCCCCTTCCCATCCCACCTCCCGAGCCTTCCTCTTCCCGCAGCACGCCCGGCCCGGCCCGGCCGTGGCCCTCCTCAGTGCCGGCCGCCATGGCAGAGGCGTCCGGCGCGGGGAAAATCTAGCCCGGGGATTTCATGCGGCCTAGCTCGGTTCCGCCTCCTCCTCGCGCGGCCCCAGCGGCTGCCCGCACCCCAGCCCCACTCCGGGCCTCCGTGTCTCTCCTGTGATCGCACTGACACGGCCGGGGGGTTAGAATGGAACAAACTGAAGGTAAAGTGCGTGTGCGTGTGTGTATGTGTGTGTGTGTGTGTGTGTGTGTGTGCGCGCGCGCGCGTGTGTAGTGCTAGGAAGGGCTGAGGAGGGAACGACGGGGAGGGGGCGACCTAGGGATGGAGCGCCAGACCCCAGGAGGAATGGAAGGGGAAGCGGGTGGCCTGAAAGGGCTCGAGGGGAGTCCTGACGGAGGAGCAGATGGCAAGGTGGGGGGTGTGGAGGGAATTGGGGGGTGGGCCAGGGGAGGTGGGGAGTGGGATGGGAGTCGGAGTGGCGCTGAGCTGGGAATTGGGAAAGTGGGATGGGGGCGGGGATAAGGATGGATCGGGGAGGGGCAGGGAAAGGGGAGAAGAGTTGCATGGAGATTACAGACCTGGGTGGACTGATAAATAGGGAGATTTGGGGATGGAGTGTAGGAACCAGAAGAGTCTGGGAGAAGGGGATAAATTTGCTGGAGAAATGGGGCATTTTATGGGAATGAAGGGAGAAATGAGGAATGGAAGTGAAGGAAAAGGTGGATTAGGAAAGGGGATGAGGCAGGCTGCAATAGGAGAATGGGAAATAGACGCAGGAAACTGGAAGACAGGATTGGGCTAGGGAAGGAAATTAACTGAATGATGACAGGGATGAGAACGATCGACTTAGCGTCAGAGTGGGAGGAAGAGAAGGGGATGGAGGTCGTTAAAGTGTTAGGAAGGGAGGCCTTTTGTTCCTGTATTTGTGTGTATTCTGTGTCTTTCTTTCAAGGCTAGAGAATAGAGAAGCTGGTGGTTATGGGATTGTGATTGTTGTGAAATGGGGAGGTGTGGGTTTTACTGTTTTGAGGGAGAAGGCGATGTGTTTGTGTTATGGAAGGGAGGCAGGGAGAGACATGGCCATAATTTGATGGTTTTGGGGAGGGAGTGAAGATTATTTCGATTTAAAGGGGGCAGGGGCAGCCATGTTTGCTGCCAAGGCACTGCAGTGTAAATAAATTCCTTTTCCTCTCCGACATCAGTATGAATCTGGAAGGGGCCAATTCAGACTGTTAGCCCCCTTTCTTTCTATTCATGAACTCTTTTCCCCTTACGTCTTGGGTCATTTTAAATTATTCATAACCGCCAAAGGAGGTAGTGATGTTTTCCATCACTACCTTTTTGATGCTTTTCTCCCTCTCTTTACCCTCTTCCTTCTGGTTGCAAACAAGGTATGCTAATGAGCTGCAGTGTAAATTTAACCCATTTAATCAATTTAAAACTAGATTTTTACTAGCTGAAGGAATCATTACTACGCTTACATATCAAACATGATCGTGAAGTCTTTTACGTATTGAAAATTCGTTTGTTTCGGAAGCCTCAGAAGCAGTCAACATGTTTTCTGCAATTCTTTAAGTAAACAAGGAAATTGCATCGGTTATTTTACTTGGGCCTGTGCTCTTGGCAAAGCGCTGTGTCCGGGTGAAAGGGGTAGGAAGCTCTGCTTGTGGTAGATTATCGGCTTGCTGTATTTTGAATGTTGAAAAATTAGAAATGTATGTATTTTTAAATAGTATTTCTGATAGCTCTTGCTTATAGGTGATGAGCGTGTTAAGTGATGAGTGTGTTAAGAATAGTATTTTCTTTTTTAAATAAACTCTCTTTTCCCCATCTCTTCTCTTTGCCTTCATGTAGCTGGCTCAATACAATCTCCAGATGCCAGTTCAGCACAGTGCAATGATCTGTGAAGTAGGCATGCAGTTCTTAGAGTCTCATTGAGATGCCAGGGTTTTTTTGTTGTTGTTTTGTTTGTTCGTTTTTTGATTGAAACTTCAGTTGACTCTCAGGAAACTACAGTAACTAATATATTCAACTGTAACTACTTGTACAATTTGAAATAATTACTATTCTAAGGTTTAAATCCTGACAAATTTACAGAACATACATTGGTGTTAAGTAGAGCCTATTTTATTTCATATTGGATTAAATGTGTGTGTGACCTTTTGTTTTTATTATAGCAGTTGGAGTAATCCAAACTTTAACCTATCACATTGATATTGAAACTGTTCTCTAATACCAAGAAGGCCTGTTAACATTGTAATATGGTGGACTCAAACCAGTTGAACTACATTTAACCTACCTAAATGGCAACATCCTCTCAGTTGTTATACAGAAGCTTAGGATATATTCTTGGTTTGTTAGAAAAATGAAATTGAATGTTGTTAAAGTGGTACTTTGTAAATCTGGCTTTTACACTAAAAGCACCCTCTCAGCTTGTAGTATTTTAATTTGATAATATTCAGCCTGAATTTGTTTGAAATTCTGTGAGGAACAGTTGCATTAAAAAAAAAATTCAGCATGCTTTTTCTGGAATTTATTTTTATGGCAATTTAAGTTTTATATCTCCTACTTGATTGACATGTTATTTGTAATTAGCTGGTAAATTGTGTGCATGAGCTATCAGTGCTGCAAATTTTTAGGAAAATAAGCAATCATTAAATAGAAAAATTTGTGTTGGAAGCTTTCATTGCTTAAAAAAAAAAAAAAGAAAAAGTTTATTTTTATGTATGCAGCATCCTTTAAAGATCAGGGTTCCTGCCCAGCTGTCATAAGTATCCTGGTTCCTTGGACAGGTATTCATATACGAAGAAGCCTACTCTTGTTAAATAACACTTATAACCAATTAATATGTCCATCAGCCCACCTGTTACCTGTGTTGGCTTTTTTTTTTCTTTTTTTCCCTAACCCTTAAATTAACAAATGCCGTCTCTTACACTGATCAGATTGAATGAGTTTTGGATAAAGGAAACTGTCTTTGAGATTGGTGATTGTTGAGTGAACTGTCAAATCTGATTCTAATGACAGCGTTTCTGGAATTTATAATAATATTCATAATCCACTAATAGCTGCTCACAGTTGTCCTCACACTGTGCTATGCTGAGTGTCTCACATGCATGATTTCCTTTTATCCTCCTAACAGTTTTATGAAGTTAGTACTTTTTTTTTTTTTTTTTTTGAGAGATGGAGTCTCACTCCTGTTGTCTAGGCTGGAGTGCAATGGTGCGATCTCGGTTCAATACAACCTCCACCTCCCAGGTTCAAGTGATTCTCGTGCCTTAGCCTCCCGAGTAGCTGGGATTACAGGCACACGCCACCATGCCCTTCTAATTTTTGTGTTTTTTTGTTTTTGTTTTTGTTTTGAGACGGAGTCTCGCTCTGTCACCCAGGCTGGAGTGCAGTGGCATGATCTTGGCTCACTGCAAGCTCCGCCTCTCGGGTTCACACCATTCTCCTGCCTCAGCCTCTGGAGCAGCTGGGACTACAGGCGCCCGCCACCACGCCCTGCTAATTTTTTGTATTTTTTAGTAGAGACAGGGTTTCACGGTGTTAGCCAGGATGGTCTCGATCTCCTGACCTCGTGATCCACCCGCCTCGGCCTCCCAAAGTCCTGGGATTACAGGCGTGAGCCACCGTGCCCGGCCAATTTTTGTATTTTTTTTAGTAGAGACAGGGTTTCACTATGTTGGCCAGGCTGGTCTCAAACTCCTGACCTCGTGATCTGCCCACCTTGGCCTCCCAAAGTGCTGGAATTACAGGCATGAGCCAACACGCCCGGCCAAGATGGAGTTTGTTTGTTTGTTCGTTTGTTTGTTTTGACACGGAGTTTCACTCTTGTTGCCCAGGTTGGAGTGTCTCAAAAAAAAAAAAAGTTATTCACATATTCACATATTACAGAAGGCTAAGAAGTTAAAAAAATAAAGTTAGCATTCTTCTCCACTGATAACCACTTGAAGTTTCTTGTATGTCCCTCTGGAAAACTTCTATGCATGTATGTGTATATTTCTCTTAAAATATTTTCAAATGGATCATACTATCTGCATTTTGCTTTTTTGTTTTTTTGTTTGTTTTTTGAGATAGTTTTGCTGTTGTTGCCCAGGCTGGAGTGCAGTGGCGCGATCGTGGCTCACTGCAGACTTCACCTCCCGGTTCAAGCGGTTCTTCTGCCTCAGTCTCCCGAGTAGCTGGGATTACAGGCATGCACCACCGTGCCGGCTAATTTTTGTATTTTTAGTAGAGACGAGGTTTCCCAAAGTGCTGGGATTACAAGCGTGAGCCACCGCACCTGGCCACTTTTTCATTTTAACAGCCTATCTGGGACATCTTTTTAAATTAGTACCTATGAATCCACGGCTGGGCGCAGTGGCTCACGCCTGTAATCCCAGCGCTTTGGGAGGGAGGCTGAGGCGGGCGGATTGCTTGAGGTCAGGCGTTTGAGACCAGTCTGGCCAACATGACGAAACACCCATCTCTACTAAAAATACAAAAATTAGCCAGGTGTGGTGGCGGCGCCTGTAATCGCAGCTACTCGGAAGGCTGAGATGGGAGAACTGCCTGAACCCCGAGGGGGAAAGCCGCAGTAAGCTGAGATTGCGCCACCGCACTCTAGCCTGAATGACAGAGCGAGATTCCGTCTCAAAAACAAAACAAGGCCAGGCATGGTGGCTCACGTCTGTAATTCCCGCACTTTGGGAGGCTGAGGCAGGAGGATCACTTGAGGTCAGGAGTTTGAGACCAGTCTGGCCAGCATGGTGAAACTCCCGTCTCTACTAAAAATACAAAAATTAGCCGGGCATGGTGGTGCGTGCCTGTAATCCCGGCTACTCCGGAGGCTGAGACAGGCCAATCGCTTGAACCCAGGAGGCGGAGGTTGCACTGAGCTGAGATTGTACCACTGCGCTCCAGTCTGGTAGGCAAAGCGAGACTCCGTCTCAAAAACAAAACAAAACAAAGAACAAAAACAATAAAAATTAGTACATATGGATCCACAGCTTTTTTTTTTAAAGAGTCTTGTAAGTATTTCATTGTTTAAAACATCGATTAACATTTAGTTTGTTAGCAGGTTTTGCTATTATAAGTAAATAATAGTTGGTCCTGAATTAAGTTCCTAATAGCCTGTTAAATGGAAGAGAGATAGTACAACTACTTTATTTTAGAAGAGAGAAAACTGAGGCCTATGGAAGTGAAGTCTGGGGCTTTTTTGACAAACCCGTTACTTGGTTCTTTACAGCACAACCTATTACTTCCTTAAAGTATTGGAGCTGCCTGGCCGGGCGCAGTGGCTCACGCCTGTAACCCCAGCACTTTGCGGGGCCAAGGCGGGTGGATCACCTGAGGTCAGGAGTTCAAGACCAACCTGGCCAACATGGTGAAACCCCGTCTCTACTAAAAATACAAAAAATTAGCCGGGCCCGGTGGTGTGCGCCTGTAATCCCAGCTACTCTTGAGGCTGAAGCAGGAGAATCGCTTGAACCCAGGAGGCAGAGGTTGCAGTGAGCTGAGGTCGCGCCATTGCACTCCAGCCTGGGCAATAAAAGCAAAACTTTGTCTCAAAAAAAAAAAAAGAAAGAAAGAATTAGAGCTGCCTATGAAAACTCAAGGTGAGGGGGCAAACTTAAGGTTAAGTATATTTAGTAGAAAGAGTTAAAGGGGAGTAAGCTGCAGTGAGGCAAGAGATCTTGTATTTTTTCATATTTTATTCACCATGTTGTGAACATATATGCATAAAATATTTTTACATGCAAAAATGAATTGTGTCCAAGTTATCTTGAGGTGTGTGTTTTTGTATGAAGTGGATTTTAGTGGACTTTTTCTTGTTTGAATAAAATTATCAATAAAATAAGATAGCGATGAAACGAAAAAAATTAGAGGTCCATCATGGTCTTAGAAAAGGACCTGGAAAAAAAATAGAGACATTGGTAAAAATTTTAAAGTGAGCTAAAAATCCCTATTTGAAAACAAGTTAAAAATCTTAGCATGGACTGTTGCTTACTTTATTTAATTTTTTTTTTCTATCAAGAAGAAAATGGGTTACTTATTCATTGGGATCTTTTAAAACAAAAAGATAGTCTTGTCTGTTGTAGATACTTCAGAAATTAAAATTGTTAAAACTTTAAAAATGCTTAGAACTTGGCATCTGTCCATAAAATCTGTTTTTCAATGCAATTCTGTTTTTAGTTTTACTTTTTTTTTAAAAGCAGTCTATTATTTTTTGAAAAAGCAACTAAGATGATTCATTTATTTGTTAATAAACATGTCCAGCATTTGAGTTTTTAAATGAATGGTGAACTTTATTTCTGCAGGCCAATCTTTTTATGAATTATATTTATAAGTTATAAATAATTATACTTATATTGTTATATTAACAAGGACAAATGTAAGAAATTGCTTATACTAACATTATCTAACCTTTTTTTAAAAAGCTTACAGTTTTGTTTTCATTTTTACTGTTGCTGTTAGTAAATATGTAATAAAGACTTTAAACACTTCTGTAGTATGTTGTACCTGCACTGTGTAGCATGAAAAGAAGGTAAAGGTATATTTTAAATTTTGTGGACTTAGAGAATGTTCAGTTTTTACCACATGGATGTGTTGTTACTCCTAAAGCACAACTTTTTTGATAAGATTTTGAATTTGAAAAAGCTCTTTGAAAAAGTATTCTTAGCTTGTTTTTTTAGATGTGGATCTTTATCGTCATTAACTGATCTACAGTGATAACTTTTCCCCCTTCTAATATTTAATTACTAGGTTCTTTTTTCCATCTACATTTAGGGCTACTTAGAGCAAGTGACTAGGAAAATGAAAATTGTTAATATTCATACTGTTTCAGTTTTAGCCATGTGTAGCATGGAAAGATAAAACATGAATAATACCTTACATTTATGTGGCATCTTCTGAGGTGTTTGGTAGAATTCCCACAGAATAACTTGGCTTTTTAAAAATGTGAAGTTAGAAAGCACAAGAATTATTATTTATTTATTTATTTTTAAATTTTTTTTTCGAGACAGAGTCTCCCTCTGTTGCCCAGGCTGGAGTGCAGGGGCGCGATCTCGGCTCACTGCAAGCTCCGCCTCCCGTGTTCGCGCCATTCTCCTGCCTCAGCCTCCCGAGTAGCTGGGACTACAGGCGCCCCCCAGCACGCCCGGCTAATTTTTTGTATTTTTAGTAGAGATGGGTTTTCACCGTGTTAGCTAGGATGGTCTCGATCTCCTGACCTCGTGATCCATCCACCTCGGCCTCCCAAAGTCCTGGGATTACAGGCGTGAGCCACTGCGCCCAGGCAAGAATTATTTAACTCAGTCTTAAGATGGGAAAATTAAGATTTCAGAGACCCCTTCAGGCCAAATAGACTGTCATGTTACGGAGAATAAAATTTTCAGATTTCCGTATAATTAATCTTTTCTCTTTTTTTGTGAGACAGGGTCTGGCTCTGTTGCCTCTGCTGGACTGAAACTCTTGGGCTCAAGCAGTCTTCATGTCTCAGCTTCTCTAGTAGCTGGGACTACAGGCAGGTGCCACTGCGCCGGGCTCTGTATGATTACTTAAAACAAATTAAGACTGTGTGTGTCCTGATTTTTCTTCATAGCTTATATTACCCACATTCTAATAGATAATTAAATATTAAGTAACAAGTATTTTTCTACATAGGTGTGCTTTTTCTTATTTTGGTGTAAGTTATATACATATTTCCTAAGATATATAGATTTATTTATTTTTTTTATTTTTAGAGACAGGGTCTTGCTCTCTTGCCCAGGCTGGAGTGTAGTGGCATGATCCTAGATCATTGCAGTCTTGAACTCCTTGGATCAAGCAGTTCTCCTAGCCTCATCCTCTGGAGTAGCTATGACTACACACATGTGCCACCCTGCCCAACTAATTTTTTTTTTTTTGAGACAGGGTCTTCCTCTACCACCTAGGCTGGAGTGCAGTGGCACAGTCATGGCTCACTGCAGCCTCAACTTCCCAGGCTCAGGTGATCCTCCCACCTCAGCCTCCTGAGTAGCTGGGACTACAGGCGTGTGCCACCACACCCAGCTAGTTTTGCTTTTTTTTTTTTTTTTTTTTTTTTTGTAGAGACAGAGTTTTGCCAAGTTGCCCAGGCTGGTCTTGAGCTCCTGGGCTCAACCAATCCTCCCACCTCGTCCTCCCAAAGTGTTGGGATTATAGGCATGAGCCACTGTGCTGGTCCCCCTAGCTATTTTTTAAAATTTTTTTGTAGAGATGGAGTCTCACTTTGTTGCCTGGCTGGCCTTGAACACTTGGCCTCAAGTGATCCTTATAGGGAGGCGTTTTAAATTTAAGAATGGGTAGCTTATTGGGATTTCATAGGTTAAAAAAATTAGTTTATCAAATTGATTTGAGATTAAGAAGATCATATGGAGATACTCCTAGTGGCATTTGGGCCATAGCCAAGACAATATTGTGTCTATTGAATCTTATGTTATCTAATTTCTCTTAGCTGTGGAGGCTTAAGAAAGCTATATGTAAAAAACAAACAAAAACTTTAAGAAATAGGCATTTTAAAGCCTTTTACGTTATGAAATGTGAAATATAAAAAAAAGCATATAAAACTTGAATGTACAGTATAAACAAATAATTAGGAAGTGAAAATACAAAAATTAGGCGTGGTGGCACACGCCTGTAATCCCAGCTACTCGGGAGGCTGAGGCAGGAGAATGACTTGAACAAGGGAGGCGTAGGTTGTAGAGAGCCAAGATTGCGCCACTGCACTCCAGCCTGAGCGACAAAGCAAGACTCTCCATCTCAAAAAAAAAAAGAAGTGAACATCGGGTAACTATCACCCAGGTAATAAGTCCTTTAAGAAAAGCTGCAGAGACAACCTCATTGGTTTAGCTGGTATTGCTTTGGTGGTAGTTGGACTTTAGGGACAAAAATGTATTGATGTCCTTGGTTTTTCTTTTTTCTTTTTTTCTTTCTTTCTTTTTTTTTTTTTTGAGAGGAGTCTCGCTGTGTTGCCCAGGCTGGAGGTCCAGTGGCGCAATCTCGGCTCACTGCAACCTCCGCGTCCCGGGTTCAAGCGATTCGCCTGCGTCAGCCTTCCGAGTAGCTCGACTACAGGTGCCCATCACCACACCCGGCTAATTTTTGTAGTTTTAGTAGAGACTGGGTTTCGCTATATTGGCCAGGCGTGAACCGCCGCGCCCGGCTGGTGGTTTTTTTTTTTTTTTTAATAATAGTAAGAACCTGCGGCCGGGCGCAGTGGCTCATGCCTGTAATCCCAGCACTTTGGGAGGCCGAGGCGGGCGGAGCACCTGAGGGGAGGAGTTGGAGACCAGCCTGGCCAACATGGCGAAACCCGTCTCTACTAAAACTACAAAAATTAGCCAGGCGTGGTGGCAGGCGCCTGTAATACCAGCTACTCAGGAGGCTGAGCCAGGAGAATCGCTTGAACCCGGGAGGCGGAGGTTGCAATGAGCCGAGATTACGTCACCTCACACGCCAGCCTGGGCGAAAGAGCGAAACTGTGTCTCAAAAAAAAAAAAAAAAAGAACCTGAAGAATTCATAAGCATGCGAGTTCAACGAATATAAAAACTGAATAACCAGTTTTTAATTGTTATTGCCAGAAGGGGTCTCTGAACAATATTTTTAAGGTAGCTTTCTAACATTTATTGTCAGTGTTTAGTGATTTGAAATCTTAGTACCTTACCGATGAATAACAAAAAATAATACTGAATCCTGTAAGAAAGTGCCATTTTATACAAAATGTTGTTTGTTTAGAGTTCATCTCTGTTGCACTTTTTGGTAAGATTCAGTGATTAGGTTTTAAATTAACATGCAAACTCTAAAATGACTTACTTAGAAAATGTCGATTTGTCTATATTGTTAATTTCTTAGCTTAACTATCTTAATTAACAAAAATGAGTTTGACACTCCTGCTTTTGCAGTATTGGAACCATTCAAAAAGTATTAACCTGAGAAGTAATCAGTGATGACAATCTATGTTTGACCCTTCATCCTTGGTACTTCTTGAGTTTTAACTTTTCTGTAATTTGGGCAAGAGAACCAAATTTCTTTTGAAGCTGGAGAAACTGCATTATGCTTTCCTGGCCTTCAAGAATATTTTCTTAGGTATTTGGAAAGGTTAAGTGTTGATTTTTGAGGATTAGGATAGCAGAAAAATTTGAATGCTTTTTTCCCACTGAGTACCTGCTGAATACGGTCTATTTGCGTACAACTCTGCCATGTGAACTTTGAGAAAGGCATTTTTATAAATTAAAGCCTTTATTTGGTTATTATAATTTTGTCACTCTAAGTGGTCTCCTTTTGTATGATCTCTGCAAGATTCAAATGCATCAGAATATAGTATTTCATATTAGATTGTGGTGAGAAACTTCTTGCTTTGTTTTATTGTATCCTTGAATTCTTTTCTGTAGTGCAATAGCATGTTATTCTTTTTTACTCCCACTGAAGGTTAAATATATTTCTTGCTAATTTTTCCCCTGCATGGGCGATAGCGATTTTAAATCTTGAACGTGTATGTTGAGTTTTCCTAGATGTGGAAGTAATCATAATTTGATATTTTTAGAAAGATAAATTAGGTAATGTGGCTTTGTGTATGCAGTAGAGTTAATATGCTTTTATTCACCTCATGGTTTCTATGTCATTACCACCTGTTGGTTTTTATTTTTTAATGGAAAACTTGAACTTCTCCAAAGTGACTAGTTTTAAAATAACATTTATGTAAGGATTGTTTATACAGAGAAATTGAAAACCAGAAGGTATAAAGACAATTAAAATTATCTAAAATTCTACTAGTTAGAAGTAACTACTATTAATATTTTGTTCTATATCCTTCCAATATTTTTTCATATGTATTTTTTTTACATAGTTGGAATTGTGCATCCATATTATTTTGTAATATGTTTTATTATTTAATATATTATGAAATAAATGTTTGTGATTTAAAAAATCAATATAGAATTTCAGTGTACAGGTGTGCTATTATCTGTTTACCATTCTGTGTTGAAGGTCTTTTAGGCAGTTTGCAATTTTGGGATATTGTAAGTTGATGGACATCCTTATACATTAAAAAAAATTATATGGCTGATTATTTCATTACAATAAATTCCTAGAAGTAGAATTACTTAAAAGATATAAACATTTTGAAAGCTTTTGATACATATTTCCAAACTGTTCTCTTGAAAGATTTTTTAAAATAATAGTTTTATTGAGATATAATTCACATACCCAAAATTTATCCATTTAAAGTATACAATGCAGTGGCTTTTAGTATGTTGACGGGGTTATATAACCATCACCACAATCAATTTTAGAACATTTCCAGAAAGGTTTGAACCAGTTTAAACCCAGCAATATTATAAAGTTTTGTTTTAAAAACAGCATTTATTCATAACATTTAAAGTAGTACAGTATACAGGAACACAACAGCTTGTGTGATATATACTTTATATGCATTTGAGAGAGATTTTAGAAAGTCCTTCATGAGAAGATGATGCTCCTACGTCCCATTTTAAGAAAACCTGACATATTAAGCTTAAGCTGATTAAACAAAATATGAGGTATATTTTTTTGAATTATAAAATTATTCTCCTGAGCCTGGGCGACAGAGCGAGACTCTGTCTCAAAAAAAAAAAAAAAAAATTCTCCTGGACAGTCAGAATGTCTTTATTGAGAGAGTATTGTGTATGGTTTAAAATTTTTTTAAAAAATTCAAATTTGATTTAGAAACACTTTATTTTAGAAAACATCTGTGGAAAGTATGTTTTACCTATACAGTTAACTGTAGCAAACTTATCACCTTATAGAAAATATGGTTTTCTTTTAAGAGAGGTTTGCTTTGTTCTAATTGACCTTCCCCCCGAAAGTTGTTCTTTTGTTATGTTCGCTTAAGCCGTTTAACAAAACATTTTTTAAAAACTGGGTGGGCTGGCTGGGCGTGGTGGCTCACACCTGTAATCCCAGCACTTTGGGAGGCCGAGGTGGGTGGATCACTTGAGGTCAGGAGTTTGAGACCAGCCTGGTCAACATGGTGAAACCCCATGTCTACTAAAAATACAAAAATTAGCCAGTGTTGTGGTGCACGCGTGTAGTCCCAGCTACTCAGGAGGCTGAGGCAGGAGAGTCGCTTGAACCCAGAAGGCAGAGGTTGCAGTGAGCTGAGATCGTGCCACTGCACTCCAGCCTGGGCAACAGAGCGAGACTCTGTCTCAAAAACAAAAACAAAAACAAAAACAAAAAACAAAACTGGGAGGGCAGTGAAGTATAGGGCAAGAGTCAAGGAGATCTGAGTTCCTATCCCCACTTCACTTTACCACTGAAGATCAGTGTTCTTATCTCTAAAAGTGCAAATGAAAATTATTCTTGGAGTTACAGGGATTCAAATTAGAAGTACTAGAGTGTGCGTAGAACTGTACCAGACACATAGTTGATAATGAATAACTTTTTTAATAGAAGAAAAATAGTGTACACAAAATGAACTAGTCTTTAGTCACATGTTTAATGGAAGAAGAACTGAACTCAATTGGCTAAACTCACTTTCATAGAAGTTAAAAGTTGAACATCAACTAATACCTGAAGAGAATCTTTGCCTAGGTTATATGAGTTTTTCTTAATTGTTGAGAGAATTCATGCTGGTTCAAGTTTGAACATGAAGTTAACTTTCCAGTCCAATTTTACTTCCACTGTTTTATTACAACTCATGATGGCTAAAGCTTCACTAAAGCTTGGTGTTCTGATTAAACAAACAGGTGATGTGAAATTTGGATATATAGTATGAAATTCTGAATTTTCTAACTTTTATTACTTATTTTGAAAACTACATGTTGAATACTAAAATACTACATGTTGAACCTAAAATACTAAAGCGATAAACAAAAAAAACAAAACCCAAACTGGTCTTTATAGAAAAGATAAACTTAGTAAATTATTATTTAGATATAATAAATTGCTTAGTGCCTTAAAAACTACATATCATCTTTGGCATACATTCTCTTTTGCCTTTTTTGGGGGAATGGAGGATACAAGCTAAAAGAAAGTAAATTTGAATGCTTGCAAAATTTTAAGAACCAATCTCAAACCATTTTACCATAATTTAAAAGTTTGTCCAGGAAATAGGTAAGAAAATATGTGGATGAACTTGTTAGTTTACTAGATTTCATAGTGAATGGAACAAGATGACTGATGAAAGTTGTTTGTAGTAATTTTCATTGTGAGCAACTACCCTTGCTGTAAAGGATTGGAAAATAATGTAATTTCCTTCAAGTGGTAATACCATGTCTGTTGTTGCTGGGTGTGGTCAGCAACAAAGCGAAGACAGTTGAGGTTAAACTAGATAGATAAGGGAAACAGGGTGTTTTACTAGTAAGCTTTGTATTGGTAAAAGGCAGTTCAATAGTAATGTGGTTTAGTCAGGAAAAAAATATGAACTACAAAGCCACCTAAAATGTTGTATAACTTAATGGAATCATAGTCAAGTGAAAACTGTATGATTGAATTTAGTGACAGGATTTATGGTTAAATGAAACACTTTTTTGTTGTTGTTGTTTTCTTTTTTGTATTTTGTTAACTAAGTTCTACTTCACGCAGGTTACTTCCTAATTCAGGATATTTTAATGTCTTTAATCATCATCCTTCTCTAAACATCTTTCTCTAAATTTTTAGTGGAAAATTTAAAGTGAACACATTTCAGAAAATATTTGAGGTGACAACGCTAAAGTTAAACAGATTATGGAGTAGCACAGTTATTCTTTACAGATAATTTGCTGCCTGGTGCAGTGGCTCACACCTGTAATCCCAACACTTTGGGAGGCCAAGGCGAGTGGATCACCTGAGGTCAGGAGTTCGAGACCGGCCTGACTAACATGGTGTAACCCCCTTTAGCTGGGTGTGATGGTGCATGCCTGTAATCCCAGCTACTTGGGAAGCTGAGGCAGGAGAATCACTTGAACCCTGGAGGCAGAGGTTGCAGTGAGCCGAGATTGTGCCAGGGCACTCCAACCTGGGCAACAAGAGCAAATCTCTGTCTCAAAAAAAAAAGATATTTTGCTTTATTAATAGTTTAAACTCAGAAAAGTTTAAAAAAAGTTAAGAGAAAACATACAACTTCTCTAACACACCTTGATTCCTTACTAGGATTTTGTAAAGAGAATCGTGGCCATGCTGATTTTACTCCCTAAAATCCTATCTATGTCACTAACTGTATTGGTTGTGAATTTCATATAATTGTTTGATATTACAAATAATGGTCATCTTAAATAATGTTAAGGTGATAGATGAGATTTAAAGTTAGTTTTTTATTTATTTATTTTTTTGAGACAGAGTCTCACTCTGTCACCCAGGCTGGAGTGCAGTGGCACAATCTCAGCTCACCGCAACCTCCACCTCCCGGGTTCAAGTGATTCTCCTGCCTCAGCCTCCCTAGTAGCTGGGACCACAGGCATGCACCACCACACCCAACTAATTTTTGTATTTTTGGTAGAGACAAGGTTTCACCATGTTGGCCAGGCTTGTCTTGAACTGCTGACCTCAAGTGATCTGCCTGCCTCGGCCTCCCAAAGTGCTGGGATTATAGGCATGAGCCACCACACCTGGCCAAAAGTTAGTATTTTAACCACATATATATATATATTCTTTTCAGAATGAAAACTCAAGCCCTACACTTATGTATTGATAATAGGAGGAATCACAGCTCATTTTCCCATTTTTCGTGGTCATTTTATATATGTGGATCACCTGATCCAACCTTTCTTATGATGTTAAATGAAAACCCAAAGATACTGTCTGTCCTCGGAATTTATGCAGCTAAGTTAGGGGTAGAAGCAGAACTAAAATTCAAGTCTTATGACTCTAAGACCAATGTTAGAGTACATCCTTCTACTCTGTGGACATTTTGCTTGTCCCTAGGTATATGAGTTTGTCTTACTCTGGCATAGAGATCTATTTGCTGAACTTCCTCTTATGTGACTTCTTTCTAGCATCACAGTAATATTAACAGATTTCTTTAAAAATTTATAATTCTTATTTAATATAAGCTTTTAAAGGATGTTTTTGTTAAGGTAAAATTTGAAAAATAATGTAGATCAGCACTGTCTAATAGAATTTTCTATGATGACAGAAATATTCTGTATCTGCACTGACCAATATGGTAACCTTAGCCACATGTTGATGTTGAATGCTTGAAATATGGCCATTGTAACTGAGGAACTAAATTTTTAATGTAATTTAATTTTAACTTGTTTAAATTTAAATAGCTACGTGTGGTTAGCCCAGAATTAGCTATTCTTAGTGAAGGGAAAGAATTAAGTAGATATAGGCTGGGCACGTTGGCTCACACCTGTAATCCCAGCACTTTGGGAGGCCGAGGTGGGCAGATCATGAGGTCAAGAGATCAAGACCATCCTGGCCAACATGGTGAAACCCCGTCTCTACTAAAAATTCAAAAATTAGCCAGGTGTGGTGGCGGGCGCCTGTAGTCCCAGCTACTCACGAGGCTGAGGCAGAGAATTGCTTGAACCCAGGAGGCAAAGGTTGCAGTGAGCTGAGATCATACCATTGCACTCCAGCCTGGCGACGACAGAGACTCTATCTCAAAAAAAAAAAAAAAAGAATTAAGTAGATGTGAACATAATTGTACATTCTTTGCCTTGTGATTACTATATTTGTGTGTTTTTGTGGGCTAGATGTTTAAAATCTCATTTTTCCAGTGTGTTTGCTACGTTAGATGGTAAATAAATTCTTCATGGCAAAGAAAGATAACTATAACTTATCAGTAATAGTTGTTTGAAAGCTGGAATATTTTAAAAGTCTTTTAATCAGTGCAATTACTAGCAGACTATAGATTGCCGACCAACAAAATGATTTAAATACAGAATGCATTGCCTTCATTTCAGCTTTTTTTTTTTTTTTTTTTTTTGAGACAGAGTCTCACACTATCACCCAGACTGGCGTGCAGAGGTGCGATCTTGGCCCACTGCAACCTTCGCCTCCCAGGTTCAAATGATTCTCATGCCTCAGCCTCCCGAGAGTTCCATTTCAGTATATTTTGGATCAGTTATGTTTACATAACATTTAAGATTTAAACTTTATACTACATGGAATACTTGAGTAAACCGTAATTTAAATCTTTTTACTATAGCCATAACTCAGAAGCCTCTGAAACAGAGTGAACGTCAAAGGAAATAAAAGTACCTGATGATCATCTTTTTCCTTGTCTTTTTCCAGCCTCTCTATATGACTGATTCCTGGTTTTGGTTTCATTAGTTTTTTAATAAGAATCTAAGCCGGGTGCGGTGGCTCACACCTGTAATGCCAGCACTTGAGGTCAGGAGTTCGAGACCAGCCTGGCCAACATGCGGAAACCCCGTCTCTACTAAAAATACAAAAATTAGCCAGGCATGATGGCGGGCACCTGTAATTGCAGCTACTCTGGTGGCTGAGGCAGGAGAATCGCTTGAACCTGGGAGGCAGAGGTTGCAGTGAGCTGAGATCGTGCTAGTGTACTCCAGCTTGGGTGACAGAGCGAGACTCCGTCTTCAAAGAAAAGAATCCAGCCCCCCGTCCCTGTATTGTATTACCCTGTTTTATAGTAGCATATCACTATCTGAAATTTCCATGTTTATTTTAGCTCCATGAGACTAGAATCTTATTTCTTTGGATTTCCCAAGATCTAGAACAGGGTCTGGTACATAGTTAGTGTTCAGTAGTGAACCACATCACAGACAAAAACAAAAATAAGACTCTACAAGGAGAAAGATATATAACATGGCACTTGGAGTCTGGGAATAGGCAAGGTGAGACTCAGCTTTTGCTTATCTTGGCAGTGTTGGTGTGGGTGATTCAAGCTGGTTAGTTTAATTTTGTATAGAAATGTTTCTCTGCGAACTCAATTAAAAACAAAACTTTTGTCCAGACATACAATATATACTAAATAAATTCTATCTGCCTCATGGAGCTGGAAAAGGGAAACAAACATGAGAAAATATTTCCGTGGTCAGTTTTTGACTAGTCAGTCTCATTTATTTGGGAAAACAGAGGTTATGGGATTTACTCAAATGCCTGTTCTTGAGTAGTGTTTTAAAATGTGAATGAAAGTCTGTTTATTTAGGAAACTTGCACATTATTTATCTTTACAAAATAAATTTCCACCTAGTGATTACTCTTTAGAAAAATTGTTGGATTAATATAATTCTTTGTGATGGCTATGAGGGGCTTTTCTTAAAACTGTGACTATTATATGTTTAAATTAACAAGACTTTAAAAAATGATTCTTACTATAGTGCTGTCTTTATTACTACAAGTTTTCTTTCTCCCTATATATTTTTATGAAAATCAGCCACAAAATTCAATGTGGCCCAGAGATTTTGGTTGTCAGAAATGGAAAATCTTAAATAGGTGTTTTAGTAGTAAAAGGACCCATAGCATTTTATTATGTCATGCATAGTAGTGGCTTGACTGCCATTTTGTTATTTGTATCAGGTCTACCCCTAGAATGAGAGTAAACTCCAGAGTATAGAAAGCTGCGGCAGCTGTGCCAATGAAATGGGAGAAATTCTTTCCATTTCTTCTGCTTATGTGAGAGATGACAGTAACACCCTACCAGCAATTAAAATCTAATGGCTTTTCCTGGTTGTCCAGGGACAAATTGTAGGTCACATCATCATGCCTGTATCTATAGATAAAACTATTTATGTTGTAATGGGGCAAGACTTCTGTTGTTGTTGTTGTTGTTGTTGTTGTTGTTGTTGTTTGAGACGGAGTCTTGCTCTGTCACCCAGGCTGGAGTGCAGTGGCACGATCTTGGCTCACTGCAACCTCCACCTCCCAGGTTCAAGCGATCGTCCCACCTCAGCCCCCTGAGTAGCTGGGACTACAGACGCGCATCACCATGCCTGGCTAATTTTTTTTTGTATTTTTAGTAGACACGGGGTTTCACCAGGTTGGCCAGGCTGACCTCGAACTCCTGACCTCAAAGTGATCCACCCACCTTGGACTCGCAAAGTGCTGGGATTACAGGCATGAGCCACCGCGCCTAGCCTAAGACTTCTTTTTTAAGTGATATTTCTATTTTGGGTACACCAAATCTTAGGTTAATGAATCTAAGGATTCCCCTCCTTCTGTTTATAGGGATGCTCCTGAAACTGAAGACAACCAAGTGAGTGGAAAGGCTTTCAGAAAAACCCTTGTTGCTGCTGTAACAAATTACAACAAACTTAATGGCTTAAAACGACACAGATTTATTCTTTTACATTTCTTGATGTCTGACATGGGACTAAAATCAAGGTGTCAGCGGCAGAGGTGCGTTCCTTCTGGAGGCTCTAGGAGAGAAACTGTTACCTTGATTTATCTAGCTGTTTCCTTCCCTTTTTTTTTTTTTTTTTTTTTTTTGAGACGGAGTCTCACTCTGTTACCCAGGCTAGAGTGCAGGTGCAATCTCAGCTCATGGCAACCTCTGCCTCTCAGGTTCAAGTGATTCTCCTGCCTCAGCCTCCAGAGTAGCTGGGACTACAGGCACGCACCACCATGCCCAGCTAGTTTTTGTATTTTTAGCAGACAAGAGTCTCACCATGTTGGCCAGGCTGCTCTCGAAGTCCTGACCTCAAGTGAGCCCCCGCCTCTGCCTCCCAAAGTGCTGGGATTACAGGCATAAGCCACCATGCCCGGCCCTCTTCCTCCATTTTCAAAGTCAGCAGTCTTCAAATCTCTCTCTGACTCTGATCCTTCCCACCAAAAGGATGATAAGGATCCTTGTGATTATGTTGGGTCCACCTGAATAGTATAGGATAATCTCTCCATTGCAGCATTGTGTTTGCTGCCATTCCTATGTTCATTTAGCAGCTTTCTTCCCTCACATACTAGGGGATGGGGATACAGCAGTGAGCAAGATGTAGAAGTACGCAGTACCTTCGTTAACACGGAAGTAGTTTTGTTTTGTTTTTCTTTCCATGACTGAAGGCACTACCACACTTTACTTTGGAAACTAAAGATAAATCTGAACTTCAGTTATCAGCGCACATTTGGCAATTCTCTGAGCACTGAAGTTACTCAAAGACACCTAAATATCTCGTGACATTCCAAAATAAATTGATTTTATGTTGAGCACAGGTTTTGTATTAGTCTATAAATGATACAAAAAAGGAAGTCTTTTTTTAGAGTTTCAGATTCTCATCATGTGTTATGTTCTACAGTGATGATGTTGTGACAGTTTCTCTTACGCTGTTCATAGTGAATGTAGGTTTTGTATACTGATACAAAAGACAGAGCTTCGTGTCATAATATCCCACTGTTTAGGAAAATATGAATCACAATATGTTGTCAATTGTTTATATATGCTTGTAGAATTATTATTAGATTCATGGTAGAGCATATTTAATGTGGTTATGTAAATGTTTAAAGTTTCTTGGAAAAAAATTCTTGACAAGTCGTGACTCTTTTGGATGATGTACTTACACTCGTATTTTGAGCACTTAATAAAATATCTAATTTTAATTTTCCAATGAAAAGATTACTTGCTAAAATTAAAAAATTACATACTAAACTTTTTAAAAAGTTTAAAAATAATTGGGGCAAATTTTTTTTCTGTTTTCCTCTGAGTGACGTTACATTTATGAGGTCTTTCTTAGGAAGGAAGAAGCAAATCTGTACTCTCAGTTCAAAATCCATGCCATTAAAAAACAGCCTGTGATATTTCAATAATACTGCTTAATGGTATTAGCACATATTAAGCTTTTTAAATTGTTAATCCAATCTTGTGCCCCCCCCCCCCCCCCCGCCTTACTGTAATACTCTATTCTGTTTTGGATTGATTTGTTTATTGATAATGTGCCAGGCACTATAGTTGGCTCTGGGAATTCAAGGATGAACTAGTTTCATGTCCTGTAACTTTCAGTCTGTCCATATTCTCTGGCATCTAAGTTGTTTTTATTTCCTGGAATTTTATAGTGTGCTTTCATTAAATACTTATAATTTGGTTTTGCAACATATGAAGAAAAGCCCTTCTAAAAATCTAGATCATTTGAAACCTGTGATATTAAGAAGCCAAGAAGGTTCTCAATGGAAGTCTTTAGGTACTGGTTTATAATAGGTCTTTGGAAAGGAGCTCCTCTCTCTTCCACTACAGGTTAGAACTTGTTTCCTAAGCCAAAAATGCCTGAGGTCCCCTGCATCCTCTCTCCCCGTCGTCACACCCCCAGCTTCTCAACCCTGGATATTTTCCTTTGTCATCCAGGACACTTGTCCCTTTCTGTCTTTTTTTTTTTTTTTTTTTTTTTTTGAGACGGAGTCTCGCTCTGTAGCCCAGGCTGGAGCGCAGTGGCGCGATCTTGGCTCACTGCAAGCTCCGCCTCCCAGGTTCACTCCATTCTCCTGCCTCAGCCTCCTGAATAGCTGGGACTACAGGCGCACGCCACCACGCCTGGCTAACTTTTTGTATTTTTAGTAGAGACGGGGTTTCACCGTGTTAGCCAGGATGGTCTCGATCTCCTGACCTCGTGATCCGCCCGCCTCGGCCTCCCAAAGTGCTGGGATTACAGGTGTGAGCCACCGCGCCCGGCCCCTTTCTGTCTTTTGTTTTTATTGTTCAAGTATCAAACATAATTTATTTCTGGCCGGGAGCAGTGCCTATAAGCCTAGCACTTTGGGAGGCCAAGGCAGGCGGCTTGCTTGAGGCCAGGAGTTGGAGACCAGTCTGGCCAACACGGTGAAACCCTGTCTGTGCTAAAAATAGCAAAATTAGGCTGGGCGTGGTGGCTCACAACTGTAATCCCAGCACTTTGGGAGGCCAAGGTGGGTGGATCACTTGAAGTCAGGAGTTTGAGACCAGCCTGGCCAACATGGTGAAACCCCGTCTCTACTAATAATACAAAAATTAGCTGGGCTTGGTGGCGCGTGCCTGTAATCCCAGCTACTCGGGAGGCGGAGGTTGCAGTGAGCCAAGATTGTGCCGCTGCACTGCAGCCTGGGTGACAGAGTGAGACTCTGTCTCAAAAAAAAAATTATTTCTCCTTCATTTATTGAAAAGAGTGGTCCTTCTTATGCTTTTGCTTCGTTATTTAATAACTAAATGTCATATAACAAGTCCTGTTCTGGAAGGGTAACTTCTGTTGATACATCTTGAGTTTATTATATATAGATGGAGCTAGACTACTTTGTTTTGGATGCATGTTGTTAGTAATTATACAAAAATGGCATAATTTGCTTCACGTCTTGGAGGAAAGTGAGTAAAATTACATGAAAATATAAAGGGAATGTATTTTTCCCAAATTTTTTTTTTAAGCAAGCAGATTTTCCAGTTTAACCCAGAAATTAGTCAGCAGCTTAGAGTTCTTTCTAAAAGGCTACCATGGAAAGTACCTTTAAGTCAAGATATACAGATAAGGTTTACTAATATAGAACATTTGTTTTACATACTAAAATGCTGTAAGCCCTTTTTGTCATTTGGAGAATTGATGTTTTATTAGTATAACTGCTGAAAAGTAGTACAGGAAAATGTTTTCCCCTAAATCATAGCCTTAAACTTTGAAAGAGTCAGCCTCAACCAGAATGGTAGTAAACCTCTTTAAATGATTCAGAGTTTGACCAGCAGTCTTTTCAAACCTCATAATTTTGACATCCTCAAGTTTTCATTAAAAAAGCTATAGGAGAACTAAAAATGTGTTAAGTGCTTATACAATTAATATATAATGGCCTTTGAATCTGAGAAGTCCAAGTATATGCATTACCATGGGAATTTAAGAAATTATTTGGACTGGCACAGTGGCTCATGGCTGTAATCCCAGCCAAAGTGGGAGGATTGCTTGAGTCCAAGAGTTCAAGACCAGCCTGGGCAACATGGCAAAACCCTGTCTCTACAACAAATTTTAAAAATTAGCCAGGCATGGTGGTGCACGCCCATAGTCCCAGCTACTTGGGAGGCTGAGGTGGGAGAATCACCTGAGCCCAGGAAGTTGAGGCTGCCATGAGCTGTGATTGCACCACTGCACTCCAGCCTCAGTGATATAGTGAGACCGTCTCAAAAAAAAAAAAAAAATTGTTTGAGAGGAAATGCCCACATTTTAGTGAGAAATAATTTGCATTTGTACTATCGTGGTTCAAACTTTTTGGATAACTGTAACTGCCAACTGTATAACACTTGGATGCCACTAAAAGCACTGTATTTTGTTTGTGGATGAAATAGTGAGATCTATTTTATAGATGGTGTTTGTTCCCTCAAAGGATAAAATAATCTAAAGACAAATAGAACAATCACTTGCATTTGTAATTTCATTTTTATTTCCTTGACAAAACATTTTCAAGCAGGATCCGTTTTGTTTGAAAGTTAACATTGAGTTGTATAGTCACTGTACCAAATTTGGTTATTGCTTTTGTCTGTAGTGAGGGCTAGATTAGATCCTATCGATTCTAGCTGCTTTCAGTGAATAAAAGACAAACATTTTTGTTCATTTCCTTTTTGGTACCATAGGGGCGTGGTCAAGTTCTTAGAACCAGGTGGTTGGTTTTTACTTTTTGTTTCCTCCAGAAGTCCACACCCACATCTCTGCTTTTTCTTGTGTATGTGTGGGGTGAGGGTGAAGTTAAAATGTGATTAGAAAGGACTCATGGCTTTCAAAGGAAGAATATTGATTTTTAGTGTAATTTGTGCCCTGTCCTTAGGGTAGAAATTGACTTTTGCTTCTGTTCATACTTCATAGCAGTTTGGTTTTGCTGATTTCTAAAGGTATGTGTTTGGGTCCTTTAAAAATATGTATGTACTACTTCAAAAAGGGATGAGGGGCTTGCAGTTTCACAATAAATAGCATTAAAAACTTACCTCCATTATTTTTAAACAATACACATTTGTTACTGTATTACTAAAAATTTTTTAATTATGAAAACCTAAATGGGCAATACCAGAATTTATAACTTATAGTCAAAGGGTTACTCTGATCATATATTTAGATTAAAATATTAGTAGAACACAGAACCAGAAAGAATGGAGTCTTTTTTAAAAACTGACATTAGAGGATTTTAGCATCTTCTATAGTTACGCATTTTTTCTTTGTAGAGTTTCTGGTTTCACCCTACCAAACCCATATACTGAAAATAATGGAGCATATTAAAAAAAAAATTAACTGTTCCTTTCCCCCCATTTACTTCTTGGTGTCAATTTGGGGAAAAATTGTAAAACGAGAATCTCCCTTGATGCTGTCACCCGGAGATCTTTATATTCTGTGATCAAATGTGAGTCACATTCAGAAGATGTTTTTAGGGGGGCTTTGCGTGTATGTACATATTAAATTGATTTCAAAGACAGGATCCAAATACAGGATCACTGAAACATTAAGTGATCATTCAGTTAGAAATTAGTATATGAATATATTTGATAGCTTTCTCTTTATACTTCACAGAATCTATGCTTAAGCTTGTCTTTATGTACTGCGTTTAAAACAAAATGACCCTCTAGTTTTTTAACATTATGTATCTTAAAAAAAATTTTTTTAAATAATGTTTTTGCTGCATAAATTGCCAAACATGCTAGGTTTTCAAGAACCAGCATAGCTGGTTCATTACTGTAGACTGTCTGCATGTACTCCATTCCTGTTACTATGGAAACACATTGAGTGTGGATTTATCATAAACCTTGAGAAATATTCCTTGCAACAGTTCATATAAAGAAACATCTGGATCCCTTGTTTATCCTGGGGTGAAGGAAGACCACCGTCTTCCTCTGTGTTGTGAAAATCATATTATATTCCACCATTTTTTTCTAGCTGTAAAAATTCTCATGTACATCTATCAAGTATACTTTGTTTTATAGTATGATTGATTATGTTTACTAGAACAACTTTGGAAAATAGATTGATTTTCATGCTGATTCAGTTAACTACAACTATGACAATTGTATTTTGAGAGCTTCTACATTCTGAATTTCAGACCTACATTAATAAGGTTTTAAATATATATATACATATGAGTTTCTTTTTTTAATATATTTTGGTCTTTGGTTGGGTTAACACTCCCTCTGGAAGTTTATTTGACTTCATTCCAGTCTCTTGGAACTTTAAACCTTCATGAAAGTTAAGTCTAGAACTAAAGAGAATCTCAGTGACATCTAAGTGAGCTAAGTTGTTAGTCTCATTTTACCAAGGATATTACCTGAGGAGACTGTAACTGCTTTTATATTCTGTTACTACCTCCATGCAAAGACCCACAGCAGCTCTGTGAAGCATTTCATTTATATAAAATAACTTCTTTAAGTTTATGTAGTTTAGTTTAAAAGATTCATTGAAGCCCCTCCTCTGAGCCTTTGAGTTAGGTTCCAAGAGCATATATGGGAATAACATTACTTCCTGCTCTTAAGAAAACTCACATAAACAGATCATTTTATGGTTAATTCTGAGAGGCACGCATAGAATATCTTAGAACACAGAGGAAAGTTACTCAGACTAACTTAGAGCTTAAGTGACTACTTCTTGGAAATGACATTCTGAGCTCAAAAGATGGTTAAGAGTCAAGCAAAAAAAATAAAAAAGGAAAAGGGTATATTATGGATAGGATATAATATTAGTAAAGGCACAGAGGAGTGAAATCATGGTGTGCAGAGAAATTTCCAGTGATTTTATATTACTAGAGTACAAAAATGACTTGAGGTTGAAGAGGTAGGTTAGCGACCTTGCTTGGAGGGCCTTATATGATCTGTCAGTCTAAGTGCTTGGCCTTTTTCTGGGCAATGGGAAACCATTGAAGGATTTTAATCAATAGAGTGTTGTGGTTTGATTTACAGATTAACCTAGGAATGTATTTGTAGAGTAGCTGTGTCTGAAAACAGAAATAGACAATTTATATGACATCTTAAAACCACTTCTAATTCCAAAATGCTTAAATAATGATATCAATGTAAGGATTTTTTTTTTTTTTTTTTTTTTTTTTTTGAGATGGTGTCTTGCTTTGTCACCCAGGCTGGAGTGCAGTGGTGTGATCTTGGCTCACTGCAACCTCCGCCTCCCAGATTCAAGCAATTCTCCTGCCTCACCTTCCCAAGTAGCTGGGATTACCGGCGTGTACCACCATGCCTGGCTAATTTTTGTATTTTTAGTAGAGACGGGGTTTCGCCATATTAGCCAGGCTGGTCTCAAACTCCTGATCTCAGTTGATCTACCCACCTCACCCTCCCAAAGTGCTGGGATTACAAGCATAAGCCACTGCTCCCAGCCTAAGGAATTTTTAAGTATAATTAAATATAAAGTTTCTATTATTGAGAAGAGACTGGCATTTTAAACATAGAAAAAAAGAATATATACAGCACAACATGTAATTCTATAGAGTAGAATCTAGCAATACATTCCACAGAAATAATTGTTTATGAATTTGTTATAGTGACTTAAACTATAAATTTAGCACATTATGAATACTTAATTGATATTTATAGGCTCAAGTTGTTCATCTGAAACACGTAACATGATTTCTTTCTTTCTCCCTCTTGCTCTTTTTTTTATTTTAGAGAAAGAGTTTTACTGTGTCACCCAGGCTGGTCTTGAATGCCTGGCCTCAAACAGGCCCTCTACTTCAGCCTCCTAAGGAGCTGGGATTGCAGGCATGAGCCACCATGCCTGGCTTGATTTCTTTTCCTGTTTTTGTTTTTTTCAACTCTGTATCTGTGATTTGGCTTAAGGATTCTATAAACTTTTCTATTATCAGCCCACCATCCCCCACCACCATGAATAAGTTGGTAAATAATAAGAGCACTAAAGCTTTGATTGATAATTTTCAACTTTTTTTTGCTTATTTAAAACTGTATAGTTTCAGCAAAATTAGAAGTATTCATTGATTGATTTATCTTTTTTAAAAAATTAGCCTAGAAACATTGTTCAGAGGATGAATTTATCAGAAATGTTTTTGTGTGGTGATTTCATTTACTTGAAAGTACATATTAGAATGGATAGATTAGTACAATTATTTAGTCTCCCACCAAATTGTTAGTTAACTCTGGGGAGTGGGAGTGGAGAAGGGTGAAGTGAGGTTCTGTTGTTGTTTACATATTTAGGGATTGTGGGAAGTAAGCTTACTTGTTAAGAGCCAATGCTGTGGAACAGAGTGTGTGTTTGAACCCTCCATTTACTTGATCTCAGACTATGGCAAGTTATTTGATCATACTGGCCTTGATTTTTCATTTGTAAAATGGGATAGTAATAGTATTTCCTCAAAGGGGTGTTCTGTGAAGTAAAATAATATAACAAATGTAAAATGTTTAGAATAGTATTGACACTAAGCTCTCAAATGTTAGCCATTAAAATTATTGCTTTAAAAATAAATTGAACACATTATCTTTATCAGGGATTTATTTAGGACAAAGGTTTAAGAATTTCTGATGGCCTGTACCAAGTAATTTGAAAAGCAATGTGTGAAGAACACCTTACTTCCACATCCTACTTGTTTCTCATGGCCTAAATGCCTCCTTGCCCAGCATTTTTCTTCTCCTTAGATGTCTGTTATAATTGTAGTAGTAACACAATTCAATTCTTAGTCATCTTCTGTTTCACATTGTTTGCTACTATTTTATGTGTCTTACTCACAAAATCTTACATTATCTTGCTAAAGAGATTGAAAGTACCTTTAGGTCAGTGATTTTTTTTTTTTTTTAACTTTTTAGCAGTTCTGTATGCCCAGCATTGCAATGAATGATAATAATAGCCAACAAGTGGCCAGGCTCTAACTGTATGCCAGGCACTGTCTTAAGTGCTGTTCATGGATTAACTCTTAATTCTTACGGCAGCCCTGTACAAGGTACACAATTGCAGGTATCCACAATTTCTGGCTAAGGAAACTGAGGATTAGAGATGCTGAATAAGTTGCCTGAAGTCACACAGCCAGCAGGACTTGAAGTATGCTTTTGAACTTAGTTTGATTCTGAACCTGCACTCTCAAGCACAGTGCTCAGTAGAGCCCCCTAATCTAGTAAGGTCTTAACCATTTTATCAGTTGGTGTGTCTGCTGCGTGAAGGCTGGCCGCCAGACTCCGCTGCCCATAAAAATCACTATGTAAAGAAATTTACATGTAGTCCCAAAATATCTGTTTTTATGAACTACCAAAACTGCTTTCTTGATTGCATTGTTGTATTATTTGGAGGCATAATATGAAGAAGTATGGCCCTCTTAATGCTTACGGTTTCTAGAAAATATAACAATGTGGCCCCTTTAGCTTGTTTGCTTAGAACATGGCACCAGAATTTAATGGAGGCTTATACCACTTTAGGTACCTGTAGCTTTTTATTTTTAGTACTTCTTCCAAACACTAGCCAAATCATTTGTTTTTTTTTTCCCCGAACTTTTCAGTTTAAAAATTTTCAAACCTTTAGAAAAGTTAAAAGAATATTACATTCAACACCTAGATTCGCCAGTTGTTAAAATTTTGTCTCATTTGCTTTACTCTAGGTATATATACCTTTTTTAAAATCCTCAACCATTTGAAAGTTGTAGATACCATGACACTTTATCACATATTTCAGCATAGCTCTCCTAAGAATGAGAACATTCTCGTATATAAACAGAATAGCATTATCAGAACCTTGAAATTAATAGCTCCATTGTTTAAAGCCAGTTCATATTTTAAAATTCTTTAGTTGTCTCCACAATATCTGTTTAATCTTTGTGTTTGTGTGTATTTAAATCCAGGATTTAATCAAAGTTCATGCATTGTATTAGGTTGATAAATCTTGTCTCTTTTAATCTAGAATAGTCTTTCCACCTTTCATTTGTTTTAGACATTAGCCTCTTTGAAGAGCCCAGGCCAGTTGTCTGGGAGAATATCCCCCATTTTGGATTTGTCTGATTATTTCCTCACTTTAGATTCGGTCTAAGCACTGGGAAGAATACTTCAAAGGAAGAAAATGCGAGATTTGCTAAATGACTGGTTTTATGGCTTAACAAAGAGGGAAGAATCAATCACCTGTGAGCCTGAGATTTCTAGTCTGGGAAGCTAGAAAAGTGGTGGAAGCAATGACAGACTGGGGTAGTCTGAAAGGGACATTGCACTAGGAAAAGGACAGTGCATTCAGTTTTGGACTAATGACCTTTAGCGTTTAGTGTAGTTGTCCTTAAGTAGTTGGTTATTCTCTGGCGGTAGGATGTTGTGAAAAAGAGCACAGGATTAGAAATCAGGAGACTGATTATTTTTCAAGCTTTATCACTAATTAGCTTTGTGGTCTTGGAAAGTCAGTATTTGAAGTGTTCTATGTGGTTACCTAAAAAATGAAGTTAATGCACACCTTGCCCTGTCAGTCTGACAGAGTTGTTTTGAGGATCAAATACAAATGTATATGAAAACACTCTGTGATACAAATGTATATGTGTTCACTCCATGGACTCCTGTGTAATTATAAGAAGGTAATGTTATTTTCTTAGTTCAGACTAAAATGAAATATTTGGAGTTAGGGCTAGAGAAGACAGGAAAAGGGGAAAATATAAAACTTTTTGTGTTTGAAACTCAATCAAAAGCATCAGAAATCTCAGTCTCTGAATACATATGCCTGAAAAACCCTGAAGACTATAATTTGGGAGGCGAATCTGGAAGCTGATCTTGTATACAACAGTTACAAGAACCAAAAACACAGGTTGCATCTTGTTAGATGTCATTATTTGACTTGCCTTCAAGTTGGAAGTATAAATGAGAACTTTTGAATTCTGCCTGTGTAGTTGGTCCATGCTTGTTAACAGAATTTTTAAACATTTCCTTCTTATGTCTGTTGCTGTGAGCTATACATTTTTGCCAAAAGTTAAATTAAGGTAATGTTTCAGTTGTTAAACATTGTCAGTAAATATGGTATGCTAATCAAGAGCACAGACCCTGGAACTGCGGTTTTTTTGCAGTGAGCCAAGATCGTGCCACTGCACTCCAGCCTGGGTGAATCTTGGGTTGAATCTTAGCCATGTGCACTTGAGCAAGTCATTTAACTTCTCTGTGCCTCTATTTCCCTATGTATAATAGGAGATAATAGCTACATGAATGTTGTTGGGAGGATTAAACGTAGTACTTATGTCAAGCACTTAGAATGGTGCCTGGCATATGCAAAGTGCTATGTAAGTGTTAATGGTGGTTATTAGAATATTTGTGATTTTGGTAGTGACGAAGGAATAAAGTACCTGAACAAAAGAATTCTTTTCCCAGAACTGATAGCTGAGGGAAACAGAAGTGATACAGTAGTAAAAATCATGGACATCAGGAGCTCGAGATCAGCCTGGGCAACATAGTGAAACTCCATCTCTATAAAAAATACAAAAAATTAGCCAGGTGTGGCGCATGCCTGTAGTCCCAGCTACTTGGGAGCCTGAGGTGAGAGAATCATCTGAACCCAGGAAGTCAAGGCTGCGGTGAGCTGTGATTGTGTGTTTCTGCACTCCAGCCTGGGCAACAGAGTGAGACCCTATCTCAAAACAAACAAACAAACAAACAAACAAAAACAACATGGACTTCAGAGTCAGACATGCCTAGATCCAAATTCAAGTTCTCCCACTTTGTGGTTTAAGCAGGCCACCTAGCCCCTCTGAAGCTCACTTTCTTTTACCTATGAACCAGAAATCACAATCCCTATCTTGCAGAGTTGTGATTATTAAATGAGCTGATGTGTAAAGTGCCTGACACTGAGGTGACACTAAGAAAATGAGAGCGCTCTGGATCCCTCCCACCCCCCACCAATGTAAAGCAATACATACAGTTCAATTTCTTGTGTGCAGTCTTATTCATTTGTTTGTAATTTTAGGACTTCCAAAATCATTTCCATTTGCTAACAGCAGAAGAAACAGTGGCTGTATAATTGGATACACCTTGAAAAGTGTATTGTCAGCTTTGTTTCCCTCTTCCATTTGCTGTTTGGGGTTATTTGTTTTATTATTACAGCAGATCCTACTGGAACCAAGATGGTAGACACTGTTAATCAGTCTATTATTAATCTATTAATAATAGGCATTGTTAATGATTCTGTTATTAACAGAGTCGAACTGGAATGTAGCCTCAGGATCCTTTTTTTTTTTTAATTATACTTTAAGTTTTAGGGTACATGTGCACAATGTGCAGGTTTGTTACGTATGTATACATGTGCCATGTTGGTGTGCTGCACCCATTAACTCTTCATTTAACATTAGGTATATCTCCTAATGCTATCCCTCCCCACTCCCCCCACCCCACAACAGGCCCCGGTGTGTGATGTTCCCCTTCCTGTGTCCATGTGTTCTCATTGTTCAATTCCCGCCTATGAGTGAGAACCTGCGGTGTTTGGTTTTTTGTCCTTGCGATAGTTTGCTGAGAATGATGGTTTCCAGCTTCGTCCATGTCCCTACAAAGGACATGAACTCATCATTTTTTATGGCTGCATAGTATTTTTTTTTTTTTTTTGAGACGGAGTCTCACTCTGTTGCCCAGGCTGGAATGCAATGGTGCGATCTCTGCTCACTGCAACCTCTGCCTCCTGGGTTCAAACAATTCTCCTGCCTCAGCCTCCCAAGTAGCTGGGATTACAGGCACTTGCCAGCATGCCCAGCTAATTTTTGTATTTTTAGCAGAGACGGGGTTTCACTGTATTGGCCAGGCTGGTCTCAAACTCCTGACCTCGTGATCCACCCACCTCGGCCTCCCAAAGTGCTGGGATTACAGATGTGAGCCACGGCGCCCGGCCTCAGGATCCTTCTTCACAGTATTCTAGGAAGCTACAATCAGTTCATCAGAGTTGATATAGCTGTGAAAACTGGTTTGTCCTTCCTGCTTTAGAACTTTCTAGAAGAGGCCAGGCATGGTGGCTCACACCTGTAATCCCAGCACTTTGGCAGGCTGAGGCGGGCGGATCACGAGGTCAGGAGATCGAGACCATCCTGGCTAACACGGTGAAACCCCGTCTCTACTAAAAAAAAAATACAAAAAAAATAGCTGGGCATGGTGGCGGGCACCTGTAGTCCCAGCTATTCGGGAGGCTGAGGCAGGAGAATGGCGTGAACCTGGGAGGCGGCGCTTGCAGTGGGCTAAGATTGCACCACTGTACTCCAACCTGGGCGACAGAGCAAGACTCCATCTCAAAAAAAAAAAAAAAAGAACTTTCTAGAAGAAATGTTTGTTGGATTATCAAAATATTATATGGATTGTCCATTAATCTTCTATTCTGTGATGTGCACGTGTCAAACCTTATGACAAGGCAGGGTGGTCTTGTAGCATTTTCTAACAGATACTTATCTATATTGTAACGTTATTACATAATGTAGGCATCTTCGGACACCTACTGGAGGAGGTGCAATAATTGAAAGATTATAATGCAATGATCTAACCAAGAATATGCATCAAAGTTACCGGGGATATAGTCTTAAAAAACTTATGCCCAGGACCCCACCCCAGATTTATTCAATTAGAATCTTCAGGAGGCAGACCCTGCCACGTACATTTTGTAAAAGTACTCCAGATGCTTCTGCTATATATACCACTTGTTAAAAATAAGTAGATACTGGCAAAAAAGTCAAACATATTTACAAGAAAAAAACAACCCCATCAAAAAGTGGGCGAAGGATATGAACAGATACGTCTCAAAAGAAGACATTTATGCAGCCAACAGACACACGAAAAAATGCTCATCTTCACTGGCCATCAGACAAATGCAAATCAAAACTACAATGAGATATCATCTCACACCAGTTAGAATGACAATCATTAAAAAGTCAGGAAACAACAGGTGCTGGAGAGGGTGTGGAGAAATAGGAACACTTTTACACTGTTGGTGGGACTGCAAACTAGTTCAACCATTGTGGAAGACAGTGTGGCGATTCCTCAGGGATCTAGAACTAGAAATACCATTTGACCCAGGCATCCCATTACTGGGTATATACCCAAAGGAATATAAATGATGCTGCTATAAAGACACACGCACACATATGTTTATCGCGGCAGTACTCACAATAGCAAAGACTTGGAACCAACCCGAATGTCCAACAATGATAGATTGGATTAAGAAAATGTGGCACATATACACCATGGAATACTATGCAGCCATAAAAAATGATAAGTTCATGTCCTTTGTAGGGACATGGATGAAGCTGGAAACCATCATTCTCAGCAAACTATTGCAAGGACAAAAAACCAAACACTGTATGTTCTCACTCATAGGTGGGAATTGAACAGTGAGAACACTTGGACACAGGAAGGGGAATGTCACACACTGGGGCCTGTTGTGGGGTGGGGAAAGGGGGGAGGGATAGCATTAGGAGATATACCTAATGTAAATGACGAGTTAATAGGTGCAGCACACCAACATGGCACATGTATGCATATGTAACAAACCTGCACATTGTGCACATGTACCCTAGAACTTAAAGTATAATAAATACATATATATATATATATATATATATATAAAGAAAGAAATTACAATAAAAAAATAAGTAGATACTGGCAACTATAGAGAAGCACACACTATTGGTATGAGAGTTCATTGACATAGTATAACCTATAGAACAATTTTACAGTATCTCAAAATTTCAAATCTGTCCTATAGAAATATATATGTGCACAAAAACAGAGTTTAGAGAATGTTTCAGGCCAGGCGTGGTGACTCATGCCTATAATCTCAGCACTTTGGGAGGCTGAAGCAGGAGGATTACTTGAGTCCAGGAGTTTGAGACCTACCTGGGCAACATAGCAAGACCCTGTCTCTATTTGAAAAAAAGAGTAAAGAAAAGAAAAGAAAAATAAGTAAAAAATAAACGAGGTTTTCTGCAGACGTATTTATTATATCAAACAATTGTGAGAAACTGATGATCAGTACATAAATGGTTAAATACAAATACCACGTTTGTTTACTATGCAACCATTTAAAGAATGAATATGTATGAAAATTGTCTATACATGCTGATGTAGAAGTATATCTAGGATATATTGTTAAGTTAAATAAGCAAGTCACAGAATAAGCCCTATTTTAAAAATTTATATGTAAAAATGTAGAGAAAGATGTGAAAGTATACCCATCAAAGTGTTTATAGTGGTTGTCTTGGCATAGAAGAGTGGGAATAATGAAGTGGGGACAGGAACAGGCCTTTTCACTTTGGTGTTTAAAATATTTGCAGGCCAGTCGTGGTGGCTGACGCCTATAATCCTAGCACTTTGGGAGGCTGAGGCAGGTGGATTGCTTGAGCCCAAGAGTTCAAGACCAGCTTGGGCAACATAGTGAAACCCTGTCTACAAAAAATACAAAAATTAGCTGGGCGTGGTGGTGCATGCCTGAGTCCCAGCTACTGGGGAGGCTGAGATGGGAGGATCACCTGAGCCTGGGAGGTTGAGGCTGTAGTGAGCCATGATTGTACCACTACATTCAAGCCTGGGTGACAGAGTGAGATTCTGTCTCAAAAAAAAAGAAAAAATGCAATAACATTTTATTATTTTTGTAATAAAAACAACCACTGGACAAAATATGAATGATTTTAAAGGAAGCTCTTATGGAAGCAGATTGATATGTGTCAGGACACTGCTTATTTTGCAAACACCAGTTTTAACCTGAGACGATCTCTAACTTGGGAAATAAAAAGGAATGTCAAAACTATTTCGTGTGTTGGTGGTGATGATAAAATCTTGTTGCCACAGTTGTTGTGAAAGTAATCAGGAGTTTCAAACAGATAAGCATTGAAGATAAAAGGTATTTGCCCTGTGTCAGAATTATATCAGTTATCTGTTTTAGAAATATTTAATGTCTATGCATATCTGGATATGAAAATTGAGTTCAAAACATTTTAGTTTAATCCTTTTTCAGTTGATTAGCCTCTAGCCTATGAGAATAGTAACACCTTCTAATCCCCTCTTTTATAATTTTAGGCCCGATGAGAGAAAGGGAAAGTTAAGGATGCTGGAGCAGAACAATGGATTTCTCTTTCTCTTTCATGCAAGGGATCATGGGAAACACAATTCAGCAACCACCTCAACTCATTGACTCCGCCAACATCCGTCAGGAGGATGCCTTTGATAACAACAGTGACATTGCTGAAGATGGTGGCCAGACACCATATGAAGCTACTTTGCAGCAAGGCTTTCAGTACCCAGCTACAACAGAAGATCTTCCTCCACTCACAAATGGGTATCCATCATCAATCAGTGTGTATGAAACTCAAACCAAATACCAGTCATATAATCAGTATCCTAATGGGTCAGCCAATGGCTTTGGTGCAGTTAGAAACTTTAGCCCCACTGACTATTATCATTCAGAAATTCCAAACACAAGACCACATGAAATTCTGGAAAAACCTTCCCCTCCACAGCCACCACCTCCTCCTTCGGTACCACAAACTGTGATTCCAAAGAAGACTGGCTCACCTGAAATTAAACTAAAAATAACCAAAACTATCCAGAATGGCAGGGAATTGTTTGAGTCTTCCCTTTGTGGAGACCTTTTAAATGAAGTACAGGCAAGTGAGCACACGAAATCAAAGCATGAAAGCAGAAAAGAAAAGAGGAAAAAAAGCAACAAGCATGACTCATCAAGATCTGAAGAGCGCAAGTCACACAAAATCCCCAAATTAGAACCAGAGGAACAAAATGTAAGTTGAAAAGTCGTTTTGAAAAATTTTGTTATATTTCACATTTACTGGAAGTTCAAGAGATCTTTTTGGTTTTTATCTCTTTAAATATGAATCTGTCTGATAACTTCTTTAATCACTAGCAACGTGCTCAGAATATTATAATAGGTGCTGAGTATTTGTTGAATATATGAATGGACATGATTAGTTAAGAAATATTTTTAAAACATGTAAAACGAATCTTTCTGCTTATGTTTCTTTGTCCTGATGACCTCGGTTATTTTTATTTGCTTACAATAGACTGTTGGTTTTTGAAAATCAAGAGGAAAGGCAAAGAGAAGATAGCTAATTATATTGGGTTTTCATTATTTTAGACCAACTTTTTCCAGTAGAGCTTAGATTTAACACTCATTGCTAATGTTTGCTACAAAATAACCTGAAATAATAGAAATCTTTTTATTAAAATCAGAGTTAGTATTAATAAATATTGATTAAAACTTCAGGTGAGTTTTTATAAAAGTCATCCTTTATAGGTAACTTAAGATATATGCTGCTGAATTTTTTAATATCTGAGATTTCAGCGTGAATTTGCTTAGCAATAATATAATAAGTATGTAACATAATTCTAGCTTAAATGAAGAGTTCATAATATAAATTGCAAATGTTTTCTAAACTTTGACTTGGGAAAACTATATTTATTTTTATGACAGCTATCTGCTTTTATATGTGTTATACCTGAATAAGTTAATTTATTTTCTGTTCAAAGAAATGTTTACTTCTTACCTATTCATCTTTTCCTTGGTAGCTGGCTTCTATTACTTCATACAACTCACATGTGATGTTTTTCTGGAGTAAAGGTCACAATGCTTCTAGACTCTCACAAGTCCCAGTGTGACATTTCAACATGTTTTCTCACTTTTTATAGTTTTCTTATTTATTCATTAACAAATGTTGGTGAAATGCTCCTCCTACTGTGTGCTAGGCAATGATCTAAGACTTAAAGGTATGACAATGAATGAAAAGTAGAGATGCCTGCTCTCAGGATGCTTATATTCTAGTGAGGGGAGCCAGAAAATACACACACATATACATATATATATACACATATATACATATATACAATATATATTTATATATACATATATATACATATATACATATACTATATATACTATATACATGTGTATATACATATATACATATACATATACTATATATACTATATACTATATATGTATATATACATAGTCTTCATAGCATCTAAAGCTAACTTATGTACACACATATACATATGCATATATACATAATACATAGGTATGTATATACATATATGTATATATACATATATACATACATATGCATACATATATGTATATGTGTGTACATAAGTTCTCATAGCTTTAGATGCTATGAAGACAATAAAACTGGGTAATGAGATAAAGAGTAATCAGTGATGTTTCTAGTAGTCATTTTGCAATGAGATTCTAAAACCAGTTCTGTCTCTGTTAGATGTCTGCTATACCTAGTTCTTTATATCACCTAAACCTTCAGTTAACTATTATAGCTCAGGATTAGAATGTTTAGATTTTATTTTATTTTATTGTTTTTGAGACGGAGTTTCACTCTTATTGTCCATGCTGGAGTGCAGTGGTGCAATCTTGGCTCACCGCAACCTCCGCCTCCAGGGTTCAAGCAATTCTCCTGCCTCAGCCTCCCGAGTAGCTGGGGACTACAGGCATACCACCACGCCTGGCTAATTTTTTTTTTTTTTTCAAGTAGAGACAGGGTCATGTTAGTCAGGCTGGTCTCAAACTCCCGACCTCAGGTGATCCACCTGCCTTGGCCTCTCAAAGTGCCGGGATTACAGGCGTGAGCCACTGCGCCTGGCCCAGATGTTTAGATTTTAATTTAAGGGTTTTAATTCATTTTCCCTTTTATTGAATCATGATGAGCAAAATTTACTATTTGATTGTTTAGGATCTTACAATAGCTTGGGATAAAGGAATATCAACTTGACCAAAAGTATAGCTGGAGAAAGTGGCATTGACTGCCTGGAATATTACTAGGAGCATTGCCTGAAAGTCGAGTCTTGGGGGGAAATCCAGGTTTTTTTCTTGTTCGTTCTCTCTCTCTCTCCCTCTCTCCCTGTCTCCTTCTCCCCCTCTTCCTCTCCCTCCCTCTCCCTGCTCCCCTCTCTGCCCCATTCCTCCCCCTTTCCATCCTACCCCCTCGTCCCTTCCCCCTTCCATTCCTTCCTTCTTCTCTCCCTTCTTCTCTGCCTCTCTCCTCTCTCTCTCTCCCTCTCCCTCTCACCCCTTCTTTCTTCCCTTCCTTCAAAGAAGTAAAGAGGTAAGTTCTTGTTAATTGAATTTTGATTAATTGGAACTGTATCACACACGGGGGCAGTTGTAGAAGTTGTAGTCCATTCTGACCACAGACCTTCAAAGCCAGAGCTCCCACAGCTCTTGCCTATCGTTAATGTCATGCTTTTGCTAAGCTAGAGATGTGTATAAATTAATGTTTCACAACTGCATATATTTTTAAATTAGATTTCCTTAACTTGAAC